>NC_000024.10:24239247-24847739 GCF_000001405.40 Homo sapiens | reverse complement strand
ATTTTCCAGCTATTACGCTGACAATTTAAAAAATACTAATAACTTTCACTGGAATGGGTGTGGAAAAGACAGCACTCTACACACCATCAGTGAGAAAATACTAATACGTGATTTACCAAGAGTACTTTGGAAAAGCTGTATCATAATTTGATAAGCGGGGATACTCACCACTATACTAAAAAGGAGAATTCATTATAAAATTGTTATACAAGGGGCAAAGTGCTTTCACCTAGCAATTCCACTTATAGCAATTCATCTCAAGAAATTAATAGTACAAGCGTGCCAAGATATTTACACAAAGATATTCACAGCATTGTTCTTTTTGAGACTGAGTCTCTCTTTGCCGCCTAGGCTGGAGTGCAGTGGCACAATCTCAGCTCACAGCAATCTGCGCCCCAGGATCACGTGATGCTGCTGCCTCAGCCTCCCGAGTAGCTGGGATTACAAGTGTGCGCCACCACGCCTGGCTAAATTTTTTGTATTTTTAGTAGAGACAGGAAACAAAAATCATTCAAATATTCCTTCACATTTTCAAAAACACATGAGATAACACAACATTGAAGTACATACGCTGGTTCCTTTAATTTGTTATTACAATAAAAGAAACAGAATGGAAAAAAGAATTACTTCAAGTTTCTAATCCCTGACGTTCTTGTTGTTACTTTTATATGTAAAACCTCAACTTTTTCCCAATTTTCTGGGGTTGGTATTGTGGAAATCTCAAGGATATTAGTTCTTTGAATGTATTACCATAGATATGATCATGGGTCATATATACAGTCATATCTATGAAAAGAGACACAGAGGACTACTATTGTGAAGCAGCCAGCTAAAATAAAAATATAATTCAAATTCTGTGCTCTAAAAAGTGGGTAATAATTTTATTTCACTCTGTCTCTCTAAAAAACTGATAAAAGTCAGTCTGGATGTTTCGGCTATTTGACGGCAAAGATTTAAAAAAAAAAAAAAAAAAAAAAAACATGCTACAATATAGAAGGGGACACCAAATCTCAAAAACCTATTCTACAGTAAAGTTTTTGCTAAGTACATTCCTGTCAAAATATTACTCAATTACTTCTAAATAATACAGAGGCCTTCATTCTAGACTAATTTGAAGTGTTGTCTTAAATTTTAGGTACATTTCACTTCTTTAAAATGGCAAACTATTCAAGCAATTTGTATAAACAAAGGGCTCAATAATATCTGAAAGTAAATCATTTTACTCCCTCTTAAATTACCTGATAATTATATACAGGCAAATGATATCTAGTGATGCCGTGAACTGCTGAATTTGGGTGAGTAGTGTGTGCCTATAAATAAAGTTTACAGTAAGAATGAATGAATACGGTAAAACATTTTGTTAATTAGAAATATTATTCCCAATATAAAAAACTATGAAAAAGTTTTAAAACATTACTTTTCTATATACAGCACTGCAGAATTCTAAATGAGTGACTGATTTTATGAAGAAGAAATATTCTGTCAAGTGAGGCCCTTTGGCTGGGGAAGGGGAACAGACAAATGACAAAAGAAGGGACTATTTCACCAGACAAGTTTACCTTATTTATACTGTGTACTTACGCCCGCCCAGAAGTTATTTCTTACGCTGGTGATAAGGCTCTATTAAGACAGACTTCAATTGTAAGTTAAATTAATCCATTTGCTATTTCTTTGTTAAAATACTTCTAAAGGGTTTTCTATTTGACAATATTATAGGGTAATACGACGTTCTCCTACAAATGTTACGGCTTTTTCTGTACTTCATTTCAAAAAACTAAGGGCAGTATATGATCCACAGCTGGAAAAGAGACAGTATGGTGTCTTCTACGTTTCAATAAATACTTACTGATTGAAAACTATACGTAGCATCACACATGAATACACCCAGATTACGTAATGGCTCACCGTAAATGTGAGAAACAGGGCTTTTTTGCTAGCCATCGTTCAGAGGACAAAAAAGAAGCAGAGGTATACCCTACCTGTTTCAAGCACATGGAAAACGTCAACAAACGAGAGACACTGAAGAACTATTTCACCACTATTTTGTTACTTTATTTTCCATCAAAGAAAATGTCTTTTAAACTAAGACATCAATAAAACAAACTAAAAAGAAAATAAACATTACTTATCCCCAGTAAGTGACAGAGTATGTCAAATCCTACTTTAAATATCAAGGTAACCAGCATCAGAGAAATCACATGCCCGAAACTCACGGGATTTATAAATATAGGAAAACACATCAGAAATCTACCCATTCCAGAACCAGAATATATCCAGAAGTCAGCAATCTATATGAGGAGACATCTGGAAATCATTGCAAGTAAAGAACAGCTGGATGAATTGCTAACCTTCGGGAAGAATAAACTAGGCAGACACACGAAGACAGCTGCTTTCAAATATTTTCGGAACTAGTTATGTGGGGGGAAAGCAGTTCGGGTGTTTTAGAGGTAATACTCTTTTTTCTTCCTACTCTTATTTAAGAGTAATTAATAGCAAAACATTTCTGTTTCTCTTGAACACTTTTTTTTTTTTTTTTTTTTTTTTTTTTTTTTTACGGAGGGTAAAGCCAGAGGCAGATTCCAGGCAGATACATGCTCATTCTAAAGCCACTATTAATACTACCTTTCATGGAGTGTATAGTCTATCAAAAAGTTACTGAATTCTTTCTTATCATCATGTGTACGAGCCATTCCTTAAGCACGCAAAAACCTGACAGAGAAAAAGGCACTGTTGCTCCCATAGGAGTTTAAAATTGGGTTAAAAAGAAAGTAACAAAATGTGCCACATTAATACAAAGAACGATTTAAAAAATTTATAGGCATATATGACACAGAAAAAAAAGAAAGAACAGGGAGTATAGGTTCGGCGCATTCACTTTATCTGAAGTACAGCATAACTCCTTTGCTCCCCAACAGGCCACTGCGGTGGCAACTTGAAAAAAAAAAAAAAAAAGGAAACCAATATTATTCAAATATTCCTGTACTTTTTCAAAAACACATGAGATACACAATACTGAAGTACTTCTCATGCTGGCTCCTTGGTTAATATAACGAAAGAAACAGAATAGAAAAAAAGAAGTACTTTAGGTTTCTAATCCCTGAAGTTCTTGTTGCTCCTTCTACATAGAAAACCTCACCTTTTTCCCAATTTTCTGCAAATGGCATTGTGGAACTCTCAAAGATACTAATTCTTTGAATTTGTTACCACAGATACGATTATCGGTCATAGATATACTCGTATCGTTGAAAAGAGACCCAGAGAAGTCTTTATCATGAAGCAGCAAGCTAAAATAAAAACACAATTGGAATTCTGCGCTCTAAGAATTGGGTAAAGCTTTTATTTCACTCTGTATCTCTACAAAATTCACGAAAGACAGTCTGCCATGTTTCAGCTCTTTGACAGCAAAGATAACAAAATTCATGCTGAAACCAAGACAGGAACACCAAATCTCAGAAACTGTTCTGCAGAAAAGTTACTGCTAAGTACCCTCCTGTCAAAATATTATTTCATCACTTCTACATACTACAGAGGTCTTCATTACACTAATTCTAAGTGTTTTCTTAAATTTTAGGTACAGTTCACTAGTTTAAAAGGACAAACTATTCAGGCAATTTGTATAAACAAGTTGAAGGCCTCAGTAGTAGCTGAAAGTAAATCATTTTACTCCCTCTTCAATCACCTGATAATTATACACAGGCAACTGATACCCAGTGATGACCTGACCTGGTGAGTTTGGATAAGGAGAATAAGCCGAGAATAAAGTTTACAGAAGGAATGGATTAATACGGTAAAATGTGTTTTTTTTTTTAACTAGAAAGAAATACCATTCCCAAAATAACAAAAATACGAAAAACCTTGAAATGGTAATTATTTTTCTACATACAGAAATACAGATTTCTAAATGAATGACTGACATGAAGAAACAAATATTCTCTGTCAAGTGCTACCCTTTGGGCGGGGAGGGGGAAGAGACAAATGACAAAACAAGTGACTGTTGCACCGGCCAAAGTCTACCATATTTATACTGTGTACTTATGCCCACCCAGAAGTTATTTCTTACGCTGCTGATAAGGCTCTATTAAGATAGATTTCAACGTAAGTTAAAATAATACATTTGCTCTTTCTTTGGCAAAATACTTCTAGACTGTTTGCTATCTGATGATATTATAGGGTAATACTGTAGTTCTTCGGCAGATGTTACGGCTTTCTCTGTACTTCTTTTCCACAAATTAAGGGCAGTAAATAAGCCACAGCTGGAAAAGAGACAGTATAATGTCTTCTACTTTTCAATAAATACTTACTGATTAAAAACATACAGGTAGCATCATTCATCAATACACCCACATTCAGTAATGGCTCACAGTAAATGCTACAAACAAGTAGGGCTTTTCTTCTAGCCATTGCTCAGAGAAGGAAAAAGAAGAAGAGGTGTACCCCACACGTTTCAAGTACATGGAAAATGTCAACAAATGAGAGACACTGAAGAACTAATTCACTACTATTTGGTTACTTTATTTTCCATCGAAGAAAACCTCTTTTTAAAAACTAACACATAAATAAAATGAACGAAGAACAAACTAAACGTTATTTATCACCAGTAAGTGACAAGAGTATGTCAAATCCTACTTTAAATATCAAAGCAACCAGCATCAGAGAAATTACGTGCCAGAAACTCACGGGATTTCTAGATAGAGCAAAAGAGATCAGAAATCTACCCATCCCAGAACCAGAATATACCCAGAAGTCAAGCAATTTATATGAGGAGGCATCTGGAAATCACTGCAAGTAAAGAATAGCTAGGTTAACTGCTAACCTTAGAGAACAATAAACTAGGCAGACACATAAGGAGGGCTGCTTCCAAATACTTTAGGAACTAGTTATATGAGGTGAAAGAGGCAGAGATAGGAAGAGATTTGTTCATGTGTCTACAGAGGTCATTTCTAAGAGAAAGCTTCGCCAAGTATACAGAAGATTCTTAGCTCAAATGACGAACACGAAGAATAAGAAATTTCTAACAAAAGTAACAGATTTCCCGTTACTCACACTGTTCAAACAGGGATTCTATTGCCACTTACTATGGAAAGTGTAGATACAATTCCACAGAGGGAAGGATGACTAGAATAAACAAGAGAACAGGAACATAAGCAGTTCTTACCTGAACGTGCTGAGTTACAGGATTCGGCGTGATTTGGGGCTGCAGGTAGGTTTCAGTGTTTGGATTCCGCCAGACGTTCTGAAACTGTGGTGGAGGAGGAGGATTAACTACCAAAGGACGTGGCTGCACATGACGAGCACCTTTTTAAAAAGCAAGAAGAAAAAAGCCTATTTTTAGTTATTTGAAAAGCTACACGGGTCAGAAAAGAACCATTTCTTTTCCTACTCACATAACTTTTGTTTCCTGATTGCAGGGCCCAGCTTCAGCTTTTTACCATGGAAATGTATCTGTGACTGAAAATAGAACCGTTAACAAAACTAGAATCAATTTTCAAGTGTTAGCTTCCAAGACTTGGGTAAACACCTGAAGTCTTCTAAAGTACCTATCATCATAGAAGATCGGGGACAACTACGCACCAAATTAAAATTTGTCATCACGAAGCTACCTTACTTACCCTTACTACTCTAATCAGTGTCAAGAGGCATCAAGTGAAAGTTGATCAAAAACTTTCCATCACCCTGTCTCCAACCCTTCCTGTCTGTAGTTCATGAAACTAGGTGTCCAGTCAAAAATAAACAGGATCAAACAAGCTACGTGAGGTTACTCTGAGTTTGGATTTTGAACAGGAAGTGTGTCTTTCCCCAAATTTTACACAAGTCCGAGTGTATCACTGACACTAAACGTTGTAGCAATAAGATAAATAAGAGATTTTTCTATTAGATTACTTACTCCTACTATCTTCTGGACATCCACGTCATTAACAAACGAAACAAATCCATAGCTATAAAGGCAGACAAATGAAGCATAAAATCACCATCATACAGTACGTGGTTCAGAAGGTCTACTATTCTATATACAGAAGTGATCATGACAAAAGACGAATAATATACCATGATAAGTATTTGCTAAGATGTACATGACAGATCCTCTACAAATACCACTTTTTCTTAAGCAGAACTATGTCAAAATGTGCTAGGATTAGGGCAGTGTGACAACTTTATTGATTAGCAAAGAATTCATATCTGTGAACCTGAGTTTAACTTACTGTCTAAGACAAGGTGGTTAAAATTTAAGATGCTCTGCAGTGTATGAAGAAAACAATTATTTGAGAAAACTGATTAACTCATCTGTATGAAATAGAAACTGGAGACATTTAAATACAAACATTAGAAAAATGGTCAAATAGAAGAACTGGTAATAGCCTTTTATCCCCTACGTGAAAGAAATTAACACTGCAGAATATTGCATTTATACAAGGGTCAGAATATCAGTTTTGAAGTCTTGTCTGATACTTATAGAATAGGTGACTGGAGTTCACATATTTTTGATAAAATTACTCACCCTTTGGACACACCAGTTCGATTCGTGATTATCTTCACTTCTTTCACTGAACCGTATCTACCAAAGCAGCTTCCAATCTCAGTTTCATCCATCTATGGAAAAGAACTGAACGTCAGAGTAAAAATTCAGCATTCAAAAATTTCAACTTTACTACAATTTTACTACCATGAGGTGGAAATTTCTCCCCCATTTATCCCCGAATGACCAGCAGCCCTTTGTCAAAGATATTTTTAGTACCTATGGGTCAAACCTAAAAGCAATTCTAAACCTCCAGGAAGTACAAAAAAAAATTTAAGTTTGTAACAGGGCCCACATCCCATTGTTCATGATGTATGTTAAGGTAAAAATGAGGTACAAATACAATACCCTAGCATCAATTCCACCAACAAAAACAGTGTTTGGCACGATTTTGCCTTCTGGTAACACCCAGCCTTGGCTAGCTGCAGCTGATGAAGACTGGGTGCTGGCCTCTCTGGAGATGGTTGAGTTTGGAGTCTCAGGATTTGCAGCAGACTGTAATTTGGAAAGTAGACATCATAATTACGTATGCAGGCAAAACCCATACATAATGTGAAATACCATTTTTGTATTTTAAGTATATTTTACATAAATTACTTTCATTGTAATTCAGTCACCAGTGCAGCTCAGTTCAGGCTCAGGATTTAAACTTATCAGAGTACATCAGCATGGAATTTTAACCGAAGGATACAGTACTTTCTTAAACCTAGTGCCGCTCATCACCGAGTCTTGTATAATGCTGTGGAAGAATACCCATTTAGTATTTGTGAAAGTACTACGTGAAGTAGTTAAAAAAGACACCCAAAACTAGAGAGTTTAGATTTGTAAAAATTAAAGTTATTAAAATCATCCTGTTCTATATTCATAAACAACTTTTCACTTTACTGAGTAGACTAAAGATAAATCTTAAAAAAAAAAAAAAAAAAAAAAAAGCCCCACCAAAAAGAAAATAAGCCTCAACGTTTTAAACCAATTTGTTACAATCCTCTTCCCTAACGCTAGGGTGTTCAAAGCATCTTTTGAAATAACATTTTTCTTCCTGAGTAACACGGAATCAGTCTGACTGATAATTCTGATTTTCACAGTGGGCTGATAGATATAAATGATACCATCTTTATTTTCAGATAAAAAAACACATACATATAACTCACTAATTTTCTAGATTCTGATCAGAACTGTCTTTATTCTTTCCACAGCAGACTCTAAGGTTAATGTAAAATTTTCTGAAGTAGTATTCATAAGTAATATATACGTTGGAGAAACAATATAGCATAGTGAAACAAAAATTAATTCAGTCAGGAGATCTAGGTTTATGTCCCTTACAGGTAAGTGGTTATAAGCCACCTACTTGCCAGCTATGTATCTGTGGGCAAAGTGCTTTGAGAATGACATGAGATCACATCTGTGAATTCATTTTGTACGTATAAAGTGGTACAAGTGGTGTGCCAATGTAAGTTAGTGTCCTGTTATTTGAATTTATTTTCAGCCGATTTGTTTTCAAGTTTCTTTTTTGGCTTCACTATTTAGCTGACTTATTTTGAAAAAAATTTTAATTAAGAACTAATTGACACATCAGGAAACTATGACACATCATTAATTTAAAAATCATTGGTGAAGTGCTGTTGACTTCACAAATATCAGTACAAAATGCTGCAAAAGAGAAAGCTATTACACATATACCTGTCTGAAAGAAAACAAAAGACAAAAGAAACTGCGTTATCTTTTAGAACACAGTAATGTTACAGAAGTTAATAAGAAAGGAGGGTTCCTGCTTTGTTAATTAGAGCCTAGAAGTTACTGATTCTACACAGCTTTACTAGAGATCAAATCTAAATTGTCAAATCAACTAAAGCCGAGGTTACTGCATTTCTCTATTCTTTCGTGCTTGTACTTGCTATTTTGGGTTTGTAACTAATTCCTAATTCTTTCCTTTAACAGCGTTATTTCATGACAATGATGTGAAAGAAAAATTTAAAACACTGTTTTTAAAGTTCTTCCTTTCAAAAATGTCTCACATTATTGTTTTTTCCAAATGACATTAAGCTGCACTACCTTGAACTACTGGGAACCTGATTAGATCTCCCTTCCCTATAGACAATTTACCAATTCCTTCTCAGTTCATTCAGAAATCCCAAACAGAATAAAACAAAACAAAACAAATTCTGAAATTCTTGTAGTTTCTTTTTCTCCTTTCCAATTCCTCCTTGATTTGTGGATGAACTTTGGGTACGTGTTTCCTTGATAAACAAGCTATATTACAGTATCGTCTCTGCACCATAGTGTTTGGATGTATTTTAATTTAGAAATGTAACATCTGGCAGAAAACTGTGTCAGACTACGAGAGGTTATGGAAATGCACTGATTCTCAACTGGGCAAGATTTTTGAGCCCCAGGGGCATTTAGCGACGTTTAGAGATTGGCTGTCACAACTGAGATGTATTCCTGGAATCTGATGGGCCGAAGGCCAGGCACACTACTGCGCATCCTACAGTGTAAAGACAGCCTCCTACCATAAGGAAGTATTTGGTGCACAATTTGAAAAGGGTCTGGTTAAGAAACCTTGTCACCGTGCCACAAGAATTGAAGAGGAAAATTCTTCTTTGGGAAGAACCTGATTTCCATCGCTCACTAAAGTGAATCTTTTCATGACCTCGGTTTCAGTTTCCTTGCTTGAAAACGAATGGCCGGAAAAGACCTCGGGTGTCTCTTCTGATTCTCATACTCATTTGGATACTCGAAATAACCGTAGTTTGGTAAAGAAGAAAAAAGGCATTTGATATTATTAAGAAGTTTGACTTTAGCTTGGATCTTACAAACCGGCTGCCTGCTTAACTGGAATCGTACATATAAAATTCACTGAATCTCTCTAATAGCGTCATAATACTTTAAATGAAGGAAGTAATGATCATGTCCTAGTCCTCAGCCAGCAGGTGGCGCTCAAAGCTAACAAGGTAAGCAATGTACCTCGTTTTCTGCAACGTACTTCACTTTTACCATGGCTCGAGTAGCAGGGATTGTTCAATTCCGACTGTGTACTTATACATAATTATATAATGTATATATAAAAATCCACAATCAACAGACAAACTTTGGTTAGTTTTAAACTACGGCCAAAAATATAAATGAATGCTTCGGATAAGCAAAAGTTTAGTTTGAAAGAAAGTACCATCGTAACCGTCAATGGCATCCTGAAAACAAACTGCATTAAAGAAGTAATTTTCTTGGCCGGGCGCGGTGGCTCACGCCTGTAATCCCAGCACTTTGGGAGGCCGAGGCGGGTGGATCATGAGGTCAGGAGATCGAGACCATCCTGGCTAACAAGGTGAAACCCCGTCTCTACTAAAAATACAAAAAATTAGCCGGGCGCGGTGGCGGGCGCCTGTAGTCCCAGCTACTCGGGAGGCTGAGGCAGGAGAATGGCGTGAACCCGGGAAGCGGAGCTTGCAGTGAGCCGAGATTGCGCCACTGCAGTCCGCAGTCCGGCCTGGGCGACAGAGCGAGACTCCGTCTCAAAAAAATAAAATAAAATAAAACAAACAAACAAACAAAAAAACACAAAACACAAGAAGTAATTTTCTTAACCGTATCTTCAAGTGAGTTGTTGAATTTTCAAATGAGAAATGTTGCAATAGTAAACAGGGGTGAGCTTCAAGACCGTCATAATCACAACTCTCATTGCTATTTCTAGCAAACATATTCCTTGTTATATGCGGACAATCAAGTGACAAAGACAGCTAAAAGCTGGAAAAAATTATCATTAAACTCCTGCCATGTCAGCTCCTCTGCCAGTATTATCTAATGCAATTACTATGTGAACATGTAAGCAAATTGTTATTTACATAAACTGGCCAGGAAAAAGCCTATCATTTGTAGTCATCAAAGTTACATTCACAGCAATAGGAAGAGGAGCAAATAAAGAGAATGCTAAAATTAAGAAAATATGACGTGAAAATCAGAAGTTAATCCAAGAACAGAGTCCCGGGGAGTGGTGGGTGGCAAGGATGAAATTCAAGCAATACACAATCCTTGCAAAACTAAGCAAGAAAAAGCAAAAATATATGAGACCTGAAAAATGGGTTGTGGCCCGTGGTTATAAAAGAATGTTATGCTCAAACTCTATAGGAATAAATTTTGAAATCAACGACATGGTCAACTTGTACAGAAATTTTAATTCTTCCCAAACAATCTTGAAAAAGAACACCCAATGGTATTTGGCTTAGTTTCCCTGGGAGTTTTTTCAACTTGTAAAGAAACATGTAACTTGGGTGTATGTGGTGTGTCACAGAGAGGTGCACACAGACGCCAGAAACCTGAAGTAAAGATAGAAGAAGAGATTAAGAAATGTAAACTCTTTTCTTCAATTTTCAAAGAGGAAAAAAGTACTTCTCAATGCATTTTACAAAGGTTAACAACACATAAGCAACAAAGCCTCATCAAGATGGTCCAACCCTCTCCTCAACACAAATGCAAAATTCCAGTAGGAAAGAATATAGTTTATATTGGCAATGCAAGAATACTGCATTCGCAGGATACGTTACTTTAATTCATCATTGAAAAAGTATTTAATAAAATACAGCATTCATTTTTAAATTTTTTAAAAACCTAAGTAAAATAGAAATAGAGGATTCTTGCTTTCTATCAATCTAATTCTACCCTATCATGAAGCTTACAGTGAAATACTAGAGCCATCTCCACTGAAAATAGGAATAAGGTAAGGGCACCATGGCACCTCATCATTACTACTATATATATTTTCCCACTATGTATGACAAATGCGAATATTAATACAGGGTTTTTATGAGTCAGTAAGAAAAATAAAATTAAAAAAGGAAATTTAAAAAGCTAATGATCAATGCTCAACTTCACTGATGATTCAAAAAAGTGCACATCAACATAGTGTAACATTATCCAGCTATTAGGCTGACGATGTACAAAATCCTAATACCGTTCATTAGAAAGGGTGTGCAACAGAGATCACTCTACACACCATCAGTGGGAAAATACTGATACATGCTTTACCAAGAGCACCTTGGAAAAGGTGTATCATAATTTGACAGGGGGATACTCACCACTATACTAATGAGGAGCATAATTTAAAATTGTTATGAAAGGGCAAAAGCACTTCCACCCAGCAATGCCACTTACAGCAATTAATCTCAAGGAATTAATAATTAAGTACAAGTGTGCCAAGATATTTACACAAGGACATTCATGGCATTTTTTAAATTTTGTTTTGAGACTGAGTCTCCCTTTGTTGCCTAGGCTGGACTGCAGTGGCACCATCTCAGCTCACTGCAACCTGCTTCCCAGGTTCAAATGATTCTCCTGCCTCAGCCTCCCGAGTAGCTGGGATTACAAGTGCACGCCACCACGCCTGGCTAATTTTTCGTATTTTTAGTAGAGATGGGGTTTCACTATGTTAATCGGGCTGCTCTCGAAATCCTGACCTCAAGTGATCCGCCCGCCTCAGTCTCCCAAAGTGTTGGGATTACAGGCGTGAGCCACCGCGCCCAGCCCATGATAGTTTTAATACTGAAAAAGTATTCATCATAAGGGAATTCAGTAAAACAACAGTACAATTTTTAACATGATATACTGAAAATTAAAGTTATCTTCAGAATAATACCCACATTAATTGAAAGCTGCCAGTTGTAAAATAGTATTAAGCAGCACTATGTAACTTTTGTAAAAGCTGGCCTATCTATATGCAATTGCAATACATGCATAAAAATAAGTTGGAAAGGCATTCATGTATCAAAACTTAACTGTGGTTTTATGTGTTGGTATTAACATGGACTGCTATTTTCTTAGTGTGATTGTTTTCAAATGAGTAAATATACTACACTACTTTTATAATCAGGAAAAAAACCTAATGAAACGATAAGCATTTCTTCCCTCTACCTCTAAAAATGAAAAGTATTATTGTAAATAATTATAACTTATAACTCAAGGTGATTTTTTCATTAGCATGGGTAACATGTTGCACACTTATTACACATTATAGTTGCTTATGTATTTTTAATGTTTATACATGGTAATATAAACCGTGTATAAAACTCCTCCTTTTATTTCCAAAAACGAAAAGACAAAATTATCAATGCAGATACGCACACAGCATGTAACACGCGTGTTTGTGACTCAGTGTTTGGTCAGCGTATTCAGAGCCACATCTGTGATGGCGCTCAATGAACGCTGGGCATTTACCAAACTCACAGAAATGCACACCCAACATTATCTACCAATTGGACATTTAGTCAAAGTTTCCTGGTTTATCTACGGGGGAAAGATTGTGCCTGGAGTTTAAAAATTCTAAAATTCTCAATGGTAACTGCCGAAGCCAACCTCTTGCCACAAAGATGGCGTCGAGTGAGCTTTTGTGCCTGTCGCCGCCGCAGTAGGGAGCCGCCATCAGCCAGCCGCCATCAGCCAAGCCCCCAGCAGCTGCTAGCCGCGAAAGGATCAGAGGCACTTCCCACCCAGCCCCCTCAGCTAGTGGGCCGCGCCTTCAGGCCGCCCCACCCGCCACACTCAGGCCCCCACAAACCCCACCAACCCACCCCACCCAGTAGTACAAGGACCAGGAGGGAACCACTTCCTGAAGAAGTTCCGGCCCTCCCAATCCAAGGAGGCAAGTCTCTCAGCAGGCCCGCCGCCATCTTGCGGAGCCACCAGGAGAGCGTCAGAAGTGAAGTTGGCGGGGTGGGGGCGCGTGGGAGTGGGGGAAGGGGGAAAGGGCGCCTAGGAGTGGGGGTGGGGACGCGTGGGGGTGGGGAACCCGCACCCCAAACCGCTGCCAGGAGAGAACCCGGGGCAGGAAATGGGTTCCGCAAGGAGGCCGTGGCCCTTGTAAGTGAACTGTGAGGCAGGGCGTCCTGGGGACCCACGCCATGCTTGCTGTCCCGCCACTTCTGTGCCTGCCTCTCTGTATAGGCCGCGCTGCTGCCAGGCCGCCTCACCCCACCCTGCGGGCCACGGCTCCTAATGCATTCAGCGGGGTGGCCCCGAAACAGGAAAACCGAGGATAAGGCGGAGCCTGGTTTCACCCACCGGTGAAGACCCCACAGGCCTTGCCCCTCAGGTCTTTCCTTCAACTCACCATGGTGGTGGCAGGCAGCAGCTCCCGACAGGCTCAAGGAGGAACAGAGGCAGTGTTTCACCCACCACTTCTGGGTCTGCTGGTGAAGTCCGCTGGAACACGCTGTGGGGCTTCGAGTGGTCAAAGGAGCCAAAGGCTAAGGTGTAAGGAAAACCAAGGGCGGGCGAACCCTCGGAGGTAGAACCGCCAGGCTGAGGAGCGCAGGCCGACTGAGGCATGGACTGCGGGGCTCTGGGAGGTGGCTCCTGTGCCGGGTATCGGGGCGCGTGGTATCGGCCTGAGCCAATGGGTGGCAGCACACCCGCCCCCTGGAGGGTGGAGGCCTGCGGGGGATGACGGCCGTCCCCCACGCTGTGGGTGCGCAGAGTACGCAGGGTATGCCGTGCGTGTGTGCTGGCCAGTGCCTGGGTTCCAGGCAGGCACCGCCTCCAAAACACCCTTGAAATAAGTATGCATACTGAAATATATGGTATAGTTTTAAAAAATGATAATGTGTCTGGGCTGTAGTTTCAAAATGGCTTCCGGAATGCACAGGTTTAGCACAATCACTGTTAGCGTCACACCCACCCCAAAATCTTTTAAAGTACCTGCAGAAATAAATAGTAGCAAGTCTGTGGAAAACGGAGGGAGACATCAACAGGCCAGAAACTTGGACTCCTTTCTGTCAAGTTTGAGATATAAGGGGTTGGATGGGAGGGAACGCCAGTTTTGACATTCAGGATGTTCCTTCTTTCAAGAGATAGTTACTGAGTGCCTGTGATTACCAGGTACTGCAGATGCAGGAGTGAACAGAATAAAATAATATCTCTTTGCTCAGGGATTTTACATTTTAATGGAAGACTTCACCTTCTAGGACTTACAGAAAGACGCTAGGCCTGCCTAGAGACTTACAGAACATTCTCAAGATCAGAGCAAGGGCCTAGAGCGGGAGCAAGCTGTGGGGCAGGTGGTGGAGCCAATCACATAACTTTGGGGACCACTCCAGCACCTGGTTATGCACACAGGGCTACGTGGCTATGACCTTTATCCTCAAACTTCACTTCTGTACTGACGGAAAGAATTAAAATGTGACTTTTTGAACTGGCAAAATGCTGGACTGCTATAACGTGAGACGTGTCTCACTACTGACATCTAGTAATGCGGGATAAAAAAAAATAACGTTTTGTTTCCAATAGGCAGATAAGCCCATAAAAAAAGAAGGGAAATTCCAAGAACCAAAAATCAACTGAAAACCAGAGCAATGAATTGTTCAAATGATTGTTCTCCTGCCCTGGATATGGGGGCTGGGTTGTAGGGCAGCCAGTCATACTCGTTTGCCCAGGACTTACTGGTTTTAGCACTGAGAAATTCCTGCATCCCTAAGGAAACCAGAAGGATTGGTCCTCCTAGGTGTGGGCAAAATGTTACTCTCTCTAACTTGAGGTCTGGATGTTTAGGGGCAGGAGGTAAGGGCTCAAGGTGGGAGCTGGAACTGAGTACTCTGCAAAAAGCCATTGTCCCTAAAATCCTTAGGAAAAGGATGGAGTGGGGAAAATATAAATCACCCATGAACGAGCAGATGAGGAAGCTTGCCCCATCTCTGGATGAAGAAAATACGTATTTAACTCTCATTATATTTTAAAACCCTAGACCTGCATTTCATCAAAGTTTGGGGTTTAAATCTGTGACATATTATTGGAATCTGCAAGCCAAGAAATGGGTCCTCCTACACCATCACCCTCTCTCCTGCCTAAAGAGATCCTAGACATGGGGCATCTAGAATGCCTGGCAGAAGCAAACATAAAGCCGACTTGGATGAATCCTTCTACAACCTAGGCTGAAAGAAAATGATCCTTTAAGGACACGCTCACAGTAAAAATTTATACAACACTACTTATCTTGAATAAGAATGGCATACAAACAAGAAAGTTAAAACTTACAGAAGAAGCTTCTCAGTAGCAATAGAAACTAGAAGATAACAGTAATATGCTCACGTGTGTATGTGTTTTGTTTTGTGTTTTTTCTTTTTGTCACGTTATTTTTTTCCTCAACTTATTTGGAGTAATGCAGTCTATATTTTTAAGTGACTGTTTTACTATTTGAAAATGTAAACTTAAAATATAAAGCTAATACATAGCTTTACTCTCCTCTTGAATAATACAAAGGCCTTTAGGATGTTTTAGCTTTGGACACCCTCCCCTCTCTCAGTTTATATGTTATTCACTATTTTAGCTCTATCCTGGTTTCACCATATAAATTAGACATCGTTTTTTTAGACCCATCCACATATGTAGTAACATTTTGCTTACCATTTCTTTGCATATCTCAGATCTGCCTTCTGAATCATTTTCCTTACGCCTGTAGCAAATTCTTTATAATTTCCTTGTGTGACAGTGTGATGTGGTAAACTCTTGGGTTTTTTTCTACCTAAAATATTTTGATTTTTCCCTGTTGTTTCATAATTATACTGAATATATAATTCTAGGTTTAAAAGTATTTTCCCTCTCAGAATATTGAGCATATTACTCTGTTATCTTCTAGTTTCTATTGCAACTGAGAAATCTGCTGTCAGTCTTTTTGCTGTGTAAGATCAGTTTTTCTTTGGTGTTCTGAACTTTCACAATGATGTAAGTAGGTGTGGAGTTTTTAAAAATTTTGCCTGCTTAGGAGTTTTAACACTTTCTGGATTTGTGTATTAGTTCTTAACAGTTCTGAACAGTTTCACCCATTTTCTTGTTAAAGGTTAGCTGGTCAAGGGATCAAACATTATTTGTATTTTATATTTCATAAGTGATTCTTAGAATTTTCTTTAGATCATGAATTTTTTAAAGGCTGGTGCTGTTTTCTTGAAATCTTATGAAATCTCTTAAAAAATTTTTAGGATCAAAACTGATTGTATCCATTTCAATGTGTTAAGTAAGATTAGTGGCATAATTCGTATCAGCTCAGAAATAGATCTCTATATTTCTTCCTATATGCTGGGGGAGAAGAAAAAATGCTGGTGTCTTTGAACACCTCTGCCAGTTCTTCTGTGCTCCTAAAGCCTACGGCTTTGGAAAGAAGGCTACGTTTGTATAGGCACACTTGAATTTCAATCACTTGCAAATCATTTTCAAGATTTTTGTTTTATCTGCCCTGAGCGTCTATTATTATTTACCTGTTTTTAAAATTAACTTATTGTCCTAAACAATAACATTTGCAAGATCAGATGTACTGTTTTAGCTACATTTTAAACGGTGACATTAAAATAAATACAGAAAGATTCAAATTTAAAACACTGTTTGTTTATGCGTCACTTCATACCACATTCTGCCAGGTCAACAGGTAACATGGTTTTGGGAAACACTGGACTAGCAGAACTCCATAGAGCTTTAGATATGCAAAGTTAGGCCCAAGGGACTAAAGAGTAGAGTTTCAAATTGTTCTGCCTAATAAATGAGAATAATCAAATTACAAGGGGAGAAACCAAGCAAGGGGTTGGGGGGAGAAGTGGAAGTCCTGGAAGCTGGAGAAAAGAAGTAACCTTGCAGGTTGGCTTATTTGCTCACACCTGTAATTCTCACACTTTGGGAGGCTGAGCCCGATGGATCGCCCAAGTTCAGGTGTTTGAGACCAGTCTGGGGAACATGGGAAAACCCTGTCTCTACCAAAAATACCAAAAATTAGCTGGGTGTGGCAGTGTGCAGCTGTGGTCCCTGCTCCTCAGGAGGCTGAGGTGGGAGGATCATTTGAGTCTGGGAGGTGGCGGTTGCAGTGAGCCAAGATTGCCCCCACTGCATTCCAGCCTGGGTGACACAGTGAGACTCCTTCTCAGAAAAATGAAATTAACCTTGCAAAGAGACAAGAAGTTGGAGCCTGCAGTGAAAGATGTCTGAGTATATTAGAAACTTTTTTTTATATATGTTTTAAATAATTTATATTTTTTAAATATAATTTTAAAAATTATATTTATTGTTTAAATAAATTTAACTATTTTTTAAACAAATTTAAAAAATTTGTATGTCCGTGCCTCACCCCAAACCAACTAAATCAGCTGAGGGCAGGGCTCAGAAGTCAATATTTTTTTTAAGGAAATGTTTGTCTTGTTACTCCAATATGGGGCCAAATTTGAAAATTGGTGCTATTGGTGCTATGGAGGCTTGCTACTCAGTGTATGTAATCCTCAGATCAGCAACTTCACATCACGCGGGTGCTGTAAAATCTCAGGTCCCATGCCAAACCTACTGAATCAGAGTCTGCATTTTAACAAGATCTCCAAATGGCTCATGTGCACACTGACTGACGGTCAAGAAACATTGCCATCGAGAGCGCTTGTCATAAACAAGTTGCACCCCCCCTGGATCTGAGAATGCTTCACCTTATAAATAAATAGTCTACTTTCTCAGCCTTTCTTGCAGCTACATCTTGGGCAGGTAACCTACACAACAGCAGTGAGATGCACCCATCCCAAATTTTGAAGAGGGGACTGCTGATGCTGTAAAGAAGGGACTGCAGAGAATTCTTTCTGGAGAAGAGTATCAACAGCAGCAGCGGCAGCCATGGTATCGGTTAGAGCTGCGGTGGCCACTACTGTCAGTTGTGCAAGCCACGATGTAACTCAGTGCCCAGTGGTGACAGCTGAGGTTTCTTCACTGGACAAGTTCTGCGGCACGGTTTTGTGTGTCATTCCTGGAGACAACCTGGCTCTTTGGTTCATTTTGAGATTCTGTGGGCTAGTTATCCAATAAATTTTAATAAGTTGTTCTCCTGTTTAAACCAGCCAAAACTTCTGTGACTATTGCTTGCAACGAAGCATCTTGACTACATTAGGTGATGAGTGAGGTTAGCCAGACTGCTTTTAAAAAGAAGGTTAACAGCTAAAAGATTTATGACTCTTTACTGTGATTATGTAGCATACTGTCCTGCTATAGTGTCCAACCTTTACCAAGCTTCCAGTACACACACAAATGCCTTATGTCAGCGGTATTTTGTGAGGAGTGTCAAGGACACTGTCCGTTGCAACATGGGTCAGGGACAGCATGCTGATCCACAGCAAGATGATATGTAGATGAAATAATTCAGTAGGAACAGTAGCTTACAGCCAAAAGTGACCTGGAAAAGCAAAAATCATGAGCTCAGTATGCCCAGCAAGATAGAAAGAAATATGTGCTATTCCCATTGCATGTTAGCAGATGTTTAAACCAATTCCATTTAAATCTCAGGGTATGGTGCCTCATCTTCTGTTGGACCTGTATTCGTGTGGTCCAGCATAGCAACACACATCTCGTGTACACTTGTGCATACTTACAGATATGTCTATCAACTGAGCAACATTGGCTTAAGCCCTGCCTGTTCACCTTTAATCCTACTACCTGCAATAATAGTTTATTCAGTCAAAACTTAAATCTCCTAAGCAGATTGTCTGAATTTTGGGATTGGTCTGAAGCAAACGTGCATAATCTTCATGATGGCCTCTTGATTCTAAATATTAAATATTTAACTGAAAAATTATCAGTTTGTTAAAAGTAATAATATTGACACAAGGCACTGATACTGATACGGTGCATACTATGTACCAGGCATTATTGTAATCATTTTACTTCTAGTTCATCTAATCCTCATAACAATACTAGGTGCTATTATTATCTCAATTTTATGGAGAAGGAAGTAGAGGTACACAGAGGTTGGATAACTTGCCTGAGATCATAGTTGGTAGGCATCAGAGCTGTGATTTAAACCCAGTCAGACTTTAACATCTGAGTTCTCAACCAGTATGCTATATTAGCAAACTACATGGAGGAAGAAAGGGGTAATATAGTGGGACAAATTTATGTATTAAATGTCTTGTTCCCATGAGAGTAGCTAAACAAAGAAGCAAAACCACAAATCTAAGCCCTAAACAACACTATGGTCTGAATGTTTGCCCCCACTCAACCTCTCACCTGTACATATGTTGAAACTCTAGTCCCTGGGGTGATGGTATCAGGAAGCGGAGCCTTTGGGAGATGAATTAGGTCCTAAGGGCAGAGCGTTCGTGAATGAATGATGGTATTAGGAAGTGGAGCCTTTGGGAGACGAATTATGTCATGAGGCCAGAGCTTTGGTGAATGGGATTGATGCCCTTGTAAAAGAGGACTCGGGGAGCTTAGTTACTCCTCCTACCATGTAAGAATACAGCAAGAAGTTGGCAGTCTGCACCCCAGAAAAGTGTCCTCACCAGAACCTCACCGTGCTGACACCCTGGTCTTGGACTTGCCAGTCTCCAAAACTGTGAGATACAAATTTCTGTTGTTTATAAGCCATCCAGGTTCAGGTATTGTTATTATAAGAGCCTGAACAGATTAAGAAAGGTAGTACTGGGAGAGGGGTGCTGCTATAATAAATGCCTAAAACTATGGAATCAGTTTTGTAAATGGGTAATGGGTAGAGGCTGGAAGAGTTTTGACATGTATCCTAGAAAAATCCTACACTGCTGTGAACAGACCAGGCCATAAAGGGTGATTCTGATGAGGGTTCAGAAGGAGAAAAGGAGAGCTGTAGAGAAAACTTGACTCTTCTTAGAGAGTACCTAAGTAGTTGTGAAGAGACTTAGTAGAAATATAGACAGTAAAGACCATTCTGACGTGAGGAACATGTTATTGGAGACTAGAGGAAAGACAATCCTTGTTACAAAGTAGCAACAAACTTGGATAAATCATGTTCATGTACTATTGTTTTGTGGAGTATTGCTTTTACTATAGCAGCCTGAACAGATAATACTTCTATCTACACTAATGAATTGCTCCAAAACAATTGGCCCTTGAGGAGCCTATCTGCTTAACAAAAGTAAAATTTCCACATTTCCTTCTGAATTTTGCCTGTTAACAAATCTTTCAGTACTTTTTTCAAATGTTGGAATCAATCTCATCTCTACACCACTGACTGCCTACTCACACACATACTTCTCCCAGTTGCTTTGAAACTGCTTTTTCTGCATCAGGAGGCATCACTACTGAGCAAACTCTTGCAAATCACAAGTTGAACACTTGTGGAGAAAGCAGAGAGAAAAAGCTGGTATAACTCACTCTTCTTCCTTTCCTCATCCCTAATCATGCTAACCTTCATTTCCTTAGTTTTATTCTTTCTACATTCATTTTTTGTTTCTTATCCATTTTTGACAATACGAGTAATAGATAATATGTGCCCCTTTCTTTAAAATACTAAAAACATTCAGGTAGGCTTAAGTTACCTTTTGACCACCAGCTCTACATCCCAGATCCATTCCCAGAGATGGGTAGTTTGGTGTAAATCCTTTCAGATGTTTTTCTAGATGTTTCCTTTTATACACTTATAGGGAACATTTGATATTTGAACTTACAGAACATATTTACTAACATAAAATATGTGGCATTTTTATTATACTTGTAATAGAGAAATTATATTCATATAATAAGTACTATGTATATGTATACATATTGTAGAAAATGTATGCTTACACTATATATTTATACTTAGAGGGTATATAGAGGGAATATATATTATTTGGGGTATATGTTCTTGAACAAAAATGCTATTAAAATGTATGTAACTTGATTTTTTTCCTCCAAGAACATGACTCAGAAATACCTACATTAACAGGTAGATTTTTTTTCTTTTTTAGAAATGAGGTCTTGCTGTATTGCCCAGGCTGGCCTGGAACTCCTGGGTTCAAGTGATCCTCCCACCTCAGCCTATGAGTAGCTGGGACTATGGGGGTACACCATCACACCCAGTTACTCAGAAATTTCTAATGTCAGCACATATATATATACTTAATTCCTTTTAACTTTGGCATAATTTTACATAATATGGATATGCCACCATTATTAGCCATTCCCTGGTCAATGGACATTTAGGTCACTTGTGCTTTGTCGTAGTTATTAATAATATACAATGAACCTCTCTCATTGGAGCCAAATGAGTATTTATTTTTTCTGGGGGTGAACGCCAAGAGATATATCTGTCGGGTCATGGATATGCACATTTCAAATTTTAATAGATATCAGAAAATTGCCCTTTGAAGTGTTGTGCCAGTATGTACCAATTTACACTCCACCATTTGTGAGTTAGAGTCTTCATTTGTCTATTCACTTTCCAATATTGATATCACTGCTCTTTAATTTGCCAACCTGATGGTCAAGAAGTGGCATCTCATTTTCATTTTACTTTGGTTTTCCCTGATTGCTCATGGAGTTAAACTTTTTTCTACTGTTTGTTGACTGTTTGGATTCCTCATTGCTGAGAGACCTGTTCATAGCCTCCGGTCATTTTTCATTTGAGTTGCTTGTCTTTATCATATTGTTTTGTGGTAATCTGGCTTCTTTCATTTTTTTGTTTGTTTGTTTGTTTGTTGTTTTGTTTTCTTTTGTTTTCAGGCAGAGTCTGGCTCTGTTGCCCAGACTGGTGTGCAGTGGCGCGATCTTGGCTCACTGCAACCTCTGCCTCCCAGGTTAAACTGATTCTCCTGCCTCAGCGTCCAGTGTAGCTGGGACTACAGGCACACACCACCACGCCTGGCTAATTTTTGTAGTTTTAGTACAGATGAGGCTTCACCATATTGGTCAGGCTGGTCTCGAACTCCTGACCTCAGGTGATCCACCCACCTCAGCCTCCCAAAGTGCTGGGATTACCGGCATGAGCCACCACACCCAGCCAGCTTCCTTCTTTATCTTCCTCCTCAGTCCCTCAGGCAAAGGTGCAGCGGTATTGGTGCCTCTTTGAAGTTCCACTTCAGTGTGATGAACTACAGTTACATTTATTTTCAAGAATTTCTTTTCCTAAACTGGAGAAATTTAAGCCATGAATCAGAGAGAAAGGGAAATCTCTGGTGTAAACATTAACCACTGAAACTTTCAATGTCTTTGAACCCGTCAACTCTGCTGGACCTCTTTCTAAAAAACAGATGAGAGTTGTTACTCAAGTCAGTTAGCCCTTTAGTACTTTCAAACATTTTTTTTTTAGGAGCTCAAGGAATTGCCAGAGAGAAGGAGAACTGTTAGCTCTGATTTCTAAAGAGCTTTCCTAAATATTGATTGCATTTTTTAGGCAATGCGACAATCTCAAAGCACTTTGCTAAGGGCGACATTGTGTTGAGGTCTAACTGTTAAATTTCTCATCTTGCCCCGATTCCCTTAATTTACAATGAGAATATCTGTAGAGAAATGAGGTGAGACATCAGGTGAGTAAATACACATTAACAGGGGCAGCATTTACAGATTAGCAGGGAAGGTTCTGATGACAACTTGATTAATGCAAAACTAAATTAATCAATCTCTGATCACCACAAAAAGGAGCGGGTGAAATGTTTCTTTTTTCCTCATGAAGGATTTTTTTTTTTCTGTGACTTACGTGGCATTGACTGAAAAAAAAAAAAGTCCACAATTTCAAAACCCTTTTGGCAAAAACTTTATGTACCTCTAGCTAGCATTGGGTCCAGGTTCCAACATTTCACCCAAAAGTCCAAGTTCAAAGTCTCACCTGAGACAAGGCAAGTCTCACGTATGAGCCTGTAAAATCAAAAGTAAGTTAGTAACTTCCTAGATACAATGAGGGTACAGGCATTGAGTAAATACACCCATTCCAAATGGGTGAAATTGGCTAAAATGAAGGTGCAGCAGACCCCATGCAAAGTCTGAAATCTTCAGGGCAGCCAAATCTTAAGCTCTGCAGTGATCTCCTTTGACTTCATGTCTCATATCTAGATCATGCTGATACAAGAGATGGGTTCCCATGGCCTTAGGCGCTCCACCCCTGTGGTTTGCAGAGTACAACCCCCTTCCTGGCTGCTTTCACAGGCTGGCATTGAATGTATTTTGTATTTTCCAGGAGCACAGTGCCATTCTGGGGCAGATCCCTAGACATGCAGGCATTGTCATGCATCCTCTGAAATCTAGGCAGAGGTTCCTAAACCTAACTTCTTGGCTTCTGTGCACCCACAGGCTCAACAGCACATGGGAGATGCCAAGGCTTGGGGCTTGCAGCCTCTGAAGCAATAGCCTGAGCTCTGTGTTATCCCCTTTTACCCATGGCTGGGATGCATGGCACCAAGTCCCAAGACTGCACAAAGCAGCAAGGCCCTGTGCCCAGCCCATGAAACCATTTTTTCCCCCTAGGCCTCCAGGTCTGTAATAAGAGGGGCTGCTATGAAGTTCTCTGGCATGCCCTGGAGACATCTTCCCCACTGTCTTGGTGACTATCATTTGGTTCCTTGTTACTTATGCAAATTTCTGAAGCCAGCTCAAATTTCTCAACAGAAAATGGGTTTTTCTTTCTTTTCTGTCACATCATGAGGTTACAAATTTTCAAAACTTTTACACTCCATTTCACTTTTAAACATAAGTTCCAATTCCAAACCATCTCTTTATGAGTGCATAAAACTGAGTGATTTTAGGAGCATCCAAGTCAATTCTTGAACACATTGCTGCTGAGAAATTTCTTCCACCAGATACCCTAAATCTTCTCCTTCAAGCTCAAAGTTCCACAGATCTCTAGGGTAGGTGCAAAATGCTCCCAGTCTCTTTGCTAAATTATAGCAATAGTCACCTTTATTCTGCTTCCCAACAAGTTCCTCATCTCCATCTGAGACCACATCAGCCTGGACTTCATTGTCTATATCATTATCAGCATTTTGGTGAAAGACATTCAACAAGTCTCTAGGAAGTTCCAAATTTTCCCTCATTTTCTTGTCTTCTTCTGAGCCCTCCAAACTGTTCCAACCTCCGCCTGTTACCCCGTTCCAAAGATGCTTCCACATTCTTGGATATCTTTATAGCAGCACCCCACTCTCAGTCATACCAACTTACTGTATTAGGCCATTTTCATACTGCTATAAATAACTGCCCAAGACTGAGTAATTTACAAAGGAAAAATGGTCTAATTGACTCACAGTTCAGCATGCCTGGAGAGGCCTCAGGAAACTTACAATCATGGTGGAAGGTGAAGGGGAGGCAAGGCACCTTATTCACAAGGTAGCAGGAAAAACTGCCAAGGGAAGGGGGAAGACACCCTCATAAAACCATCAGATCTCATGAGAACTCATTATCATTAGAACGGTATGGGGGAAGCTGTCCCTACGATTCAATTACCGCCACCTGGTGTCTCCCTTGACATTTCGGGATTATGGGGATTACAATTCATGATGAGATTTGGGTGAGGACACAAAGCCTAACCATATCAGACCCCATCTCTACAAAAAATACAAAAATGAAAACAAAATTAACTGGACATGGTGGCATGAACCCATAGTATTAGCTTCTTGGGAGGCTGAGGTGGGAGGATCCCTTGAGCCCAGGAATTTGAGACTGCAGTGAGCTATGACAACACCACCGTACTCCAGCCTAGCTGACAGAACGAGACCTGTCTCTTAAAAACGGAACAAAACAAAATAAAACTTGTTGACTGACTAGGTATTGGAAATAACAAAAAAGGTTTCCCTCCACTTCCTTCCTTTTTTTAAAAATTATGTATATTATCTCTGTGCCTGGTTTTTCTTTATTCCATGATTTTCCTTTGACTGTATTCTCTTCTTTAGTCCTTTCAGTTCCTTGTACTTGCTAATGCAGGCTGAAATGCTAGCTAGAGGTACATAAAGTTTTTGCCAAAAGGGTTTTGAAATTGTGGACTTTTTTTTTTTTCAGTCAATGCCACGTAAGTCACAGAAAAAAAAAAAATCCTTCATGAGGAAAAAAGAAACATTTCACCCGCTCCTTTTTGTGGTGATCAGAGATTGATTAATTTAGTTTTGCATTAATCAAGTTGTCATCAGAACCTTCCCTGCTAATCTGTAAATGCTGCCCCTGTTAATGTGTATTTACTCACCTGATGTCTCACCTCATTTCTCTACAGATATTCTCATTGTAAATTAAGGGAATCGGGGCAAGATGAGAAATTTAACAGTTAGACCTCAACACAATGTCGCCCTTAGCAAAGTGCTTTGAGATTGTCGCATTGCCTAAAAAATGCAATCAATATTTAGGAAAGCTCTTTAGAAATCAGAGCTAACAGTTCTCCTTCTCTCTGGCAATTCCTTGAGCTCCTAAAAAAAAAATGTTTGAAAGTACTAAAGGGCTAACTGACTTGAGTAACAACTCTCATCTGTTTTTTAGAAAGAGGTCCAGCAGAGTTGACGGGTTCAAAGACATTGAAAGTTTCAGTGGTTAATGTTTACACCAGAGATTTCCCTTTCTCTCTGATTCATGGCTTAAATTTCTCCAGTTTAGGAAAAGAAATTCTTGAAAATAAATGTAACTGTAGTTCATCACACTGAAGTGGAACTTCAAAGAGGCACCAATACCGCTGCACCTTTGCCTGAGGGACTGAGGAGGAAGATAAAGAAGGAAGCTGGCTGGGTGTGGTGGCTCATGCCGGTAATCCCAGCACTTTGGGAGGCTGAGGTGGGTGGATCACCTGAGGTCAGGAGTTCGAGACCAGCCTGACCAATATGGTGAAGCCTCATCTGTACTAAAACTACAAAAATTAGCCAGGCGTGGTGGTGTGTGCCTGTAGTCCCAGCTACACTGGACGCTGAGGCAGGAGAATCAGTTTAACCTGGGAGGCAGAGGTTGCAGTGAGCCAAGATCGCGCCACTGCACACCAGTCTGGGCAACAGAGCCAGACTCTGCCTGAAAACAAAAGAAAACAAAACAACAAACAAACAAACAAACAAAAAAATGAAAGAAGCCAGATTACCACAAAACAATATGATAAAGACAAGCAACTCAAATGAAAAATGACCGGAGGCTATGAACAGGTCTCTCAGCAATGAGGAATCCAAACAGTCAACAAACAGTAGAAAAAAGTTTAACTCCATGAGCAATCAGGGAAAACCAAAGTAAAATGAAAATGAGATGCCACTTCTTGACCATCAGGTTGGCAAATTAAAGAGCAGTGATATCAATATTGGAAAGTGAATAGACAAATGAAGACTCTAACTCACAAATGGTGGAGTGTAAATTGGTACATACTGGCACAACACTTCAAAGGGCAATTTTCTGATATCTATTAAAATTTGAAATGTGCATATCCATGACCCGACAGATATATCTCTTGGCGTTCACCCCCAGAAAAAATAAATACTCATTTGGCTCCAATGAGAGAGGTTCATTGTATATTATTAATAACTACGACAAAGCACAAGTGACCTAAATGTCCATTGACCAGGGAATGGCTAATAATGGTGGCATATCCATATTATGTAAAATTATGCCAAAGTTAAAAGGAATTAAGTATATATATATGTGCTGACATTAGAAATTTCTGAGTAACTGGGTGTGATGGTGTACCCCCATAGTCCCAGCTACTCATAGGCTGAGGTGGGAGGATCACTTGAACCCAGGAGTTCCAGGCCAGCCTGGGCAATACAGCAAGACCTCATTTCTAAAAAAGAAAAAAAATCTACCTGTTAATGTAGGTATTTCTGAGTCATGTTCTTGGAGGAAAAAAATCAAGTTACATACATTTTAATAGCATTTTTGTTCAAGAACATATACCCCAAATAATATATATTCCCTCTATATACCCTCTAAGTATAAATATATAGTGTAAGCATACATTTTCTACAATATGTATACATATACATAGTACTTATTATATGAATATAATTTCTCTATTACAAGTATAATAAAAATGCCACATATTTTATGTTAGTAAATATGTTCTGTAAGTTCAAATATCAAATGTTCCCTATAAGTGTATAAAAGGAAACATCTAGAAAAACATCTGAAAGGATTTACACCAAACTACCCATCTCTGGGAATGGATCTGGGATGTAGAGCTGGTGGTCAAAAGGTAACTTAAGCCTACCTGAATGTTTTTAGTATTTTAAAGAAAGGGGCACATATTATCTATTACTCGTATTGTCAAAAATGGATAAGAAACAAAAAATGAATGTAGAAAGAATAAAACTAAGGAAATGAAGGTTAGCATGATTAGGGATGAGGAAAGGAAGAAGAGTGAGTTATACCAGCTTTTTCTCTCTGCTTTCTCCACAAGTGTTCAACTTGTGATTTGCAAGAGTTTGCTCAGTAGTGATGCCTCCTGATGCAGAAAAAGCAGTTTCAAAGCAACTGGGAGAAGTATGTGTGTGAGTAGGCAGTCAGTGGTGTAGAGATGAGATTGATTCCAACATTTGAAAAAAGTACTGAAAGATTTGTTAACAGGCAAAATTCAGAAGGAAATGTGGAAATTTTACTTTTGTTAAGCAGATAGGCTCCTCAAGGGCCAATTGTTTTGGAGCAATTCATTAGTGTAGATAGAAGTATTATCTGTTCAGGCTGCTATAGTAAAAGCAATACTCCACAAAACAATAGTACATGAACATGATTTATCCAAGTTTGTTGCTACTTTGTAACAAGGATTGTCTTTCCTCTAGTCTCCAATAACATGTTCCTCACGTCAGAATGGTCTTTACTGTCTATATTTCTACTAAGTCTCTTCACAACTACTTAGGTACTCTCTAAGAAGAGTCAAGTTTTCTCTACAGCTCTCCTTTTCTCCTTCTGAACCCTCATCAGAATCACCCTTTATGGCCTGGTCTGTTCACAGCAGTGTAGGATTTTTCTAGGATACATGTCAAAACTCTTCCAGCCTCTACCCATTACCCATTTACAAAACTGATTCCATAGTTTTAGGCATTTATTATAGCAGCACCCCTCTCCCAGTACTACCTTTCTTAATCTGTTCAGGCTCTTATAATAACAATACCTGAACCTGGATGGCTTATAAACAACAGAAATTTGTATCTCACAGTTTTGGAGACTGGCAAGTCCAAGACCAGGGTGTCAGCACGGTGAGGTTCTGGTGAGGACACTTTTCTGGGGTGCAGACTGCCAACTTCTTGCTGTATTCTTACATGGTAGGAGGAGTAACTAAGCTCCCCGAGTCCTCTTTTACAAGGGCATCAATCCCATTCACCAAAGCTCTGGCCTCATGACATAATTCGTCTCCCAAAGGCTCCACTTCCTAATACCATCATTCATTCACGAACGCTCTGCCCTTAGGACCTAATTCATCTCCCAAAGGCTCCGCTTCCTGATACCATCACCCCAGGGACTAGAGTTTCAACATATGTACAGGTGAGAGGTTGAGTGGGGGCAAACATTCAGACCATAGTGTTGTTTAGGGCTTAGATTTGTGGTTTTGCTTCTTTGTTTAGCTACTCTCATGGGAACAAGACATTTAATACATAAATTTGTCCCACTATATTACCCCTTTCTTCCTCCATGTAGTTTGCTAATATAGCATACTGGTTGAGAACTCAGATGTTAAAGTCTGACTGGGTTTAAATCACAGCTCTGATGCCTACCAACTATGATCTCAGGCAAGTTATCCAACCTCTGTGTACCTCTACTTCCTTCTCCATAAAATTGAGATAATAATAGCACCTAGTATTGTTATGAGGATTAGATGAACTAGAAGTAAAATGATTACAATAATGCCTGGTACATAGTATGCACCGTATCAGTATCAGTGCCTTGTGTCAATATTATTACTTTTAACAAACTGATAATTTTTCAGTTAAATATTTAATATTTAGAATCAAGAGGCCATCATGAAGATTATGCACGTTTGCTTCAGACCAATCCCAAAATTCAGACAATCTGCTTAGGAGATTTAAGTTTTGACTGAATAAACTATTATTGCAGGTAGTAGGATTAAAGGTGAACAGGCAGGGCTTAAGCCAATGTTGCTCAGTTGATAGACATATCTGTAAGTATGCACAAGTGTACACGAGATGTGTGTTGCTATGCTGGACCACACGAATACAGGTCCAACAGAAGATGAGGCACCATACCCTGAGATTTAAATGGAATTGGTTTAAACATCTGCTAACATGCAATGGGAATAGCACATATTTCTTTCTATCTTGCTGGGCATACTGAGCTCATGATTTTTGCTTTTCCAGGTCACTTTTGGCTGTAAGCTACTGTTCCTACTGAATTATTTCATCTACATATCATCTTGCTGTGGATCAGCATGCTGTCCCTGACCCATGTTGCAACGGACAGTGTCCTTGACACTCCTCACAAAATACCGCTGACATAAGGCATTTGTGTGTGTACTGGAAGCTTGGTAAAGGTTGGACACTATAGCAGGACAGTATGCTACATAATCACAGTAAAGAGTCATAAATCTTTTAGCTGTTAACCTTCTTTTTAAAAGCAGTCTGGCTAACCTCACTCATCACCTAATGTAGTCAAGATGCTTCGTTGCAAGCAATAGTCACAGAAGTTTTGGCTGGTTTAAACAGGAGAACAACTTATTAAAATTTATTGGATAACTAGCCCACAGAATCTCAAAATGAACCAAAGAGCCAGGTTGTCTCCAGGAATGACACACAAAACCGTGCCGCAGAACTTGTCCAGTGAAGAAACCTCAGCTGTCACCACTGGGCACTGAGTTACATCGTGGCTTGCACAACTGACAGTAGTGGCCACCGCAGCTCTAACCGATACCATGGCTGCCGCTGCTGCTGTTGATACTCTTCTCCAGAAAGAATTCTCTGCAGTCCCTTCTTTACAGCATCAGCAGTCCCCTCTTCAAAATTTGGGATGGGTGCATCTCACTGCTGTTGTGTAGGTTACCTGCCCAAGATGTAGCTGCAAGAAAGGCTGAGAAAGTAGACTATTTATTTATAAGGTGAAGCATTCTCAGATCCAGGGGGGGTGCAACTTGTTTATGACAAGCGCTCTCGATGGCAATGTTTCTTGACCGTCAGTCAGTGTGCACATGAGCCATTTGGAGATCTTGTTAAAATGCAGACTCTGATTCAGTAGGTTTGGCATGGGACCTGAGATTTTACAGCACCCGCGTGATGTGAAGTTGCTGATCTGAGGATTACATACACTGAGTAGCAAGCCTCCATAGCACCAATAGCACCAATTTTCAAATTTGGCCCCATATTGGAGTAACAAGACAAACATTTCCTTAAAAAAAATATTGACTTCTGAGCCCTGCCCTCAGCTGATTTAGTTGGTTTGGGGTGAGGCACGGACATACAAATTTTTTAAATTTGTTTAAAAAATAGTTAAATTTATTTAAACAATAAATATAATTTTTAAAATTATATTTAAAAAATATAAATTATTTAAAACATATATAAAAAAAAGTTTCTAATATACTCAGACATCTTTCACTGCAGGCTCCAACTTCTTGTCTCTTTGCAAGGTTAATTTCATTTTTCTGAGAAGGAGTCTCACTGTGTCACCCAGGCTGGAATGCAGTGGGGGCAATCTTGGCTCACTGCAACCGCCACCTCCCAGACTCAAATGATCCTCCCACCTCAGCCTCCTGAGGAGCAGGGACCACAGCTGCACACTGCCACACCCAGCTAATTTTTGGTATTTTTGGTAGAGACAGGGTTTTCCCATGTTCCCCAGACTGGTCTCAAACACCTGAACTTGGGCGATCCATCGGGCTCAGCCTCCCAAAGTGTGAGAATTACAGGTGTGAGCAAATAAGCCAACCTGCAAGGTTACTTCTTTTCTCCAGCTTCCAGGACTTCCACTTCTCCCCCCAACCCCTTGCTTGGTTTCTCCCCTTGTAATTTGATTATTCTCATTTATTAGGCAGAACAATTTGAAACTCTACTCTTTAGTCCCTTGGGCCTAACTTTGCATATCTAAAGCTCTATGGAGTTCTGCTAGTCCAGTGTTTCCCAAAACCATGTTACCTGTTGACCTGGCAGAATGTGGTATGAAGTGACGCATAAACAAACAGTGTTTTAAATTTGAATCTTTCTGTATTTATTTTAATGTCACCGTTTAAAATGTAGCTAAAACAGTACATCTGATCTTGCAAATGTTATTGTTTAGGACAATAAGTTAATTTTAAAAACAGGTAAATAATAATAGACGCTCAGGGCAGATAAAACAAAAATCTTGAAAATGATTTGCAAGTGATTGAAATTCAAGTGTGCCTATACAAACGTAGCCTTCTTTCCAAAGCCGTAGGCTTTAGGAGCACAGAAGAACTGGCAGAGGTGTTCAAAGACACCAGCATTTTTTCTTCTCCCCCAGCATATAGGAAGAAATATAGAGATCTATTTCTGAGCTGATACGAATTATGCCACTAATCTTACTTAACACATTGAAATGGATACAATCAGTTTTGATCCTAAAAATTTTTTAAGAGATTTCATAAGATTTCAAGAAAACAGCACCAGCCTTTAAAAAATTCATGATCTAAAGAAAATTCTAAGAATCACTTATGAAATATAAAATACAAATAATGTTTGATCCCTTGACCAGCTAACCTTTAACAAGAAAATGGGTGAAACTGTTCAGAACTGTTAAGAACTAATACACAAATCCAGAAAGTGTTAAAACTCCTAAGCAGGCAAAATTTTTAAAAACTCCACACCTACTTACATCATTGTGAAAGTTCAGAACACCAAAGAAAAACTGATCTTACACAGCAAAAAGACTGACAGCAGATTTCTCAGTTGCAATAGAAACTAGAAGATAACAGAGTAATATGCTCAATATTCTGAGAGGGAAAATACTTTTAAACCTAGAATTATATATTCAGTATAATTATGAAACAACAGGGAAAAATCAAAATATTTTAGGTAGAAAAAAACCCAAGAGTTTACCACATCACACTGTCACACAAGGAAATTATAAAGAATTTGCTACAGGCGTAAGGAAAATGATTCAGAAGGCAGATCTGAGATATGCAAAGAAATGGTAAGCAAAATGTTACTACATATGTGGATGGGTCTAAAAAAACGATGTCTAATTTATATGGTGAAACCAGGATAGAGCTAAAATAGTGAATAACATATAAACTGAGAGAGGGGAGGGTGTCCAAAGCTAAAACATCCTAAAGGCCTTTGTATTATTCAAGAGGAGAGTAAAGCTATGTATTAGCTTTATATTTTAAGTTTACATTTTCAAATAGTAAAACAGTCACTTAAAAATATAGACTGCATTACTCCAAATAAGTTGAGGAAAAAAATAACGTGACAAAAAGAAAAAACACAAAACAAAACACATACACACGTGAGCATATTACTGTTATCTTCTAGTTTCTATTGCTACTGAGAAGCTTCTTCTGTAAGTTTTAACTTTCTTGTTTGTATGCCATTCTTATTCAAGATAAGTAGTGTTGTATAAATTTTTACTGTGAGCGTGTCCTTAAAGGATCATTTTCTTTCAGCCTAGGTTGTAGAAGGATTCATCCAAGTCGGCTTTATGTTTGCTTCTGCCAGGCATTCTAGATGCCCCATGTCTAGGATCTCTTTAGGCAGGAGAGAGGGTGATGGTGTAGGAGGACCCATTTCTTGGCTTGCAGATTCCAATAATATGTCACAGATTTAAACCCCAAACTTTGATGAAATGCAGGTCTAGGGTTTTAAAATATAATGAGAGTTAAATACGTATTTTCTTCATCCAGAGATGGGGCAAGCTTCCTCATCTGCTCGTTCATGGGTGATTTATATTTTCCCCACTCCATCCTTTTCCTAAGGATTTTAGGGACAATGGCTTTTTGCAGAGTACTCAGTTCCAGCTCCCACCTTGAGCCCTTACCTCCTGCCCCTAAACATCCAGACCTCAAGTTAGAGAGAGTAACATTTTGCCCACACCTAGGAGGACCAATCCTTCTGGTTTCCTTAGGGATGCAGGAATTTCTCAGTGCTAAAACCAGTAAGTCCTGGGCAAACGAGTATGACTGGCTGCCCTACAACCCAGCCCCCATATCCAGGGCAGGAGAACAATCATTTGAACAATTCATTGCTCTGGTTTTCAGTTGATTTTTGGTTCTTGGAATTTCCCTTCTTTTTTTATGGGCTTATCTGCCTATTGGAAACAAAACGTTATTTTTTTTTATCCCGCATTACTAGATGTCAGTAGTGAGACACGTCTCACGTTATAGCAGTCCAGCATTTTGCCAGTTCAAAAAGTCACATTTTAATTCTTTCCGTCAGTACAGAAGTGAAGTTTGAGGATAAAGGTCATAGCCACGTAGCCCTGTGTGCATAACCAGGTGCTGGAGTGGTCCCCAAAGTTATGTGATTGGCTCCACCACCTGCCCCACAGCTTGCTCCCGCTCTAGGCCCTTGCTCTGATCTTGAGAATGTTCTGTAAGTCTCTAGGCAGGCCTAGCGTCTTTCTGTAAGTCCTAGAAGGTGAAGTCTTCCATTAAAATGTAAAATCCCTGAGCAAAGAGATATTATTTTATTCTGTTCACTCCTGCATCTGCAGTACCTGGTAATCACAGGCACTCAGTAACTATCTCTTGAAAGAAGGAACATCCTGAATGTCAAAACTGGCGTTCCCTCCCATCCAACCCCTTATATCTCAAACTTGACAGAAAGGAGTCCAAGTTTCTGGCCTGTTGATGTCTCCCTCCGTTTTCCACAGACTTGCTACTATTTATTTCTGCAGGTACTTTAAAAGATTTTGGGGTGGGTGTGACGCTAACAGTGATTGTGCTAAACCTGTGCATTCCGGAAGCCATTTTGAAACTACAGCCCAGACACATTATCATTTTTTAAAACTATACCATATATTTCAGTATGCATACTTATTTCAAGGGTGTTTTGGAGGCGGTGCCTGCCTGGAACCCAGGCACTGGCCAGCACACACGCACGGCATACCCTGCGTACTCTACGCACCCACAGCGTGGGGGACGGCCGTCATCCCCCGCAGGCCTCCACCCTCCAGGGGGCGGGTGTGCTGCCACCCATTGGCTCAGGCCGATACCACGCGCCCCGATACCCGGCACAGGAGCCACCTCCCAGAGCCCCGCAGTCCATGCCTCAGTCGGCCTGCGCTCCTCAGCCTGGCGGTTCTACCTCCGAGGGTTCGCCCGCCCTTGGTTTTCCTTACACCTTAGCCTTTGGCTCCTTTGACCACTCGAAGCCCCACAGCGTGTTCCAGCGGACTTCACCAGCAGACCCAGAAGTGGTGGGTGAAACACTGCCTCTGTTCCTCCTTGAGCCTGTCGGGAGCTGCTGCCTGCCACCACCATGGTGAGTTGAAGGAAAGACCTGAGGGGCAAGGCCTGTGGGGTCTTCACCGGTGGGTGAAACCAGGCTCCGCCTTATCCTCGGTTTTCCTGTTTCGGGGCCACCCCGCTGAATGCATTAGGAGCCGTGGCCCGCAGGGTGGGGTGAGGCGGCCTGGCAGCAGCGCGGCCTATACAGAGAGGCAGGCACAGAAGTGGCGGGACAGCAAGCATGGCGTGGGTCCCCAGGACGCCCTGCCTCACAGTTCACTTACAAGGGCCACGGCCTCCTTGCGGAACCCATTTCCTGCCCCGGGTTCTCTCCTGGCAGCGGTTTGGGGTGCGGGTTCCCCACCCCCACGCGTCCCCACCCCCACTCCTAGGCGCCCTTTCCCCCTTCCCCCACTCCCACGCGCCCCCACCCCGCCAACTTCACTTCTGACGCTCTCCTGGTGGCTCCGCAAGATGGCGGCGGGCCTGCTGAGAGACTTGCCTCCTTGGATTGGGAGGGCCGGAACTTCTTCAGGAAGTGGTTCCCTCCTGGTCCTTGTACTACTGGGTGGGGTGGGTTGGTGGGGTTTGTGGGGGCCTGAGTGTGGCGGGTGGGGCGGCCTGAAGGCGCGGCCCACTAGCTGAGGGGGCTGGGTGGGAAGTGCCTCTGATCCTTTCGCGGCTAGCAGCTGCTGGGGGCTTGGCTGATGGCGGCTGGCTGATGGCGGCTCCCTACTGCGGCGGCGACAGGCACAAAAGCTCACTCGACGCCATCTTTGTGGCAAGAGGTTGGCTTCGGCAGTTACCATTGAGAATTTTAGAATTTTTAAACTCCAGGCACAATCTTTCCCCCGTAGATAAACCAGGAAACTTTGACTAAATGTCCAATTGGTAGATAATGTTGGGTGTGCATTTCTGTGAGTTTGGTAAATGCCCAGCGTTCATTGAGCGCCATCACAGATGTGGCTCTGAATACGCTGACCAAACACTGAGTCACAAACACGCGTGTTACATGCTGTGTGCGTATCTGCATTGATAATTTTGTCTTTTCGTTTTTGGAAATAAAAGGAGGAGTTTTATACACGGTTTATATTACCATGTATAAACATTAAAAATACATAAGCAACTATAATGTGTAATAAGTGTGCAACATGTTACCCATGCTAATGAAAAAATCACCTTGAGTTATAAGTTATAATTATTTACAATAATACTTTTCATTTTTAGAGGTAGAGGGAAGAAATGCTTATCGTTTCATTAGGTTTTTTTCCTGATTATAAAAGTAGTGTAGTATATTTACTCATTTGAAAACAATCACACTAAGAAAATAGCAGTCCATGTTAATACCAACACATAAAACCACAGTTAAGTTTTGATACATGAATGCCTTTCCAACTTATTTTTATGCATGTATTGCAATTGCATATAGATAGGCCAGCTTTTACAAAAGTTACATAGTGCTGCTTAATACTATTTTACAACTGGCAGCTTTCAATTAATGTGGGTATTATTCTGAAGATAACTTTAATTTTCAGTATATCATGTTAAAAATTGTACTGTTGTTTTACTGAATTCCCTTATGATGAATACTTTTTCAGTATTAAAACTATCATGGGCTGGGCGCGGTGGCTCACGCCTGTAATCCCAACACTTTGGGAGACTGAGGCGGGCGGATCACTTGAGGTCAGGATTTCGAGAGCAGCCCGATTAACATGGTGAAACCCCATCTCTACTAAAAATACGAAAAATTAGCCAGGCGTGGTGGCGTGCACTTGTAATCCCAGCTACTCGGGAGGCTGAGGCAGGAGAATCATTTGAACCTGGGAAGCAGGTTGCAGTGAGCTGAGATGGTGCCACTGCAGTCCAGCCTAGGCAACAAAGGGAGACTCAGTCTCAAAACAAAATTTAAAAAATGCCATGAATGTCCTTGTGTAAATATCTTGGCACACTTGTACTTAATTATTAATTCCTTGAGATTAATTGCTGTAAGTGGCATTGCTGGGTGGAAGTGCTTTTGCCCTTTCATAACAATTTTAAATTATGCTCCTCATTAGTATAGTGGTGAGTATCCCCCTGTCAAATTATGATACACCTTTTCCAAGGTGCTCTTGGTAAAGCATGTATCAGTATTTTCCCACTGATGGTGTGTAGAGTGATCTCTGTTGCACACCCTTTCTAATGAACGGTATTAGGATTTTGTACATCGTCAGCCTAATAGCTGGATAATGTTACACTATGTTGATGTGCACTTTTTTGAATCATCAGTGAAGTTGAGCATTGATCATTAGCTTTTTAAATTTCCTTTTTTAATTTTATTTTTCTTACTGACTCATAAAAACCCTGTATTAATATTCGCATTTGTCATACATAGTGGGAAAATATATATAGTAGTAATGATGAGGTGCCATGGTGCCCTTACCTTATTCCTATTTTCAGTGGAGATGGCTCTAGTATTTCACTGTAAGCTTCATGATAGGGTAGAATTAGATTGATAGAAAGCAAGAATCCTCTATTTCTATTTTACTTAGGTTTTTAAAAAATTTAAAAATGAATGCTGTATTTTATTAAATACTTTTTCAATGATGAATTAAAGTAACGTATCCTGCGAATGCAGTATTCTTGCATTGCCAATATAAACTATATTCTTTCCTACTGGAATTTTGCATTTGTGTTGAGGAGAGGGTTGGACCATCTTGATGAGGCTTTGTTGCTTATGTGTTGTTAACCTTTGTAAAATGCATTGAGAAGTACTTTTTTCCTCTTTGAAAATTGAAGAAAAGAGTTTACATTTCTTAATCTCTTCTTCTATCTTTACTTCAGGTTTCTGGCGTCTGTGTGCACCTCTCTGTGACACACCACATACACCCAAGTTACCTGTTTCTTTACAAGTTGAAAAAACTCCCAGGGAAACTAAGCCAAATACCATTGGGTGTTCTTTTTCAAGATTGTTTGGGAAGAATTAAAATTTCTGTACAAGTTGACCATGTCGTTGATTTCAAAATTTATTCCTATAGAGTTTGAGCATAACATTCTTTTATAACCACGGGCCACAACCCATTTTTCAGGTCTCATATATTTTTGCTTTTTCTTGCTTAGTTTTGCAAGGATTGTGTATTGCTTGAATTTCATCCTTGCCACCCACCACTCCCCGGGACTCTGTTCTTGGATTAACTTCTGATTTTCACGTCATATTTTCTTAATTTTAGCATTCTCTTTATTTGCTCCTCTTCCTATTGCTGTGAATGTAACTTTGATGACTACAAATGATAGGCTTTTTCCTGGCCAGTTTATGTAAATAACAATTTGCTTACATGTTCACATAGTAATTGCATTAGATAATACTGGCAGAGGAGCTGACATGGCAGGAGTTTAATGATAATTTTTTCCAGCTTTTAGCTGTCTTTGTCACTTGATTGTCCGCATATAACAAGGAATATGTTTGCTAGAAATAGCAATGAGAGTTGTGATTATGACGGTCTTGAAGCTCACCCCTGTTTACTATTGCAACATTTCTCATTTGAAAATTCAACAACTCACTTGAAGATACGGTTAAGAAAATTACTTCTTGTGTTTTGTGTTTTTTTGTTTGTTTGTTTGTTTTATTTTATTTTATTTTTTTGAGACGGAGTCTCGCTCTGTCGCCCAGGCCGGACTGCGGACTGCAGTGGCGCAATCTCGGCTCACTGCAAGCTCCGCTTCCCGGGTTCACGCCATTCTCCTGCCTCAGCCTCCCGAGTAGCTGGGACTACAGGCGCCCGCCACCGCGCCCGGCTAATTTTTTGTATTTTTAGTAGAGACGGGGTTTCACCTTGTTAGCCAGGATGGTCTCGATCTCCTGACCTCATGATCCACCCGCCTCGGCCTCCCAAAGTGCTGGGATTACAGGCGTGAGCCACCGCGCCCGGCCAAGAAAATTACTTCTTTAATGCAGTTTGTTTTCAGGATGCCATTGACGGTTACGATGGTACTTTCTTTCAAACTAAACTTTTGCTTATCCGAAGCATTCATTTATATTTTTGGCCGTAGTTTAAAACTAACCAAAGTTTGTCTGTTGATTGTGGATTTTTATATATACATTATATAATTATGTATAAGTACACAGTCGGAATTGAACAATCCCTGCTACTCGAGCCATGGTAAAAGTGAAGTACGTTGCAGAAAACGAGGTACATTGCTTACCTTGTTAGCTTTGAGCGCCACCTGCTGGCTGAGGACTAGGACATGATCATTACTTCCTTCATTTAAAGTATTATGACGCTATTAGAGAGATTCAGTGAATTTTATATGTACGATTCCAGTTAAGCAGGCAGCCGGTTTGTAAGATCCAAGCTAAAGTCAAACTTCTTAATAATATCAAATGCCTTTTTTCTTCTTTACCAAACTACGGTTATTTCGAGTATCCAAATGAGTATGAGAATCAGAAGAGACACCCGAGGTCTTTTCCGGCCATTCGTTTTCAAGCAAGGAAACTGAAACCGAGGTCATGAAAAGATTCACTTTAGTGAGCGATGGAAATCAGGTTCTTCCCAAAGAAGAATTTTCCTCTTCAATTCTTGTGGCACGGTGACAAGGTTTCTTAACCAGACCCTTTTCAAATTGTGCACCAAATACTTCCTTATGGTAGGAGGCTGTCTTTACACTGTAGGATGCGCAGTAGTGTGCCTGGCCTTCGGCCCATCAGATTCCAGGAATACATCTCAGTTGTGACAGCCAATCTCTAAACGTCGCTAAATGCCCCTGGGGCTCAAAAATCTTGCCCAGTTGAGAATCAGTGCATTTCCATAACCTCTCGTAGTCTGACACAGTTTTCTGCCAGATGTTACATTTCTAAATTAAAATACATCCAAACACTATGGTGCAGAGACGATACTGTAATATAGCTTGTTTATCAAGGAAACACGTACCCAAAGTTCATCCACAAATCAAGGAGGAATTGGAAAGGAGAAAAAGAAACTACAAGAATTTCAGAATTTGTTTTGTTTTGTTTTATTCTGTTTGGGATTTCTGAATGAACTGAGAAGGAATTGGTAAATTGTCTATAGGGAAGGGAGATCTAATCAGGTTCCCAGTAGTTCAAGGTAGTGCAGCTTAATGTCATTTGGAAAAAACAATAATGTGAGACATTTTTGAAAGGAAGAACTTTAAAAACAGTGTTTTAAATTTTTCTTTCACATCATTGTCATGAAATAACGCTGTTAAAGGAAAGAATTAGGAATTAGTTACAAACCCAAAATAGCAAGTACAAGCACGAAAGAATAGAGAAATGCAGTAACCTCGGCTTTAGTTGATTTGACAATTTAGATTTGATCTCTAGTAAAGCTGTGTAGAATCAGTAACTTCTAGGCTCTAATTAACAAAGCAGGAACCCTCCTTTCTTATTAACTTCTGTAACATTACTGTGTTCTAAAAGATAACGCAGTTTCTTTTGTCTTTTGTTTTCTTTCAGACAGGTATATGTGTAATAGCTTTCTCTTTTGCAGCATTTTGTACTGACATTTGTGAAGTCAACAGCACTTCACCAATGATTTTTAAATTAATGATGTGTCATAGTTTCCTGATGTGTCAATTAGTTCTTAATTAAAATTTTTTTCAAAATAAGTCAGCTAAATAGTGAAGCCAAAAAAGAAACTTGAAAACAAATCGGCTGAAAATAAATTCAAATAACAGGACACTAACTTACATTGGCACACCACTTGTACCACTTTATACGTACAAAATGAATTCACAGATGTGATCTCATGTCATTCTCAAAGCACTTTGCCCACAGATACATAGCTGGCAAGTAGGTGGCTTATAACCACTTACCTGTAAGGGACATAAACCTAGATCTCCTGACTGAATTAATTTTTGTTTCACTATGCTATATTGTTTCTCCAACGTATATATTACTTATGAATACTACTTCAGAAAATTTTACATTAACCTTAGAGTCTGCTGTGGAAAGAATAAAGACAGTTCTGATCAGAATCTAGAAAATTAGTGAGTTATATGTATGTGTTTTTTTATCTGAAAATAAAGATGGTATCATTTATATCTATCAGCCCACTGTGAAAATCAGAATTATCAGTCAGACTGATTCCGTGTTACTCAGGAAGAAAAATGTTATTTCAAAAGATGCTTTGAACACCCTAGCGTTAGGGAAGAGGATTGTAACAAATTGGTTTAAAACGTTGAGGCTTATTTTCTTTTTGGTGGGGCTTTTTTTTTTTTTTTTTTTTTTTTAAGATTTATCTTTAGTCTACTCAGTAAAGTGAAAAGTTGTTTATGAATATAGAACAGGATGATTTTAATAACTTTAATTTTTACAAATCTAAACTCTCTAGTTTTGGGTGTCTTTTTTAACTACTTCACGTAGTACTTTCACAAATACTAAATGGGTATTCTTCCACAGCATTATACAAGACTCGGTGATGAGCGGCACTAGGTTTAAGAAAGTACTGTATCCTTCGGTTAAAATTCCATGCTGATGTACTCTGATAAGTTTAAATCCTGAGCCTGAACTGAGCTGCACTGGTGACTGAATTACAATGAAAGTAATTTATGTAAAATATACTTAAAATACAAAAATGGTATTTCACATTATGTATGGGTTTTGCCTGCATACGTAATTATGATGTCTACTTTCCAAATTACAGTCTGCTGCAAATCCTGAGACTCCAAACTCAACCATCTCCAGAGAGGCCAGCACCCAGTCTTCATCAGCTGCAGCTAGCCAAGGCTGGGTGTTACCAGAAGGCAAAATCGTGCCAAACACTGTTTTTGTTGGTGGAATTGATGCTAGGGTATTGTATTCGTACCTCATTTTTACCTTAACATACATCATGAACAATGGGATGTGGGCCCTGTTACAAACTTAAATTTTTTTTTGTACTTCCTGGAGGTTTAGAATTGCTTTTAGGTTTGACCCATAGGTACTAAAAATATCTTTGACAAAGGGCTGCTGGTCATTCGGGGATAAATGGGGGAGAAATTTCCACCTCATGGTAGTAAAATTGTAGTAAAGTTGAAATTTTTGAATGCTGAATTTTTACTCTGACGTTCAGTTCTTTTCCATAGATGGATGAAACTGAGATTGGAAGCTGCTTTGGTAGATACGGTTCAGTGAAAGAAGTGAAGATAATCACGAATCGAACTGGTGTGTCCAAAGGGTGAGTAATTTTATCAAAAATATGTGAACTCCAGTCACCTATTCTATAAGTATCAGACAAGACTTCAAAACTGATATTCTGACCCTTGTATAAATGCAATATTCTGCAGTGTTAATTTCTTTCACGTAGGGGATAAAAGGCTATTACCAGTTCTTCTATTTGACCATTTTTCTAATGTTTGTATTTAAATGTCTCCAGTTTCTATTTCATACAGATGAGTTAATCAGTTTTCTCAAATAATTGTTTTCTTCATACACTGCAGAGCATCTTAAATTTTAACCACCTTGTCTTAGACAGTAAGTTAAACTCAGGTTCACAGATATGAATTCTTTGCTAATCAATAAAGTTGTCACACTGCCCTAATCCTAGCACATTTTGACATAGTTCTGCTTAAGAAAAAGTGGTATTTGTAGAGGATCTGTCATGTACATCTTAGCAAATACTTATCATGGTATATTATTCGTCTTTTGTCATGATCACTTCTGTATATAGAATAGTAGACCTTCTGAACCACGTACTGTATGATGGTGATTTTATGCTTCATTTGTCTGCCTTTATAGCTATGGATTTGTTTCGTTTGTTAATGACGTGGATGTCCAGAAGATAGTAGGAGTAAGTAATCTAATAGAAAAATCTCTTATTTATCTTATTGCTACAACGTTTAGTGTCAGTGATACACTCGGACTTGTGTAAAATTTGGGGAAAGACACACTTCCTGTTCAAAATCCAAACTCAGAGTAACCTCACGTAGCTTGTTTGATCCTGTTTATTTTTGACTGGACACCTAGTTTCATGAACTACAGACAGGAAGGGTTGGAGACAGGGTGATGGAAAGTTTTTGATCAACTTTCACTTGATGCCTCTTGACACTGATTAGAGTAGTAAGGGTAAGTAAGGTAGCTTCGTGATGACAAATTTTAATTTGGTGCGTAGTTGTCCCCGATCTTCTATGATGATAGGTACTTTAGAAGACTTCAGGTGTTTACCCAAGTCTTGGAAGCTAACACTTGAAAATTGATTCTAGTTTTGTTAACGGTTCTATTTTCAGTCACAGATACATTTCCATGGTAAAAAGCTGAAGCTGGGCCCTGCAATCAGGAAACAAAAGTTATGTGAGTAGGAAAAGAAATGGTTCTTTTCTGACCTGTGTAGCTTTTCAAATAACTAAAAATAGGCTTTTTTCTTCTTGCTTTTTAAAAAGGTGCTCGTCATGTGCAGCCACGTCCTTTGGTAGTTAATCCTCCTCCTCCACCACAGTTTCAGAACGTCTGGCGGAATCCAAACACTGAAACCTACCTGCAGCCCCAAATCACGCCGAATCCTGTAACTCAGCACGTTCAGGTAAGAACTGCTTATGTTCCTGTTCTCTTGTTTATTCTAGTCATCCTTCCCTCTGTGGAATTGTATCTACACTTTCCATAGTAAGTGGCAATAGAATCCCTGTTTGAACAGTGTGAGTAACGGGAAATCTGTTACTTTTGTTAGAAATTTCTTATTCTTCGTGTTCGTCATTTGAGCTAAGAATCTTCTGTATACTTGGCGAAGCTTTCTCTTAGAAATGACCTCTGTAGACACATGAACAAATCTCTTCCTATCTCTGCCTCTTTCACCTCATATAACTAGTTCCTAAAGTATTTGGAAGCAGCCCTCCTTATGTGTCTGCCTAGTTTATTGTTCTCTAAGGTTAGCAGTTAACCTAGCTATTCTTTACTTGCAGTGATTTCCAGATGCCTCCTCATATAAATTGCTTGACTTCTGGGTATATTCTGGTTCTGGGATGGGTAGATTTCTGATCTCTTTTGCTCTATCTAGAAATCCCGTGAGTTTCTGGCACGTAATTTCTCTGATGCTGGTTGCTTTGATATTTAAAGTAGGATTTGACATACTCTTGTCACTTACTGGTGATAAATAACGTTTAGTTTGTTCTTCGTTCATTTTATTTATGTGTTAGTTTTTAAAAAGAGGTTTTCTTCGATGGAAAATAAAGTAACCAAATAGTAGTGAATTAGTTCTTCAGTGTCTCTCATTTGTTGACATTTTCCATGTACTTGAAACGTGTGGGGTACACCTCTTCTTCTTTTTCCTTCTCTGAGCAATGGCTAGAAGAAAAGCCCTACTTGTTTGTAGCATTTACTGTGAGCCATTACTGAATGTGGGTGTATTGATGAATGATGCTACCTGTATGTTTTTAATCAGTAAGTATTTATTGAAAAGTAGAAGACATTATACTGTCTCTTTTCCAGCTGTGGCTTACTTACTGCCCTTAATTTGTGGAAAAGAAGTACAGAGAAAGCCGTAACATCTGCCGAAGAACTACAGTATTACCCTATAATATCATCAGATAGCAAACAGTCTAGAAGTATTTTGCCAAAGAAAGAGCAAATGTATTATTTTAACTTACGTTGAAATCTATCTTAATAGAGCCTTATCAGCAGCGTAAGAAATAACTTCTGGGTGGGCATAAGTACACAGTATAAATATGGTAGACTTTGGCCGGTGCAACAGTCACTTGTTTTGTCATTTGTCTCTTCCCCCTCCCCGCCCAAAGGGTAGCACTTGACAGAGAATATTTGTTTCTTCATGTCAGTCATTCATTTAGAAATCTGTATTTCTGTATGTAGAAAAATAATTACCATTTCAAGGTTTTTCGTATTTTTGTTATTTTGGGAATGATATTTCTTTCTAGTTAAAGAAAATGTTTTACCGTATTAATCCATTCTTTCTGTAAACTTTATTTTCAGGCTTACTCTGCTTATCCACATTCACCAGGTCAGGTCATCACTGGATGTCAGTTGCTTGTATATAATTATCAGGTAATTGAAGAGGGAGTAAGATGATTTACTTTCAGCTACTATTGAGGCCTCAACTTGCTTATACAAATTGCTTGAATAGGTTGTCCTTTTAAACTAGTGAACTGTACCTAAAATTTAAGAAATCACTTAGAATTAGTGTAATGAGGACCTCTGTTTTATTTAGAAGTGATGAAATAAGATTTTGACAGGAGGGTACTTAGCAATAACTTTTCCGTAGAACAATTTCTGAGATTTGGTGTTCCCTTCTTTGTTTCAGCATGTATTTTGTTATCTTTGCTGTCAAAGAGCTGAAACATCCAGACTGACTTTCCTGAATCTTGTAGAGATACAGAGTGAAATAAAAGCTTTACCGAATTCTTAGAGCACAGAATTTCAGTTGTATTTTTATTTTAGCTTGCTGCTTCATGATAGCAGTTCTCTGGGTCTCTTTTCAATGGTACAACTATTATCTGTGACCCATAATTGTATCTGTGGTAACAAATTCAAAGAATTAATATCTTTGAGGGTTCCACAATTCTGTTTCCATAAAATTGGGAAAAAGGTGAGGTTTTCTGTGTAGAAGTAACAACAAGAACTTTGGGGATTAGAAACCTAAAGTACTTCTTTTTTCTATTCTGTTTCTTTTATTATAACAAAGGAGCCATCATGATAAATACTCCAATATTATGTAACTCATGTGTTTTTGAAAACGTGTAGGAGTATTTAAATAATTTTGGTTACTTTTTTTTTTTTTTTTTTTTTTTTAATTTAAGATTCCACTGCACTGGCCTGTTGGGGCGCAAAGGAGTTATGTTGTTCCTCCGGTAAAGCGAATGAGTGAAACATATACCTGCTCTTCTTTCTTGATTTTTTGTGTGGCACATATGCCTATAAATATTTTTAATGATTCTTTATATTGATGTGTTAACGTTTTGTTACTTTCTTTTTAACCCAATTATAATCTCCCATGGGAGAAACAGTGCCTTTTTCTCTCTCAGGTTTTTGTATGCTTAAGCAATGGCTTCTCCAAATTATGACAAGTGTTCAGTTACTTGTCGATAGATTATTTAATCTAAGAAAGGTAGTCCTAATGTGGCTTTATCTAAGAAAGGTAGTATTAATTTGGCTTTAGAATAGCATGTATCTGATGAGAATCTGCATCTGGATGTACCAACCATAAAAAATTTCATAAAAGAAACAGAAATGTTTTGCTGTTAATTACTCTTAAATAAGAATAGGATTAAAAAGAGTATTACCTCTATAACACCTGAGCTGCTTTCCCCCATATAACTAAAATATTTAAAAGCAGTTCTCCTCATGTGTCTGCCTGCTTTATTCTTCTCTAAGTTTAGCAGTTAATCCAGGTATTCTTTATTTGAAATGATTTCCAGATGCCTCTGCATATTAAATTGCTGACTTCCAGATATATTCTGGTTCTGGAATGGGTAGATTTCTGATATGTTTTAGGTATCTGTAAATCCCGCAAGTTTCTGGCATGTAGTGTCTCTGATCCTTGTTAGTTTGCTATTTAAAGTAGATTTGACATATTCTGTCACTTACTGGTGGTAAATAACGTTTATTTTCTTCTTAGTTCATTTTATTTATATCTTAGTTTAAAAGACATTTTCTTTGATGGAAAATAAAGTAACAGAATAGTAGTGAAGTAGTTATATTCAGTGTTTCTCATTTGTTGACATTTTCCCTGTACTTGAAACATGTACGGTATACCTCATCTTCTTTTTCCTTCTGTGAACAATGGCTGGAATAAAAGCCCTACTTCTATCATTTACTGTGAGCCATTACTGAATCTGGGTGTATTGATGCATGCTGCTTACCTATATGTGTTGAAACAATAAGTATTTATTGAAACATATGAGACATTATACTGTCTCTTTTCCAGTATTGGATTCTATACTGCACTTAGTTTTTCAACATGAAGTACAGAAAACGCCGTAAATTCTGCAGAACTACGTATTACCTTATAATATTGTCAAATACACATCAGTCTGGAAGCATTTTTACAGGGAAATAGCAAATGTATTAATTTAACTTACATTGAACTCTGTCTTAATGCAGCCTTATCACCAGTGCAAGAAATAACTTCTGGGTGGGCATAAGTACACAATATAAGTAAGGTTAACTTTGCCTGGTGTCATAGCCAGTTCTTTTGACATTTGTCTGTTCCCCCTCCACGCCCAACCATAGCACTTGACCGAGAATAATACGTTCTTCATAAATCAGTCAGTCACTTACAATTCTACATTGTTGCAGATAGAAAAATAATTAGTATTTCGAAATTTTTCATAGTTTTGTTATATTGGGACTAATTCTTCCTAATTAAAAATAATGTTTTAACGTATTAATTCATTCTTTCTGTATAATTTATTTTCAGGAATATCCTACTTATCCCGATTCAGCATTTCAGGTCACCACTGGATATCAGTTGCCTGTATATAATTATCAGGTAATGTAAGAGGGAGTAAAATGATTTGCTTTCAGGTATTATTGGGGCCTTTAACTTTTTTAGACAAATTTCCTGAACAGTTGGTCATTTTAAACTAGTGAAGTGTACCTAAAATTTAAGGAAACACTTAGAATTAGTGTAGAATGAAGACATCTGTCTTATTTAGAAGTAATGAAGTAGTATTTTGAGAGGAATATACCTGGCAATAACATTTCTGTAGAAGAGATTTCTGAGATGTGGTGTTCTCTCCTTTACTTCTGGATGTAGTTTTCATCTTTACTGTGAAATAGCTGAATGAAACATCCAAACTGACTTTCATGAATTTTCTTAGGGAGATAGAGTGAAATAAATTTCTGCTGCACTTTTCAGAGCACAGAATCCCAATTACATTTTCATTTTAGCTGGCTGTTTGAAGATAGTAATTCTCTGGATCTCTTTTCATAGATACAAGTATATCTATGACCCATAATTATATCTATGGTAATAAACTGAAAGAGGTAGTATCTTGGAGGTTTCCACATTGCCAACTCCTGAAAATTTGGAGAAAGATGAAGTTTCAAATATAAAAGTAAGAAGAATGTCATGGACTAGAAACATGATGTACTTAAGTTTTCCTTTCTGTTACTTTTATTATAATAAAAAAGGAGACAGCAGGATAAGGACTTCAATATTGTGTTTCTCATGAGTTTTTGAAAATGTGTAGGAATACTTTAATAGTTTTGGTGTCCTTTTTTTTTTTTTTTTTTTTTTTTTAAGATGCCACCATAGGGGCCTGTTGGGGAGCAAAGGGATTCCGTTCTTGACGTTAAGTGAATTAGCCAAACATAGACTTCCTGTTCATTCTTGATTTTTTTCCATGTCCTATATGCCTATAAATATTTTTAAGTGATTCTTTATATTAATTTTTTTGTCGTTGTTACTTTCTTGTTAACCCGATTATGAACTCCCATGGGAGCAAGAGTGCCTTTTTTGCCCTCAGGTTTTTATGTGCCTAAGCAATGGCAGGTCCACATAATGATAGACTATATAATCACAGAAAAGTAGTATTCACTTGACTTTAGAATTATCACGTATCTGCCAATAATCAGCCTCTGGCTTTACCAGCAATAGAAAATTTATAGAAGAGAAACAGAATTGCTTTGCTGTTAATGACGCTTAAATAAGAACAGGAGTGAACGAGAGTATTACCTCCAAATCACCGGAGCTGCTTTCCCCCTTATAAGCAGTTCCTAAAGTGAATGAAAGCAGCTCTCCTTATGTGTCTGCCTACTTTATTCTTCGGTAAGTTTAGCAGTTCATCTAGCTATCCTTTATTTGAAATGATTTCCAGATGCCTCCTCATATAAATTGCTGACTTCTGGATATTTCCTGGTTCTGGAATGGGTAGATTTCTGATGTGGTTTAGTATATATATGTAAACCCCGTGAGCTTCTGGCATCTAATTTCTCTGATCCTGGTTACATTGATATTTAAAGTAGGGTTTGACATACTCTGTCACCTACTGTTGATAAATAACGTTTATATTCTTCTTAGTTCATTTTATTGACGTGTTAGCTTTAAAGACATTTTCTTTGACGGAAAATGAAGTAACAAAATAATAGTGAAATAGTTATGCAGTGTCTCTAATTTGTTGATATTTTGCATGTACTTGAAACTTGTATGGTATACCTCTTCTTTTTCCTTCTCTGAACAATGGCTAGAAAAAAAGTCCTACTTTTTTCTGTCATTTACTGTGAGGCATCACTGATTCTGGGTGTATTCATGTATGCTGCTACCTGTATGTTTTCAAACAATAAGAATTTATTGAAACATGTAAGACATTATACTTTCTCTTCTCCAGTATTGGATCATAGACTGCACTTAGTTTTTTGTAATGAAGTACAGACAAAGCCATAACATCTGTCGAACTACATATTACCCTATAATATTGTCTGATACAAAACAGTCTGGAAATATTCTTACAGAGAAATTGCAAATGTATTAATTTAACTTACCTTGCAATCTCTCTTAATGGAGCCTTACCACCAGTGTAAGAAATAACGTCTGGGTGTGAATAAGTACACAGTATAAGGTAAACTTTGGTGAAGTAGTCAATTCTTTTGTCATTTGTTCCCCCTTCACACCCATAGTGTAGCACTTGACCTAGAATCTTTCTTTCTTCATAAAGTCAGTCATTCATTTGGAATTCTGCATTGTTGTACGTAGAAAAAGGATATTTTACCTTTTGTAATATTTTTGTTATATTGGGAATTATATTTCTTTGTAATTTTAAAAAGTGGTTTACCATATTCATTTTTTTCTGCAACCTTTCTTTTCAGCCATTTCCTGCTTATCCAAGATCACCATTTCAGGTCACTGCTGGATATCAGTTGCCTGTATATAATTATCAGGTAATGTAAGAAGGAGTAAAATGATTTACTTTCAGGTATTACTGAGGCATTCAACTTGTTTATACAAATTTCCTGAATAGTTGGTCATTTTAAATTAGTGAAGTGTACCTAAAATTTAAGGAAACACGTAGAAGTAGTGTAGAATGAAGACCTCTGTCTTATTTAGAAGTAATGAAGTAGTATTTTGAGAGGAATATACTTGGCAATAACTTTTCTGTAGAAGAGATTTCTGAGATGTGGTGTTCTCTTCTTTATTTCTGGATGCAGTTTTCATCTTTACTGTGAAATAGCTGAATGAAACATCCAAACTGACTTTCATGAATTTTCTTAGGGAGATAGAGTGAAATAAATTTATGCTGCACTTTTCAGAGCACAGAATCCCAATTACATTTTCATTTTAGCTGGCTGTTTGAAGATAGTAATGCTCTGGATCTCTTTTCATAGATACAAGTATATCTATGACCCATAATTACATCTATGGTAAGAAACTGAAAGAGGTAGTATCTTTGAGGTTTCCACCTTGCCAACTCCCGAAAATTTGGAGAAAGGTGAAGTTTCCAATATAAAAGTAACAAGAATGTCATGGACTAGAAACATAAAGTACTTAAGTTTTCCTTTCTGTTACTTTTATTATAATGAAAAAGGAGACAGCCGGATAAGTACTTCAATGTTGTATTTCTCATGTGTTTTTGAAAATGTGTAGGAATACATATAATAGTTTCGGTGTCCTTTTTTTTTCTTTCTTTTTCTTTCTTTTTTTTTTTTAAGATGCCACCATAAGGTCCTGTTGGGGAGCAAAGGATTATGTTGTCCTTGACGTTAAGTGAATTAGCCAAACATAGATTTCCTGTTCATTCTTGATTTTTTTCCATGTCATATATGCCTATAAATATTTTTAAGTGATTCTTTATATTAATTTTTTTGTTGTTGTTACTTTCTTGTTAACCCGATTATAAACTCCCATGGGAGCAAGAGTGCCTTTTTTGCCCTCAGGTTTTTATGTGGTTAAGCAATGGCAGGTCCATATAATGACAGACTATATAATCAAAGAAAGGTAGTGTTCATGTGACTTTACAATTAGCATGTATCTGCATAGAATCTGCCTCTGGCTTTACCAGCAATAGAATATTTATAGAAGAGAAACAGAAATGCTTTGCTGTTAATGACGCTTAAATGAGAATAGGAGTAAACGAGAGTATTACCGCCAAATCACCGGAGCTGCTTTCCCCCTTATAACCAGTTCCTAAAGTGAATGAAAGCAGCTCCCCTTATGTGTCTGCCTACTTTATTCTTTGGTAAGTTTAGCAGTTCATCTAGCTATTCTTTATTTGAAATGATTTCCGGATGCCTCCTCATATAAATTGCTGACTTCTGGAAATATTCTTCTTCTGGAATGGGTAGATTTCTGATGTGGTTTAGTATATATATAAACCCCGTGAGCTTCTGGCGTCTAATTTCTCTGATTCTGGTTACACTGATATTTAAAGTAGGGTTTGACATACTCCATCACTTAATGTTGATAACTAACCTTTATATTCTTCTTAGTTCGTTTTATTTATGTGTTAGCTTAAAAGACATTTTCTTTGATGGAAAATGAAGTAACAAAATAATAGTGAAATAGTTCTGCGGTTGTCTCTAATTTCGTGATATTTTCCATGTACTTGAAACATGTATGGTATACCTCTTCTTTTTCCTTCTCTGAACAATGGCTAGAAAAAAAGCCTTACTTGTTTCTGTCATTTACTGTGAGCGATTACTGAATCTGGGTGTATTCATGTATGCTGCTACCTGTATGTTTTCAGATAATAAAAATTTTTTGAAATATATAAGACATTATACTTTCTCTTGTCCAGTATTGGATTATAGACTGCACTTAGTTTTTCGTAGTGAAGTACAGACAAAGCCATAACATCTGTCAAACTATATATTGTCCTATAATATTGTCTGATACAAAACAGTCTAGAAATATTCTGACAGGGAAATAGCAAATGTATTAATTTAACTTACCTTGCAATCTCTCTTAATGGAGCCTTACCACCAGTGTAAGAAATAACTTCTGGGTGTGAATAAGTACACAGTATAAGGTAAACTTTGGTGAAATAGTCAATTCTTTTGTCATTAGTTCCCCCTTCACTCCCAAAGTGTAGCACTTGTCATAGAATCTTTCTTTCTTCATAAAGTCAGTCATTCATTTAGAATTCTGCATTATTGTATGTAGAAAAACAATATTTTACCTATGTTTGTTATATTCAGAATTATATTTCTTTCTAATTTTAAAAAAATGGTTTACCGTATTCATTTTTTTCTGGAACCTTTCTTTTCAGGCATTTCCTGCTTATCCAAATTCACCATTTCAAGTCGCCACTGGATATCAGTTCCCTGTATACAATTATCAGGTAATGTCAGAGGGAGTAAAATGATTTGCTTTTAGGTATTATTGAGGCCTTTAACTTGTTCATACAAATTTCCTGAATAGTTGCTCATTTTAAACTAGTGAATTGTACCTAAAATTTAAGGAAACACTTAGTGTAGAATGAAGACCTCTGTGTTATTTAGAATAATGAGGTAGTATTTTGACAGGAATATACTTGGCAATAACTTTTCTGTAGAACAGATTTCTGAGATTTGGTGTTCTCTTCTTCATTTCTGGATGTAGTTTTCATCTTTACTGTCAAATAGCTAAATGAAACGTCCAAAGTGTCTTTCATGAATTTTCTTAGGGAGATAGACTGAAATAAAATTATGCTGCACTTTTCAGAGCACAGAATCCCAATTACATTTTCATTTTAGCTGGCTGTTTGACGATAGTAATGCTCTGGATCTCTTTTCATAGATACAAGTGTATCTGTGACCCATAATTATATCTACGGTAATAAACTGAAAGAGCTAGTATCTTTGAGGTTTCCACATTGCGAAATCCCGAAAATGTGGAGAAAGCTGAAGTTTCCAATGTAAAAGTAACAAGAATGTCATGGACTAGAAACATAAAGTATTTGAGTTTTCCTTTCTGTTACTTTTATTACAATAAAAAAGGAGACAGCAGGATAAGTACTTTAATATTGTGTTTCTCATGTGTTTTTGAAAATGTGTAGTAATACTTCAATAGTTTTGGTTTCCTTTTATTTATTGATTGATTTTTTAAGATTCCACCTTAGGGGCCTGTTGGGTAGCAAAGGGATTATGTTGTCCTTGACGTTAAGGGAATTAGCCAAACATAGACTTCCTGTTCATTCTTGATTTTTTTCCATGTCATATATGCCTACAAATATTTTTAAGTGACTTTTTATGTTAATGTTTTTTTTGTTGTTGTTTCCTTCTTGTTAACCCGATTATAAACTCCCATGGCAGCAACAGTGCCTTTTTTGTCCTCAGGTTTTTATGTGCTTAAGCAATGGCAGGTCTACATAATGATAGACTATATAATCAAAGAAAGGGAGTATTCACGTGACTTTAGAATTAGCATGTGTCTGCACAGAATATGCCTCTGGCTTTACCAGCAGTAGAAAATTTATAGAAGAGAAACAGAAATGCTTTGCTGTTAATGACGCCTAAATAAGAATAGGAGTAAAGGAGAGTATTACCTCCAACTCACCGGAGCTGCTTTCCCCCTTATAAGCAGTTCCTAAAGTGAATGAAAGCAGCTCTCCTTATGTGTCTGCCTACTTTATTCTTCGGTAAGTTTAGCAGTTTATCTAGCTATCCTTTATTTGAAATGATTGCCACATGCCTCCTCATATAAATGGCTGACTTCTGGATATATTCTGGTTCTGGAATGGGCAGATTTCTGACGTGGTTTAGTATATATATATAAACCCGGTGAGTTTCTGGCATGTAATTTCTCTGATCGTGGTTACATTGATATTTAAAGTAGGGTTTGACATAGTGTGTCACTTACTGTTGATAAATATCGTTTATTTTCTTCTTAGTTCATTTCATTGATGTGTTAGCTTAAAAGACATTTTCTTTGACAGAAAATGAAGTAATGAAATAATAGTGAAATCGTTCTGCTGTGTCTCTAATTTGTTGATATTTTCCATGTACTTGAAACATGTATGGTATACCTCTTCTTTTTCCTTCTCTGAACCATGGCTAGAAAAAAAGCCCTACTTGTTTCTCTCGTTTACTGTGAGGCATTAGTGATTCTGGGTGTATTCATGTATGCTGCTACCTGTATGTTTTCAAACAATAAGAATTTGTTGAAACATGTCAGACATTATACTTTTTATTCTCCAGTATTGGAATATAGACTGCAATTAGTTTTTTGGAATGAAATACAGACAAAGCCATAACATCTATAGAACTACATATTACCCTACAATATTGTCTGATACAAAACAGTCTGGAAATATTCTTACAGCGAAATTGCAAATGTATTGATTTACCTTACATTGCAATCTGTCTTAGTGGAACCTTATCACCAGTGTAAGACATAATTTCTGGGTGTGAATAAGTACACAGTATAAGGTAAATTTTGGTGAAGTAGTCAGTTCTTTGTCATTTGTTCCCCCTTCACACCCAAAGTGTAGCACTTGACATAGAATCTTTCTTTCCTCATAAAGTCATTCATTTGGAATTCTGCATTGTTGTATGTAGAAAAAGGATATTTTCCGTTTTGTAATATTTTTCTTATATTGGGAATTATATTTCTTTCTAATTTTAAAATGTGGTTTACCATATTCATTTTTTCTGCAACCTTTTCAGGCATTTCCTGCTTATCCAAATTCACCAGTTCAGGTCACCACTGGATATCAGTTGCCTGTATACAATTATCAGGTAATGTAAGAGGTAGTAAAATGGTTTGCTTTCAGGTATTATTGAGGCCTTTAACTTGTTTATAGAAATTTCCTGAATAGTTGGTCATTTTTAACTAGTGAAGTGTCCCTAAAATTTAAGGAAAGACTTAGTGTAGAATGAAGACCTCTGTCTTATTTAGAAGTAATGAAGTAATATTTTTACAGGAATATCCTTGGCAATAACATTTGTGTAGAAGAGATTTCTGAGATTTGGTGTCCCCTTCTTCATTTGTGGATATAGTTTTCATCTTTGCTGTCAAATAGCTGAATGAAACATCCAAACTGACTTTCATGAATTTTTTTAGGGAGATAGAGTGAAATAAAATTATGATCCACTTTTCAGAGCACAGAATTCCAATTATATTTTCATTTTAGCTGGCTGTTTGACGGTAGTCATTCTCAGGATCTCTTCTCATAGATACAAGTATATCTATGACCCATAACTATATCTATGGTAATAAACTGAAAGAGCTAGTATTTTTGAGGTTTCCACATTGCCAACTCCCAAAAATTTGGAGAAAGGTGAAGATTCAAATTTAAAGTAACAAGAATGTCATGGACAAGAAACATAAAGTACTTAAGTTTTCCTTTCTGTTACTTTTATTATAATAAAAAAGGAGACAGCGGAATAAGTACTTCAATACTGTGTTTCTCATGTGTGTTTGAAAATATGTAGGAATAGTTTAATAGTTTTGGTTTCCTTTTTTTTTTTTTTTTTTAAAGATGCCACCTTAGGGGCCTGTTGGGGAGCAAAGGGATTATGTTGTCCTTGACGTTAAGGGAATTAGCCAAACATAGACTTCCTGTTCATTCTTGATTTTTTTTCCATGTCATATATGCCTATAAATATTTTTAAGTGACTCTCTATATTAATGTTTGTTGTTGTTGTTGTTACTTTCTTGTTAACCCGAGTATAAACTCCCATGGCAGCAACAGTGCCTTTTTTGCCCTCAGGGTTTTATGTGCTTAAGCAATGGCAGCTCCACATAATGATAGACTATATAATCAAAGAAAGGTAATATTCACGTGACTTTAGAATTAGCATGTAGCTGCATAGAATCTGCCTCTGGCTTTACCAGCAGTAGTAAATTTATAGAAGAGAAACAGAAATGCTTTGCTGTTAATTATGCTTAAATAAGAATAGAAGTAAAGGAGAGTATTACCTGCAAATCACCAGAGCAGCTTTCCCCCGTATAAGCAGTTCCTAAAGTGAATGAAAGCAGCTCTCCTTATGTGTCTGCCTACTTTATTCTTCCGTAAGTTTAGCAATTCATCTAGCTATCCTTTATTTGAAATGATTTCCAGATGCCTCCTCATATAAATTGCTGACTTCTGGATATATTCTGGTTCTGGAATGGGTAGATTTCTGATGTGATTTAGTATATATATATAAACCGCTTGAGTTTCTGGCATCTAATTTCTCTGATCCTGGTGACATTGATATTTAAAGTAGGGTTTGACATACTCTATCACTTACTGTTGATAAATAACGTTTATATTCTTCTTAGTTCATTTCATTGATGTGTTAGCTTAAAAGACATTTTCTTTGATGGAAAATGTAGTAACAAAATAATAGTGAAATAGTTCTGCGGTTGTCTCTAATTTCGTGATATTTTCCATGTACTTGAAACATGTATGGTATACCTCTTCTTTTTCCTTCTCTGAACAATGGCTAGAAAAAAAGCCTTACTTGTTTCTGTCATTTACTGTGAGCGATTACTGAATCTGGGTGTATTCATGTATGCTGCTACCTGTATGTTTTCAGATAATAAAAATTTTTTGAAACATATAAGACATTATACTTTCTCTTGTCCAGTATTGGATTATAGACTGCACTTAGTTTTTCGTAATGAAGTACAGACAAAGCCATAACATCTGTCAAACTATATATTGTCCTATAATATTGTCTGATACAAAACAGTCTAGAAATATTCTGACAGGGAAATAGCAAATGTATTAATTTAACTTACCTTGCAATCTCTCTTAATGGAGCCTTACCACCAGTGTAAGAAATAACTTCTGGGTGTGAATAAGTACACAGTATAAGGTAAACTTTGGTGAAATAGTCAATTCTTTTGTCATTAGTTCCCCCTTCACTCCCAAAGTGTAGCACTTGTCATAGAATCTTTCTTTCTTCATAAAGTCAGTCATTCATTTAGAATTCTGCATTATTGTATGTAGAAAAACAATATTTTACCTATTTTTGTTATATTCAGAATTATATTTCTTTCTAATTTTAAAAAAATGGTTTACCGTATTCATTTTTTTCTGGAACCTTTCTTTTCAGGCATTTCCTGCTTATCCAAATTCACCATTTCAAGTCGCCACTGGATATCAGTTCCCTGTATACAATTATCAGGTAATGTCAGAGGGAGTAAAATGATTTGCTTTTAGGTATTATTGAGGCCTTTAACTTGTTCATACAAATTTCCTGAATAGTTGCTCATTTTAAACTAGTGAATTGTACCTAAAATTTAAGGAAACACTTAGTGTAGAATGAAGACCTCTGTGTTATTTAGAATAATGAGGTAGTATTTTGACAGGAATATACTTGGCAATAACTTTTCTGTAGAACAGATTTCTGAGATTTGGTGTTCTCTTCTTCATTTCTGGATGTAGTTTTCATCTTTACTGTCAAATAGCTAAATGAAACGTCCAAAGTGTCTTTCATGAATTTTCTTAGGGAGATAGACTGAAATAAAATTATGCTGCACTTTTCAGAGCACAGAATCCCAATTACATTTTCATTTTAGCTGGCTGTTTGACGATAGTAATGCTCTGGATCTCTTTTCATAGATACAAGTGTATCTGTGACCCATAATTATATCTACGGTAATAAACTGAAAGAGCTAGTATCTTTGAGGTTTCCACATTGCGAAATCCCGAAAATGTGGAGAAAGCTGAAGTTTCCAATGTAAAAGTAACAAGAATGTCATGGACTAGAAACATAAAGTATTTGAGTTTTCCTTTCTGTTACTTTTATTACAATAAAAAAGGAGACAGCAGGATAAGTACTTTAATATTGTGTTTCTCATGTGTTTTTGAAAATGTGTAGTAATACTTCAATAGTTTTGGTTTCCTTTTATTTATTGATTGATTTTTTAAGATTCCACCTTAGGGGCCTGTTGGGTAGCAAAGGGATTATGTTGTCCTTGACGTTAAGGGAATTAGCCAAACATAGACTTCCTGTTCATTCTTGATTTTTTTCCATGTCATATATGCCTACAAATATTTTTAAGTGACTTTTTATGTTAATGTTTTTTTTGTTGTTGTTTCCTTCTTGTTAACCCGATTATAAACTCCCATGGCAGCAACAGTGCCTTTTTTGTCCTCAGGTTTTTATGTGCTTAAGCAATGGCAGGTCTACATAATGATAGACTATATAATCAAAGAAAGGGAGTATTCACGTGACTTTAGAATTAGCATGTGTCTGCACAGAATATGCCTCTGGCTTTACCAGCAGTAGAAAATTTATAGAAGAGAAACAGAAATGCTTTGCTGTTAATGACGCCTAAATAAGAATAGGAGTAAAGGAGAGTATTACCTCCAACTCACCGGAGCTGCTTTCCCCCTTATAAGCAGTTCCTAAAGTGAATGAAAGCAGCTCTCCTTATGTGTCTGCCTACTTTATTCTTCGGTAAGTTTAGCAGTTTATCTAGCTATCCTTTATTTGAAATGATTGCCACATGCCTCCTCATATAAATGGCTGACTTCTGGATATATTCTGGTTCTGGAATGGGCAGATTTCTGACGTGGTTTAGTATATATATATAAACCCGGTGAGTTTCTGGCATGTAATTTCTCTGATCGTGGTTACATTGATATTTAAAGTAGGGTTTGACATAGTGTGTCACTTACTGTTGATAAATATCGTTTATTTTCTTCTTAGTTCATTTCATTGATGTGTTAGCTTAAAAGACATTTTCTTTGACAGAAAATGAAGTAATGAAATAATAGTGAAATCGTTCTGCTGTGTCTCTAATTTGTTGATATTTTCCATGTACTTGAAACATGTATGGTATACCTCTTCTTTTTCCTTCTCTGAACCATGGCTAGAAAAAAAGCCCTACTTGTTTCTCTCGTTTACTGTGAGGCATTAGTGATTCTGGGTGTATTCATGTATGCTGCTACCTGTATGTTTTCAAACAATAAGAATTTGTTGAAACATGTCAGACATTATACTTTTTATTCTCCAGTATTGGAATATAGACTGCAATTAGTTTTTTGGAATGAAATACAGACAAAGCCATAACATCTATAGAACTACATATTACCCTACAATATTGTCTGATACAAAACAGTCTGGAAATATTCTTACAGCGAAATTGCAAATGTATTGATTTACCTTACATTGCAATCTGTCTTAGTGGAACCTTATCACCAGTGTAAGACATAATTTCTGGGTGTGAATAAGTACACAGTATAAGGTAAATTTTGGTGAAGTAGTCAGTTCTTTGTCATTTGTTCCCCCTTCACACCCAAAGTGTAGCACTTGACATAGAATCTTTCTTTCCTCATAAAGTCATTCATTTGGAATTCTGCATTGTTGTATGTAGAAAAAGGATATTTTCCGTTTTGTAATATTTTTCTTATATTGGGAATTATATTTCTTTCTAATTTTAAAATGTGGTTTACCATATTCATTTTTTCTGCAACCTTTTCAGGCATTTCCTGCTTATCCAAATTCACCAGTTCAGGTCACCACTGGATATCAGTTGCCTGTATACAATTATCAGGTAATGTAAGAGGTAGTAAAATGGTTTGCTTTCAGGTATTATTGAGGCCTTTAACTTGTTTATAGAAATTTCCTGAATAGTTGGTCATTTTTAACTAGTGAAGTGTCCCTAAAATTTAAGGAAAGACTTAGTGTAGAATGAAGACCTCTGTCTTATTTAGAAGTAATGAAGTAATATTTTTACAGGAATATCCTTGGCAATAACATTTGTGTAGAAGAGATTTCTGAGATTTGGTGTCCCCTTCTTCATTTGTGGATATAGTTTTCATCTTTGCTGTCAAATAGCTGAATGAAACATCCAAACTGACTTTCATGAATTTTTTTAGGGAGATAGAGTGAAATAAAATTATGATCCACTTTTCAGAGCACAGAATTCCAATTATATTTTCATTTTAGCTGGCTGTTTGACGGTAGTCATTCTCAGGATCTCTTCTCATAGATACAAGTATATCTATGACCCATAACTATATCTATGGTAATAAACTGAAAGAGCTAGTATTTTTGAGGTTTCCACATTGCCAACTCCCAAAAATTTGGAGAAAGGTGAAGATTCAAATTTAAAGTAACAAGAATGTCATGGACAAGAAACATAAAGTACTTAAGTTTTCCTTTCTGTTACTTTTATTATAATAAAAAAGGAGACAGCGGAATAAGTACTTCAATACTGTGTTTCTCATGTGTGTTTGAAAATATGTAGGAATAGTTTAATAGTTTTGGTTTCCTTTTTTTTTTTTTTTTTTTAAAGATGCCACCTTAGGGGCCTGTTGGGGAGCAAAGGGATTATGTTGTCCTTGACGTTAAGGGAATTAGCCAAACATAGACTTCCTGTTCATTCTTGATTTTTTTTCCATGTCATATATGCCTATAAATATTTTTAAGTGACTCTCTATATTAATGTTTGTTGTTGTTGTTGTTACTTTCTTGTTAACCCGAGTATAAACTCCCATGGCAGCAACAGTGCCTTTTTTGCCCTCAGGGTTTTATGTGCTTAAGCAATGGCAGCTCCACATAATGATAGACTATATAATCAAAGAAAGGTAATATTCACGTGACTTTAGAATTAGCATGTAGCTGCATAGAATCTGCCTCTGGCTTTACCAGCAGTAGTAAATTTATAGAAGAGAAACAGAAATGCTTTGCTGTTAATTATGCTTAAATAAGAATAGAAGTAAAGGAGAGTATTACCTGCAAATCACCAGAGCAGCTTTCCCCCGTATAAGCAGTTCCTAAAGTGAATGAAAGCAGCTCTCCTTATGTGTCTGCCTACTTTATTCTTCCGTAAGTTTAGCAATTCATCTAGCTATCCTTTATTTGAAATGATTTCCAGATGCCTCCTCATATAAATTGCTGACTTCTGGATATATTCTGGTTCTGGAATGGGTAGATTTCTGATGTGATTTAGTATATATATATAAACCGCTTGAGTTTCTGGCATCTAATTTCTCTGATCCTGGTGACATTGATATTTAAAGTAGGGTTTGACATACTCTATCACTTACTGTTGATAAATAACGTTTATATTCTTCTTAGTTCATTTCATTGATGTGTTAGCTTAAAAGACATTTTCTTTGATGGAAAATGTAGTAACAAAATAATAGTGAAATAGTTCTGCGGTTGTCTCTAATTTCGTGATATTTTCCATGTACTTGAAACATGTATGGTATACCTCTTCTTTTTCCTTCTCTGAACAATGGCTAGAAAAAAAGCCTTACTTGTTTCTGTCATTTACTGTGAGCGATTACTGAATCTGGGTGTATTCATGTATGCTGCTACCTGTATGTTTTCAGATAATAAAAATTTTTTGAAACATATAAGACATTATACTTTCTCTTGTCCAGTATTGGATTATAGACTGCACTTAGTTTTTCGTAATGAAGTACAGACAAAGCCATAACATCTGTCAAACTATATATTGTCCTATAATATTGTCTGATACAAAACAGTCTAGAAATATTCTGACAGGGAAATAGCAAATGTATTAATTTAACTTACCTTGCAATCTCTCTTAATGGAGCCTTACCACCAGTGTAAGAAATAACTTCTGGGTGTGAATAAGTACACAGTATAAGGTAAACTTTGGTGAAATAGTCAATTCTTTTGTCATTAGTTCCCCCTTCACTCCCAAAGTGTAGCACTTGTCATAGAATCTTTCTTTCTTCATAAAGTCAGTCATTCATTTAGAATTCTGCATTATTGTATGTAGAAAAACAATATTTTACCTATTTTTGTTATATTCAGAATTATATTTCTTTCTAATTTTAAAAAAATGGTTTACCGTATTCATTTTTTTCTGGAACCTTTCTTTTCAGGCATTTCCTGCTTATCCAAATTCACCATTTCAAGTCGCCACTGGATATCAGTTCCCTGTATACAATTATCAGGTAATGTCAGAGGGAGTAAAATGATTTGCTTTTAGGTATTATTGAGGCCTTTAACTTGTTCATACAAATTTCCTGAATAGTTGCTCATTTTAAACTAGTGAATTGTACCTAAAATTTAAGGAAACACTTAGTGTAGAATGAAGACCTCTGTGTTATTTAGAATAATGAGGTAGTATTTTGACAGGAATATACTTGGCAATAACTTTTCTGTAGAACAGATTTCTGAGATTTGGTGTTCTCTTCTTCATTTCTGGATGTAGTTTTCATCTTTACTGTCAAATAGCTAAATGAAACGTCCAAAGTGTCTTTCATGAATTTTCTTAGGGAGATAGACTGAAATAAAATTATGCTGCACTTTTCAGAGCACAGAATCCCAATTACATTTTCATTTTAGCTGGCTGTTTGACGATAGTAATGCTCTGGATCTCTTTTCATAGATACAAGTGTATCTGTGACCCATAATTATATCTACGGTAATAAACTGAAAGAGCTAGTATCTTTGAGGTTTCCACATTGCGAAATCCCGAAAATGTGGAGAAAGCTGAAGTTTCCAATGTAAAAGTAACAAGAATGTCATGGACTAGAAACATAAAGTATTTGAGTTTTCCTTTCTGTTACTTTTATTACAATAAAAAAGGAGACAGCAGGATAAGTACTTTAATATTGTGTTTCTCATGTGTTTTTGAAAATGTGTAGTAATACTTCAATAGTTTTGGTTTCCTTTTATTTATTGATTGATTTTTTAAGATTCCACCTTAGGGGCCTGTTGGGTAGCAAAGGGATTATGTTGTCCTTGACGTTAAGGGAATTAGCCAAACATAGACTTCCTGTTCATTCTTGATTTTTTTCCATGTCATATATGCCTACAAATATTTTTAAGTGACTTTTTATGTTAATGTTTTTTTTGTTGTTGTTTCCTTCTTGTTAACCCGATTATAAACTCCCATGGCAGCAACAGTGCCTTTTTTGTCCTCAGGTTTTTATGTGCTTAAGCAATGGCAGGTCTACATAATGATAGACTATATAATCAAAGAAAGGGAGTATTCACGTGACTTTAGAATTAGCATGTGTCTGCACAGAATATGCCTCTGGCTTTACCAGCAGTAGAAAATTTATAGAAGAGAAACAGAAATGCTTTGCTGTTAATGACGCCTAAATAAGAATAGGAGTAAAGGAGAGTATTACCTCCAACTCACCGGAGCTGCTTTCCCCCTTATAAGCAGTTCCTAAAGTGAATGAAAGCAGCTCTCCTTATGTGTCTGCCTACTTTATTCTTCGGTAAGTTTAGCAGTTTATCTAGCTATCCTTTATTTGAAATGATTGCCACATGCCTCCTCATATAAATGGCTGACTTCTGGATATATTCTGGTTCTGGAATGGGCAGATTTCTGACGTGGTTTAGTATATATATATAAACCCGGTGAGTTTCTGGCATGTAATTTCTCTGATCGTGGTTACATTGATATTTAAAGTAGGGTTTGACATAGTGTGTCACTTACTGTTGATAAATATCGTTTATTTTCTTCTTAGTTCATTTCATTGATGTGTTAGCTTAAAAGACATTTTCTTTGACAGAAAATGAAGTAATGAAATAATAGTGAAATCGTTCTGCTGTGTCTCTAATTTGTTGATATTTTCCATGTACTTGAAACATGTATGGTATACCTCTTCTTTTTCCTTCTCTGAACCATGGCTAGAAAAAAAGCCCTACTTGTTTCTCTCGTTTACTGTGAGGCATTAGTGATTCTGGGTGTATTCATGTATGCTGCTACCTGTATGTTTTCAAACAATAAGAATTTGTTGAAACATGTCAGACATTATACTTTTTATTCTCCAGTATTGGAATATAGACTGCAATTAGTTTTTTGGAATGAAATACAGACAAAGCCATAACATCTATAGAACTACATATTACCCTACAATATTGTCTGATACAAAACAGTCTGGAAATATTCTTACAGCGAAATTGCAAATGTATTGATTTACCTTACATTGCAATCTGTCTTAGTGGAACCTTATCACCAGTGTAAGACATAATTTCTGGGTGTGAATAAGTACACAGTATAAGGTAAATTTTGGTGAAGTAGTCAGTTCTTTGTCATTTGTTCCCCCTTCACACCCAAAGTGTAGCACTTGACATAGAATCTTTCTTTCCTCATAAAGTCATTCATTTGGAATTCTGCATTGTTGTATGTAGAAAAAGGATATTTTCCGTTTTGTAATATTTTTCTTATATTGGGAATTATATTTCTTTCTAATTTTAAAATGTGGTTTACCATATTCATTTTTTCTGCAACCTTTTCAGGCATTTCCTGCTTATCCAAATTCACCAGTTCAGGTCACCACTGGATATCAGTTGCCTGTATACAATTATCAGGTAATGTAAGAGGTAGTAAAATGGTTTGCTTTCAGGTATTATTGAGGCCTTTAACTTGTTTATAGAAATTTCCTGAATAGTTGGTCATTTTTAACTAGTGAAGTGTCCCTAAAATTTAAGGAAAGACTTAGTGTAGAATGAAGACCTCTGTCTTATTTAGAAGTAATGAAGTAATATTTTTACAGGAATATCCTTGGCAATAACATTTGTGTAGAAGAGATTTCTGAGATTTGGTGTCCCCTTCTTCATTTGTGGATATAGTTTTCATCTTTGCTGTCAAATAGCTGAATGAAACATCCAAACTGACTTTCATGAATTTTTTTAGGGAGATAGAGTGAAATAAAATTATGATCCACTTTTCAGAGCACAGAATTCCAATTATATTTTCATTTTAGCTGGCTGTTTGACGGTAGTCATTCTCAGGATCTCTTCTCATAGATACAAGTATATCTATGACCCATAACTATATCTATGGTAATAAACTGAAAGAGCTAGTATTTTTGAGGTTTCCACATTGCCAACTCCCAAAAATTTGGAGAAAGGTGAAGATTCAAATTTAAAGTAACAAGAATGTCATGGACAAGAAACATAAAGTACTTAAGTTTTCCTTTCTGTTACTTTTATTATAATAAAAAAGGAGACAGCGGAATAAGTACTTCAATACTGTGTTTCTCATGTGTGTTTGAAAATATGTAGGAATAGTTTAATAGTTTTGGTTTCCTTTTTTTTTTTTTTTTTTTAAAGATGCCACCTTAGGGGCCTGTTGGGGAGCAAAGGGATTATGTTGTCCTTGACGTTAAGGGAATTAGCCAAACATAGACTTCCTGTTCATTCTTGATTTTTTTTCCATGTCATATATGCCTATAAATATTTTTAAGTGACTCTCTATATTAATGTTTGTTGTTGTTGTTGTTACTTTCTTGTTAACCCGAGTATAAACTCCCATGGCAGCAACAGTGCCTTTTTTGCCCTCAGGGTTTTATGTGCTTAAGCAATGGCAGCTCCACATAATGATAGACTATATAATCAAAGAAAGGTAATATTCACGTGACTTTAGAATTAGCATGTAGCTGCATAGAATCTGCCTCTGGCTTTACCAGCAGTAGTAAATTTATAGAAGAGAAACAGAAATGCTTTGCTGTTAATTATGCTTAAATAAGAATAGAAGTAAAGGAGAGTATTACCTGCAAATCACCAGAGCAGCTTTCCCCCGTATAAGCAGTTCCTAAAGTGAATGAAAGCAGCTCTCCTTATGTGTCTGCCTACTTTATTCTTCCGTAAGTTTAGCAATTCATCTAGCTATCCTTTATTTGAAATGATTTCCAGATGCCTCCTCATATAAATTGCTGACTTCTGGATATATTCTGGTTCTGGAATGGGTAGATTTCTGATGTGATTTAGTATATATATATAAACCGCTTGAGTTTCTGGCATCTAATTTCTCTGATCCTGGTGACATTGATATTTAAAGTAGGGTTTGACATACTCTATCACTTACTGTTGATAAATAACGTTTATATTCTTCTTAGTTCATTTCATTGATGTGTTAGCTTAAAAGACATTTTCTTTGATGGAAAATGTAGTAACAAAATAATAGTGAAATAGTTCTGCAGTGTTTCTAATTTGTTGATATTTTCCATGTACTTGAAACATGTATGGTATACCTCTTATTTTTCCTTCTCTGAACAATGGGTAGAAGAAAAGCTCTACTTGTTACTGTCATTTACTGTGAGCCATTACTGAATCTGGGTGTATTCATGTATGCTACTGCCTGTATGTTTTCAAACAATAAGCATTTATTGAAACATATAAGACATTATACTTCCTCTTCTCCAGTATTGGATTATAGACTGCACTTAGTTTTTTGGAATGAAGTACAGACAAAGCCATAACATCTATAGAACTACATATTACCCTATAATATTGTCTGATACAAAACAGTCTAGAAATATTCTTACAGCAAAATTGCAAATGTATTAATTTAACTTACATTGCAATCTGTCTTAATGGAGCCTTATCACCAGTGTAAGAAATAACTTCTGGGTGTGAATAAGTACACAGTATAAGGTAAACTTTGGTGAAGTAGTCAATTCTTTTTTTTTAAAAAATTATGCTTTAAGTTTTAGGGTCCATGTGCACATTGTGCAGGTTAGTTCCATATGTATACATGTGCCATGCTGGTGCTCTGCACCCTCTAACTCCTCATCTAGCATTAGGTATATCTCCCAGTGCTATCCCTCCCCCCTCCCCCCACCCCACAACAGTCCCCAGAGTGTGATATATCCCTTCCTGTGTCCATGTGATCTCATTGTTCAATTCCCACCTATGAGTGAGAATATGCGGTGTTTGGTTTTTTGTTCTTGCGATAGTTTACTGAGAATGATGATTTCCAATTTCATCCATGTCCCTACAAAGGACATGAAGTCATCATTTTTTATGGCGGCATAGTATTCCATGGTGTATATGTGCCACATTTTCTTAATCCAGTCTATCATTGTTGGACATTTGGGTTGGTTCCAAGTCTTTGCTATTGTGAATAATGCCGCAATAAACATACGTGTGCATGTGTCTTTATAGCAGCATGATTTATAGTCCTTTGTGTATACACCCAGTAATGGGATGGCTGGGTCAAATGCTATTTCCAGTTCTAGATCCCTGAGGAATCGCCACACTGACTTCCACAATGGTTGAACTAGTTTACAGTCCCGCCAACAGTGTAAAAGTGTTCCTGTTTCTCCACATCTTCTCCAGCACCTGTTGTCTCCTGACTTTTAAATGATTGCCATTCTAACTGGTGTGAGATGGTATCTCACTGTGGTTTTGATTTGCATTTCTCTGATGGCCAGTGATGATGAGCATTTTTTCATGTGTTTTTTGGCTGCATAAATGTCTTCTTTTGAGAAGTGTCTGTTCATGTCCTTCACCCACTTTTTGATGAGGTTGTTTGTTTTTTCTTGTAAATTTGTTTTAGCTCATTGTAGATTCTGGATATTAGCCCTTTGTCAGATGAGTAGGTTGTGAAAATTTTCTCCCATTTTGTAGGTTGCCTGTTCACTCTGATGGTAGTTTCTTTTTCTGTGCAGAAGCTCTTTAGTTTAATTAGATCCCATTTGTCAATTTTGTCTTTTATTGCCATTGCTTTTGGTGTTTTAGACGTGAAGTCCTCGCCTATGCCTATGTCCTGAATGGTAATGCCTAGGTTTTCTTCTAGGGTTTTTATGGTTTTACGTCTAACGTTTAAGTCTTTAATCCATCTTGAATTGATTTTTGTATAAGGTGTAAGGAAGGGATCCAGTTTCAGCTTTCTACATATGGCTAGCCAGTTTTCCCAGCACCATTTATTAAATAGGGAATCCTTTCCCCATTGCTTGTTTTTCTCAGGTTTGTCAAAGATCAGATAGTTGTAGATATGCGGCGTTATTTCTGAGGGCTCTGTTCTGTTCCATTGATCTATATCTCTGTTTTGGTACCAGTACCATGCTGTTTTGGTTACTGTAGCCTTGTAGTATAGTTTGAAGTCAGGTAGTGTGATGCCTCCAGCTTTGTTCTTTTGGCTTAGGATTGACTTGGCAATGCGGGCTCTTTTTTGGTTCCATGTGAACTTTAAAGTAGTTTTTTCCAATTCTGTGAAGAAAGGCATTGGTAGCTTGATGGGGATGGCATTGAATCTGTAAATTACCTTGGGCAGTATGGCCATTTTCACGATATTGATTCTTCCTACTCATGAGCATGGAATGTTCTTCCATTTGTTTGTATCCTCTTTTATTTCCTTGAGCAGTGGTTTGTAGTTCTCCTTGAAGAGGTCCTTCACATCCCTTGTAAGTTGATTTCCTAGGCATTTTATTCCCTTTGAAGCAATTGTGAATGGGAGTTCACTCATGATTGGGCTCTCTGTTTGTCTGTTGTTGGTGTATAAGAAAGCTTGTGATTTTTGTACATTGATTTTGTATCCTGAGACTTTGCTGAAGTTGCTTATCAGCTTAAGGAGATTTTGGGCTGAGACAATGGGGTTTTCTAGATATATAATCATGTTGTCTGCAAACAGGGACAATTTGACTTCCTCCTTTCCTAATTGAATACCCTTTATTTCCTTCTCCTGCCTAATTGCCCTGGCCAGAACTTCCAACACTATGTTGAATAGGAGTGGTGAGAGAGGGCATCCCTCTCTTGTGCCAGTTTTCAAAGGGAATGCTTCCAGTTTTTGCCCATTCAGTATGATATTGGCTGTGGGTTTGTCATAGATAGCTCTTACTATTTTGAAATACGTCCCATCAATACCTAATTTATTGAGAGTTTTTAGCATGAAGGGTTGTTGAATTTTGTCAAGGGCTTTTTCTGCATCTATTGAGATAATCATGTGTTTTTTGTCTTTGGTTCTGTTTATATGCTGGATTACATTTATTGATTTGCGTATATTGAACCAGCCTTGCATCCCAGCGATGAAGCCCACTTGATCATGGTGGATAAGCTTTTTGATGTGCCGCTGGATTCGTTTTGCCAGTATTTTATTGAGGATTTTTGCATCAATGTTCATCAAGGATATTGGTCTAAAATTCTCTTTTTTGGTTGTGTCTCTGCCTGGCTTTGGTATCAGAATGATGCTGGCCTCATAAAATGAGTTAGGGAGGATTCTGTCTTTTTCTGTTGATTGGAATAGTTTCAGAAGGAATGGTACCAGTTCCTCCTTGTACCTCTGGTAGAATTCGGCTGTGAATCCATCTGGTCCTGGACTCTTTTTGGTTGGTGAGCTATTGATTATTGCCACAATTTCAGCTCCTGTTATTGGTCTATTCAGAGATTCAACTTCTTCCTGGTTTAGTCTTGGGAGAGTGTATGTGTCGAGGAGTTTATCCATTTCTTCTAGATTTTCTAGTTTATTTGCGTAGAGGTGTTTGTAGTATTCTCTGATGGTAGTTTGTATTTCTGTGTGATCAGTGGCGATATCCCCTTTATCATTTTTTATTGCGTCTATTGGATTCTTCTCTCTTTTTTTCTTTATTAGTCTTGCTAGCGGTCTGTCACTTTTGTTGATCCTTTCAAAAAACCAGCTCCTGGATTCATTAATTTTTTGAAGGGTTTTTTGTGTCTCTATTTCCTTCAGTTCTGCTCTGATCTTAGTTATTTCTTGCCTTCTGCTAGCTTTTGACTGTGTTTGCTCTTGCTTTTCTAGTTCTTTTAATTGTGATGTTACGGTGTCAATTTTGGATCTTTCCTGCTTTCTCTTGTGGGCATTTAGTGCTATAAATTTCCCTCTACACACTGCTTTGAATGCATCCCAGAGATTCCGGTATGTTGTGTCTTTGTTCTCGTTGGTTTCAAAGAACATCTTTATTTCTGCCTTCATTTTGTTATGTACCCAGTAGTCATTCAGGAGCAGGTTGTTCAGTTTCCATGTAGTTGAGTGGTTTTGAGTGAGATTCTTAATCCTGAGTTCTAGTTTGATTGCACTGTGGTCTGAGAGATAGTTTGTTATAATTTCTGTTCTTTTACATCCGCTGAGGAGAGCTTTACTTCCCAGTATGTGGTCAGTTTTGGAATAGGTGTGGTGTGGTGCTGAAAAAAAATGTATATTCTGTTGATTTGGGGTGGAGAGTTCTGTAGATGTCTATTAGGTCCACTTGGTGCAGAGCTGAGTTCAATTCCTGGGTATCCTTGTTGACTTTCTGTCTCGTTGATCTGTCTAATGTTGACAGTGGGGTGTTAAAGTCTCCCATTATTAATGTGTGGGAGTCTAAGTCTCTTTGTAGGTCACTCAGGACTTGCTTTATGAATCGTGGTGCTCCTGTATTGGGTGCATATATATTTAGGATAGTTAGCTCTTCTTGTTGAATTGATCCCTTTACCATTATGTAATGGCCTTCTTTGTCTCTTTTGATCTTTGTTGGTTTAAAGTCTGTTTTATCAGAGACTAGGATTGCAACCCCTGCCTTTTTTTGTTTTCCATTTGCTTGGTAGATCTTCCTGCATCCTTTTATTTTGAGCCTATGTGTGTCTCTGCACGTGAGATGGGTTTCCTGAATACAGCACACTGATGGGTCTTGACTCTTTATCCAGTTTGCCAGTCTGTGTCTTTTAATTGGAGCATTTAGTCCATTGACATTTAAAGTTAATATTGTTATGTATGAATTTGATCCTGTCATTATGATGTTAGCTGGTTATTTTGCTTGTTAGTTGATGCAGTTTCTTCCTAGTCTCGATGGTCTTTACATTTTGGCATGATTTTGCAGCGGCTGGTACCGGTTGTTCCTTTCCATGTTTAGTGCTTCCTTCAGGAGCTCTTATAAGGCAGGCTTGGTGGTGACAAAATCTCTCAGCATTTGCTTGTCTGTAAAGTATTTTATTTCTCCTTCGCTTATGAAGCTTAGTTTGGCTGGATATGAAATTCTGGGTTGAAAATTATTTTCTTTAAGAATGTTGAATATTGGCCCCCACTCTCTTCTGGCTTGTAGGGTTTCTGCCGAGAGATCCACTGTTAGTCTGATGGGCTTCCCTTTGAGGGTAACCCGACCTTTCTCTCTGGCTGCCCTTAACATTTTTTCCTTCATTTCAACTTTGGTGAATCTGACAATTATGTGTCTTGGAGTTGCTCTTCTCGAGGAGTATCTTTGTGGCGTTCTCTGTATTTCCTGAATCTGAACGTTGGCCTGCCTTGCTAGATTGGGGAAGTTCTCCTGGATAATATCCTGCAGAGTGTTTTCCAGCTTGGTTCCATTCTCCTGATCACTTTCAGGTACACCAAGCAGACGTAGATTTGGTCTTTTCACATAGTCCCATATTTCTTGGAGGCTTTGCTCATTTCGTTTTATTCTTTTTTCTCCAAACTTCCCTTCTCACTTCATTTCATTCATTTCATCTTCCATTGCTGATACCCTTTCTTCCAGTTGATCGCATCAGCTCCTGAGGCTTCTGCATTCTTCACGTAGTTCTTGAGCCTTGGTTTTCAGCTCCATCAGCTCCTTTAAGCACTTCTCTGTATTGGTTATTCTAGTTATACATTCTTCTACATTTTTTTTTCCAAAGTTTTCAACTTCTTTGCCTTTGGTTTGAATGTCCTCCCGTAGCTCAGAGTAATTTGATCGTCTGAAGCCTTCTTCTCTCAGCTCGTCAAAGTCATTCTCCATCCAGCTTTGTTCCGTTGCTGGTGAGGAACTGCGTTCCTTTGGAGGAGGAGAGGTGCTCTGCTTTTTAGAGTTTCCAGTTTTTCTGTTCTGTTTTTTCCCCCTCTTTGTGGTTTTATCTACTTTTGGTCTTTGATGATGGTGATGTACAGATGGGTTTTTGGTGTGGATGTCCTTTCTGTTTGTTAGTTTTCCTTCTAACTGAGAGGACCCTCAGCTGCAGGTCTGTTGGAATACCCTGCCGTGTGAGGTGTCAGTGTGCCCCTGCTGGGGGGTGCCTCCCAGTTAGGCTGCTCGGGGGGTCAGGGGTCAGGGACCCACTTGACGAGGCAGTCTGCCCGTTCTCAGATCTCCAGCTGCGTGCTGGGAGAACCACTGCTCTCTTCAAAGCTGTCAGACAGGGTCATTTAAGTCTGCAGAGGTTACTGCTGTCTTTTTGTTTGTCTGTGCCCTGCCCCTAGAGGTGGAGCCTACAGAGGCAGGCAGGCCTCCTTGAGCTGTGGTGGGCTCCACCCAGTTGGAGCTTCCCTGCGGCTTTGTTTACCTAATCAAGCCTGGGCAATGGCGGGCGCCCCTCCCCCAGCCTCGTTGCCGCCTTGCAGTTTGATCTCAGACTGCTGTGCTAGCAATCAGTGAGACTGCGTGGGCGTAGGACCCTCCGAGCCAGGTGCGGGATATAATCTAGTGGTGTGCCGTTTTTTAAGCCCGTCGGAAAAGCGCAGTATTCGGGTGGGAGTGACCCGATTCTCCAGGTGGCATCCGTCACCCCTTTCTTTGACTCAGAAGGGAACTCCCTGACCGCTTGCGCGTCCCAAGTGAGGCAATGCCTCGCCCTGCTTCCGCTCGCACGCGGTGAGCCCACCCACTGACCTGCGCCCACTGTCTGGCACTCCCTAGTGAGATGAACCCGGTACCTCAGATGGAAATGCAGAAATCACCCGTCTTCGGCGTCGCTCACGCTGGGAGCTATAGACTGGAGCTGTTCCTATTCGGCCATCTTGGCTCCTCCCCCACCCCCCTTTTTTTTTCAAGATGCCACCATAGGGGCCTGTTGGGGAGCAAAGGGATTATGTTTTCCTTGATGTTAAGTGAATTAGCCAAACATAGACTTCCTGTTCATTCTTGGTTTTTTTCCACGTCGTATATGCCTATTACTATTTTTAAGTGATTTTTATATCAATGTTTTAGTTTATTTTTTTACTTTCTTGTTAACCCGATTGTAAACTCCCATGGGAGCAACAGTGCCTTTTTTGCCCTGAGGTTTTTACTTGCTTAAGCAATGGCAGGTCCACTTAATGATAGACCATATCATCAAAGAAAGGTAGTATTCATGTGGCTTTTGAATTAGCATGCATCTGCGTAGATTCTGCCTCTGGCTTTACCAGCAACAGAAAATTTGTAGAACAGAGACAGAAATGCTTTGCTGTTAATTGCGCTTAAATAAGAATAGGAGTAAACGAGAGTATTACCTCCAAAGCACCAGAGCTGCTTTCCTCCTTATAACCAGTTCCTAAAGTGAATGAAAGCAGCTCTCCTTATGTGTCTGCCTACTTCATTCTTCGGTAAGTTTAACAGTTCATCTAGCTACCCTTTATTTGAAATGATTTCCAGATGCCTCCTCATATAAATTGCTGACTTCTGGATATATTCTGGTTCGGGAATGGGTAGATTTCTGATGTGGTTTAGTAGGTATATAAATCCCGTGAGCTTCTTGCATCTAATTTCTCTGATCCTGCTTACACTGATATTTAAAGTAGGTTTTGACATACTCCATCACTTAATGTTGATAAAGGACGTTTATATTCTTCTTAGTTCGTTTTATTTATGTGTTAGCTTTAAAGACATTTTCTTTGACGGAAAATGAAGTAACAAAATAATAGTCCAATAGTTCTGCAGTGTCTCTAATTTGTTGATGTTTTCCATGTACTTGAAACATGTGTGGTATACCTCTTCTTTTTCCTTCTCTGAACAATGGCTGGAAAAAAAGCCCTACTTGTTTCTGTCATTTACTGTGCGGCATTACTGAATCAGGGCATATTCATGTATGCTGCTACCTGTATGTTTTCAAACAATAAGAATTCATTGAAACATATAAGACATTATACTTTCTCTTCTCCAGTATTGGATTATAGACTGCACTTAGTTTTTTGGAATGAAGTACAAACATAGCACTAATATCTATAGAACTACATATTACCCTTTAATATTGTCTGATACAAAACAGTCTAGAAATATTCTGACATTGAAATAGCAAATGTATAAATTTAACTTACATTGCAATCTGTCTTAATGGAGCCTTATCACCGGTGTAAGAAAGAATTTCTGGGTGTGAATAAGTACACAGTATAAGGTAAACTTTGGTGAAATAGTCAATTCTTTTGTCATTTGTTCCCCCTTCACACCCAAAGTGTGGCACATGACATAGACTATTTCTTTCTTCATAAAGTCAGTCATTCATTTAGAATTCTGCATTGTTGTATGTAGAAAAATGATATTTTAACGTTTTTAATATTTTTGTTACATTGGGAATGATATTTCTTTCTAATTTTAAAAAATGGTTTACCATATTCTTTTTTTTCTGCCACCTTTCTTTTCAGGCATTTCCTGCTTATCCAAATTCAGCAGTTCAGGTCACCACTGGATATCAGTTCCATGTATACAATTACCAGGTAATGTAAGAAGGAATGAAATGATTTGCTTTCAGGTATTATTGAGGCCTTTAACTTGTTTATACAAATTTCCTGAATAGTTGGTCATTTTAAACTAGTGAAGTGTACCTAATATTTAAGGAAACACTTAGAATTAGTGTAGAATGAAGACCTCTGTCTGATTTAGAAGTAATGAAGTAATATTTTGACAGGAATGTACTTGGCAATAACTTTTCTGTAGAACAGTTTTCTGAGATTTGACCCTTCTATATTTCAGGATATAGTTTTCATCTTTGCTGTCAAATAGCTGAATGAAACCTCCAGAATGACTTTCATGAATTTTTTAGGGATATAGAGTAAATAAAATTATTACCCAATTCTTAGAGCACATAATTCAAATTATAGTTTCATTTAGTAGGCTGTTTCCCGACAATTGTTGTCTGGTTCTCTTTTCATAGTAGAGAGGACTCTATCTATGACCAATAATCATATGTAGCATAATAAGTTCAAAGTAGTAACATCTTTGAGATTTCCACAATGCCAAATCCAAAAATTGGGGAAAAGGTGTGGTTTCGTATTTGTATGTGGAAGTAACAACAAGAATGTCAGGAATTAGAACCATAAAGTACTTCTTTTTTTCCATTGTCTTTCTTTTATTATAATAACAAAGGAGCCAGCATAGGTACTTCAATATTTTATATATCATTTGTTTTTGAAAATGTTTATGAATATTTGAATAATTTTGTTTTCCTATTTTTTTTTTAAGATGCCACCGCAGTGCCCTGTTGGGGAGCAAAGGAGGTAGGTTGTACCTCTGGTAAAGTGAATTAGCCTACCATGTACTTCTGTTCTTTCTGGATTATTTTCCATATCATTTATGCCTTATAAATATTTTAAATGATTCTTTATATTAATGTGTTACATTTTGTTACTTTCTTTTTAACCCAGTTACAATCTCCCATGGGTGCAACAGTGCCTTTTTCTCTCTCAGGTTTTTGTGTGCTTAAGGAGTGGCTGGTCCACATAATAAGTGTTCAGTTACTTGTTGATAGACTGTGTAATCTAAGAAAGATAGTATTAATGTCACTTTAGAATTAGCATGTATCTGCGTAGGGTCTGCCTCTGGTTTTACCAGCCACAAAAAATTTGTTGAAGAGAAACAGAAATGTTTTGCTGTTAATTACTCTTAAATAAGAATAGGAATAAAAAAAGAGTATTACCTCTAAAATACCTGAACTTCTTTCCCCCATTATACCTAGTTCTGAAAACATTTGAAAGCAGCTGTTCTAATGTTTCTGCCTAGTTTATTCTTTAAGGATAGCGATTAATCTAGCTCTTCTTTACTTGCAATGATTTCCAGTTGACTCCTCATATAAACTGCTGACTTCGGGATATATTCTCGGTCTGGAATGTATAGATTTCTGACCTATTTTACTGTACCTATAAATCCTGTGAATTTCTGGCATGTAATTTCTCTGATCCTGATTACTTTGATATTTAAAGTAGGATTTGACATACTCTATCACTTATTGGTGATAAATAACGTCTGTTTTCTTCTTAGTCCATTTTATTTATGTGTTAGTTTAAAAGACATTTTCTTTGATGGAAAATAAAGTAACAAAATAGTAGTGAAATAGTTCTTCAGTGTCTCTCATTTATTGACATTTTCTGTGTACTTGAAATGTGTAGGATATACCTCTTCTTCTTTTTTCTTCTCTGAACAATGGCTAGAGACAAAGCCCTACTTGTTTCTAACATTTACGGTGAGCCATTACTGAATTTGGGTGTATTCATGTATGCTGCTTCCTATATGTTTTCAAACAATAAGTATTTATCGAAACATATAAGACATCGTACTGTCCTTCTCCAGTTTTGGATTGTACACTGCCCTTAGTTTTTCGAAATGAAGTACAGAAAAAAAACATAACATCTGTAGGAGAACTACATATTACCCTGTAATATTGTCAAACACAAAACTATCTGGAAGTATATTGACAAAGAAATAGCAAATGTATTAACTTAACTTACATTGAGATCTGTCTTAATGGAGCCTTACCAGCAGTGTAAGAAACAACTTCTGGGTGGGCATAAGTACACAGTGTCAGTAAGGTGAACTTTGCCTGGTGAAATAGTCACTACTTTGTCATTTGTGTGTTCCCCCGCCCCACCCAAAGGGGCTTAGCACTTGACAGAGAATATTTATTTCTTCCTGAAGTCATTCATTCATTTAGAATTCTGCATTGTTTTATATAGAAAATTAATAAATATTTTAAAGTTTTTCATTTTTTTTATTTTGGGAATAATATTTTTTTCTAATTTAAAAAGATGTTTTACCATATTCATTCTTTCTGTAAACTTACTTTCAGACATATCCTACTTATCCAAATTCACCAGGTCAGGTCACCACTGGGTGTCAGTTGCCTGTATGTAATTATCAGGTAATTGAAGAGGGAGTAAAATGATTTGTTTTCAGATATTATTGAAGCCTTTAACTTGTTTATATGAATTTCCCAAATAGTGTGTCATTTTAAACTAGTGAAATGTACCTAAAATTTAGGAAAACACTTGCAATGGTCTAGAATGAAGCCCTCTGTATTATTTAGAAGTAATGAATTAACATTTTGACAGGGATATACTTAGCAATAACTTTTCTGTAAAACAGTTTTCTGAGATTCGTTGTCCCCTTCTATATTTCAGCGTGTATTTTTTCATCTTTTTCATCTTTTTATCATCCCATTCTTAGAGCACAGAATTCCAATTATATTTTTATTTTAAGCTTGCTGCTTCATGATAGTAGTTCTCTGGGCCTCTTTTCATAGATATGACTACATCTGTGACCCATAATCATATCTATGGTGATAAGTAATAAATTGAAAAAACTAGTATCCTTGAGATTTCCACAATGCCAACTCCAGAAAATTGGGAAAATGGCGAGGTTTTATGTATAAAAGTAACAAGAACATCAGGGATTAGAAACATAAAGTACTTCTTTTTTTTTTTTTACTCTGTTTCTTTCACTTTAATAACAAATGAGCCAGCATGATAAGTGCTTCAATATTGTGTATCTCATGAGTTTTTGAAAATGTGTAGGAATATTTTAATAGTTTTGGTTTCCTTCTTTTTATTTTTTTAAGGTGCTACCGCAGTGGCCTGTTGGGGAGCAAAAGGGGTTATGGAGTAAAGTGAATTAGTGAAACGTATACTTCCTCATCTTTCTTGACTTTTTTCTATGCCATATATGCCTGTAGATATTTTTAAATGGTTCTTTATATTAATGTTTTATGTTTTGTTACTTTATTTTTAACCCAATTATAAACTCCCATGGGAGCAACAGTGCCTTTTTGTCTCTCACATTTTTGTGTGCTGAAACAGTGGCTGGTCCACATAATGATAAGTGTTCAGTTACTTGTTGATAGATTATATAATCCAGGAATGGCGGTATTAACTGGCTTTAGAATTAGCATGTATCTGCCTAGAATATGCCTCTGGCTTTACTAGCCATAAAACATTTGTTGAGGAGAAACCGAAATGTTTTGCTATTAATTACTCTTAAAGAGGAATAGGAATAAAACAAGAGTATTACCTCTAATACAACAGAGCTGCTGTCTTACATCACGATTGGATATTTGAAGGATATAGTAAGTGTTAAAATTCTCAAACACTCCCTTAACTACATTTGTTTCTTAGAATCCTTCTACCTCTGATTATGTTGATACCTGGAAGACGTTTTAAAACAAAAGGCTGCCTTAATGCATTTCAACTTTTCGTTTAAAACAAGGTTTCTGAAGTAACACAATTGAATTTCAACACAACCTACATTGAAACTTTTGATACCAGCTCACCTTTTTGAGGAATAAATAAGTAGCTTTTAAACGTATCTGTATTATCTGTTTAATTACACTTTCATTATTTTAAATATAGGCTTATTCAGCTCTTAACTGTCACTGTAGTGAAGTTGATACAGGAGGTGATGTTGTGCTAAATGAATGCTCAATTCATGAAGCTACCCCACCCTCTGGAAATGGCCCACAAAAGGCAAACATCTAATTTTGAATTTTTTTTACAATATATATTTCATATTTTTTTCTAATTTGAATGACTTTTTTTGAGAAGCAAACATTTTTGCCCAAATTTAAAAATGTTAGCCATAAATCATGGAGCTTAAATAATGGACTGATAGTCAGCAGTTAATGTAAAGGTTGTTGAAATTTCAGATACCCCAAATTTTCAGTATATACCTAAAGTTTCTGATTCAGCAAGTCCTTTCCTGTATTTCAGTTTCACTAATTTTAAAAAGCCATTCTTTAATAAATACTGTATTAATATGATTTGGCAGAATGCTATGGGAGGGTTTCCTCTAGAATTCTACTCAAAAGAAGAATTAGTACGAATTGTATGTCCCTTTTCTTTTACAACAGTTTTGATCTTAAGCAGTGAAAAATACCATTTAAATAAGCATTCTCTCCATAACATTATATGTGGCAGAAGTTTCCAACAGTGGTGAAGTCAGTAGTAATTATTCAAACACTGAAATAGACAGGGTTGTTTCTTTTTTTTATCATTAGTGCAAATTTCTGTAATAACAGTACTGTCACTCCTGGCGTCACATATGTTCTGTTAGATAGGTGGGCGTGTGGAAGTAGTTGATGTGCTGGTAATATGTATAATACCCAAGAAGTCCCATTGCAGTGTAAATTCCTTGATTTGATATTGGATTTTAAAATGTGAATAAATATGAAAACATAACTCTTACAGTATAATTGTCTGGTTTTGTTCTGAGTATGTTTTCTTGAAACATTGGAATTCACTTAGGGATTTAACAAATTCAGCTTTTTAAACCAGTATTCTATCGCTAAGGTTCTAAAATAATTCTTCGATTTGTCAGAAAACGTACATACTGAGGATATGTGGCAGGAATTATGAATCACATTTTTATGAATTTCTTTTTTTTTTGAGACAGGGTCTTGCGGTGTCGCCCAGGCTGGAAGTGCAGTGGTGTGATCTCGGCTCACTGCAACTTCTGTCTCCTAGGTTCCAGTAATTCTCCCTGCCTCAGCCTCCCCAATAGGTGGAATTACAGGCACCCGTCACCCAGCTAATTTTTGTATTTTTTAGTGGAGAAGGGGTTTCGCCATGTTGGCCAGGATAGTCTTGAACTCCTGATATCAGGTGATGCGTCCTCCTCGGCCTCCCAAAGTGCTGGGATTAGAGGTGTGAGCCACTGCTCCCAGCCTCTTTTAGCATTTTTGCATTTCTTTGGAAATAAACTGATATGTTCATTAAACCATCAAAAGAAAAACCAAAACACACCCTTATTAAGAGTGAGTGAAAGAAAGAGTTGTCTTTACATTACTGAAAACTTCTGTGTTTCAGAAATCTGTGGACCGAAGCATACAAATGGTGGTATCTTGTCTGTTTAATCCAGAGAAGAGACTGATAAATTCCGTTGTTACTCAAGATGACTGCTTCAAGGTATGAAAGGAATGGCATGCATAATTAAAAAGCACACTTGTTCCCTCTCAAGTTAGCTGTTTTCCTTGTGGCACATGTATTTTGGGCTTTCTTAGAGGAATTTTTTTTCTTTTTTTTTTGTTTTGAGACGGAGTCTCCTCTGTCGCCCAGGCTGGAGTGCAGTGAGTGGCCCCATCTAGGCTCACTGCAAGCTCCACCTCCCAGGTTTACTTAACGCCATTCTCCTGCCTCAGCCTTCCGAGTAGCTGGGACTACAGGCGCCCACCACCACGCCCAGCTAATTTTTTGTATTTTTAGTAGAGACGGGGTTTCACCGTGTTAGCCAGGATGGTCTCGATCTCCTGACCTCGTGATCCACCTGCCTCAGCCTCCCAAAGTGCTGGGATTACAGGCATGAGCCACCGTGCCCGGCCTAGAACATTTAATTGAACTGTTGGCATTTGACTGTAACCCAGTAAACCAGTGTGGGTTTTACCTGGCAGTATATTTTCTGCTGCCGAGCCTTGATATAATGTAGTCAAATTTAGGGAAGAATCCTGCAGCAGAAATTTGTAATTGAAAGGGTTTACTAGAGAAGAGAGTTAGTTGACTACCTTGACCAAATAGTAAAATAAAATTTTAGATACAGAAAGGAGATCTTGGCTGGGTGCAGAGGCTCACGCCTGTAATCCCAACACTTTGGGGGGCTGAGGTGGGTGGATTGCTTGAGCTCAGGAGTTCGAGGCCACCCTGGGTAACAAGGCAAAACACCATCTCTACAAAAAAATACAAAAATCAGCCAGTTGTGATGGTACATGCCTGTAGTGCCAACTACTCCAGAGGAGTCTGAGGCAGGAGGATCGCTTGAGCCTGGGAAGTTGAGGCTGCACTGAGCCATGATTGTGCCGTTGTAGTCCAGCCTGGGCAACAGAGTGAGAGACCTTGTCTCAAAAAAAAAAAAAAAAAAAAAAAAAAAAAAAAAAAAAGTAGAACTTAATACATGCATATTGGACTAAAGAGAAGAAAAGAAATGATTTACTCAGATGATACACCTGAACAGTGTGAAGGGAGAAAAGGGGTAAAATGAAGCAGTAAAAAGTTGAGTAGAAAGAGAGGTTGATTCAGAGTTGGTGAAGCGGAAGAGAATGTGGCTAGTTGAATTCCAGAAAGATCTGACTTCTGATCCCACTTTCTATCCATGTTGGATAGATAAATCTTTTATTAAGGCTCTAATTCTTACAAGTCTAAAATGAGAAGGTACAGGACTAAAGGTTTCTGGGTCCCTGTGGTTCTAAGTCTATAAATACGAAAAAGAACTAACTTGGTCAGTCCGGTGGGAGAAAAATATTATGGTTAATAAAGGGAAGGTGTTTTTTAAATAACAATTTTATTAAAATAATACCAGTAATACAATTTATGTATTTAAAATGTGCACTTCACTGTTTTTTCATATATTCAAAGTTGTGCAACCATGTCCACAATCAATTTTAGAATACTTAAATCACCTCAAAAATCACCCCCGTACCTTAGCAGTCACCTGCTATTTTCCTGGAACTTGTGTGTATCCCTAGGCAAACACTAATTTACTTTTTTCCTCTAAGGATTTTCCTGTCCTGGAGATTTCTTGTATATGGAATCATACATAATGATGTGGCATTTTGTGACTGGATTTTTTCACTCAGCATAATGTTTGTAAGGTTCATCAATATTCTAGCACGTATCAGAACTTAATCATTTCTTTTTATTTGTAGATATTACCTTATTCTGTTTATGCATTCATCTGTTAAAGACATTTGGATTATTTCCACTTTTTAGCTGTTATAACTAATGCTGTGAACATTCATGTACAAGTTACTGTGGGGACATACGTGCTTACCTCTCTTGCGTATATACTTGGGAATGGAATTGCTAAGTCATATTTAACCTTTAGTGGAACTGCCAGATTTGTCAAAACTGGCTACACACTTTACATTCAAAAGAAAATGTTTAACCATCACTTTGTGTCTTACAACAGAACTAGCTTATTTTTGTCTGTGAATGGATATGGGATGAAGCCTAAGCCTTTTTAAAGGGTTATATTATGAATCTTCTGTATAATGTAGAAGAGTAGAGCCAGATAGCAGAATTAAGTTCTTAACATCTTTGCAACATGGAGTAAATATATTTAAATTTGACATTTGTTCTCTTGTTGCTTCGTTCTATATAGATAGTACAATTTAGAAAAGAAAGAACTGGAATTGTACATCAGCTTATCTTGCCGAAAATTCTGATTACATTGGTGTCTACAGTAGTACTTAAGTGATTTTCAAAGCAGAAGATAGTTTTTTGTGTTTCTTTCTTTCTTTCTTTTTTTTTTTTTTGAGGTGACCTCATTTGGTCATCCAGGCTGGAGTGCAGTGTCGCAATCACAGCTTACTACAACCTCAAACTCCTGCACTCAAGGGATCCTTCTGCCTCAGCGTCCCAAATAGGACGACAGACGTGCACCACCACACTTAGCTAGTTAAAAAGAAATTTTTTTTTTTTTTTTTGAGACAGAGTCCCACTGTGTCACCCAGGTTGGAGTGCAGTGGTGCGATCTTGGCTCACTGCAAGTTCTGCCTCCCAGGTTCATGCCATTCTCCTGCCTCAGCCTCCCGAGTGGCTGGGACTACAGGTGCCTGCCACCACGCCCAGCTAATTTTTTGTGTTTTTAGTAGAGATGGGGTTTCATCGTGTTAGCCAGGATGGTCTCGATCTCCTGACCTTGTGATCTGCCCGCCTCGGCCTCCCAAATTGCTGGGATTACAGGTGTGAGCCACCGTGCCCAGCCAAAAGATTTTTTTTTAAGAGAGAATCTTACTATATTGCCCTGGCTCGTCTTGAACTCCTGGGCTCAAGTGATCCTCCTGCCTCAGCCTCCCAAAGTGCTGGGATTACAGGCGTATGCCACCATGTCCAGCCCAGAAAATATTTTTTTAAACTTGAGTTCTCACCTGGTGGTAGACAAAAGACTCGCTTTGAAACTTCCAGAGTTTTCTGCTTATTTGGGAGAGGAATCAGAAGTTGGCATCCTGCAGTTGTCTGACATTTAGACCTATTTTAATTGACTGCACGTTGTTATATTGAATTAGAATGCCTGAGATATTTTTGAATGTATTTACAATTTCCATAGCCGATTTCTCTTCATTGTCTTAGTTATCTAGCCCTTTCACAATCTTGTTTCCTACATGACCTCTGAATATACATGTTGGTGACCAGTTTTCTAGATTTTAACCTAAATTGATTATCACTCTTTTGACAGATGAGGTAACTTCCAGAAGCCACTTTTATTTATATGAAAATGAAACTGAAGTCTTAAAAAAAGGGCACAGCTTTGTAGAAAAGGAAATGTTATTACTCGTTCACTCATTCCCATTCCTCCTTGTAAGACCTCTCACTTCTCTCTGCACGTCTGCAGGCAACATAGAGTGAAAAGAAAGTTTTGCATGTATTTTAAAGTTTTATCTTCCTTTCTAAAGAATGATATGTCTTCACAGGTTAATGATATGTTCTTCAAATGCCAAAACTTACATATTTTAATCTAAAAACACGAAATTTCAGATTGGAGAGCAGTTCGCAAGCTGTAGTTGGTATTAAATGCAGTTCAATTAGTGAAAAAAGTATTCTTTACAATTACATTTTCTACCAGCTGTCTTTGGGACATTACTGCAAAATTATTAACTAAGAAGTACATAAAATGATACTGAGTTTAAGTCCTTTTATTTCTCAGTTTACTGGAATTTGTTTTATTTAATTATTGATTTCTTTTTTTAACTGTTTAATAAAACTAGCCATCTTGGTACATTTGTTATCCCAGTGTTCAAATATGCTTCCTGAAAAGAATCATCTTTTTTTCTCATTATTTATAATGTTTAAACCCAAAACAAATGGTTTAAGTTTTGACAACTTTCAGATCCATAGTAGTCATCAGAAATTTTCAGTAAAATAAAAGGACTATTTCTGTCTTTTCCAGGGTAAAAGAGTGCATCGCTTTAGAAGAAGTTTGGCAGTATTTAAATCTGTTGGATCCTCTCAGCTATCTAGTTTCATGGGAAGTTGCTGGTTTTGAATATTAAGCTAAAAGTTTTCCACTATTACAGAAATTCTGAATTTTGGTAAATCACACTGAAACTTTCTGTATAACTTGTATTATTAGACTCTCTAGTTTTATCTTAACACTGAAACTGTTCTTCATTAGATGTTTATTTAGAACCTGGTTCTGTGTTTAATATATAGTTTAAAGTAACAAATAATCGAGACTGAAAGAATGTTAAGATTTATCTGCAAGGATTTTTAAAAAATTGAAACTTGCATTTTAAGTGTTTAAAAGCAAATACTGACTTTCAAAAAAGTTTTTAAAACCTGATTTGAAAGCTAACAATTTTGATAGTCTGAACACAAGCATTTCACTTCTCCAAGAAGTACCTGTGAACAGTACAATATTTCAGTATTGAGCTTTGCATTTATGATTTATCTAGAAATTTACCTCAAAAGCAGAATTTTTAAAACTGCATTTTTAATCAGTGGAACTCAATGTATAGTTAGCTTTATTGAAGTCTTATCCAAACCCAGTAAAACAGATTCTAAGCAAACAGTCCAATCAGTGAGTCATAATGTTTATTCAAAGTATTTTATCTTTTATCTAGAATCCACATATGTATGTCCAATTTGATTGGGATAGTAGTTAGGATAACTAAAATTCTGGGCCTAATTTTTTAAAGAATCCAAGACAAACTAAACTTTACTGGGTATATAACCTTCTCAATGAGTTACCATTCTTTTTTATAAAAAAAATTGTTCCTTGAAATGCTAAACTTAATGGCTGTATGTGAAATTTGCAAAATACTGGTATTAAAGAACGCTGCAGCTTTTTTATGTCACTCAAAGGTTAATCGGAGTATCTGAAAGGAATTGTTTTTATAAAAACATTGAAGTATTAGTTACTTGCTATAAATAGATTTTTATTTTTGTTTTTTAGCCTGTTATATTTCCTTCTGTAAAATAAAATATGTCCAGAAGAGGCATGTTGTTTCTAGATTAGGTAGTGTCCTCATTTTATATTGTGACCACACAGCTAGAGCACCAGAGCCCTTTTGCTATACTCACAGTCTTGTTTTCCCAGCCTCTTTTACTAGTCTTTCAGGAGGTTTGCTCTTAGAACTGGTGATGTAAAGAATGGAAGTAGCTGTATGAGCAGTTCAAAGGCCAAGCCGTGGAATGGTAGCAATGGGATATAATACCTTTCTAAGGGAAACATTTGTATCAGTATCATTTGATCTGCCATGGACATGTGTTTAAAGTGGCTTTCTGGCCCTTCTTTCAATGGCTTCTTCCCTAAAACGTGGAGACTCTAAGTTAATGTCGTTACTATGGGCCATATTACTAATGCCCACTGGGGTCTATGATTTCTCAAAATTTTCATTCGGAATCCGAAGGATACAGTCTTTAAACTTTAGAATTCCCAAGAAGGCTTTATTACACCTCAGAAATTGAAAGCACCATGACTTTGTCCATTAAAAAATTATCCATAGTTTTTTTAGTGCTTTTAACATTCCGACATACATCATTCTGTGATTAAATCTCCAGATTTCTGTAAATGATACCTACATTCTAAAGAGTTAATTCTAATTATTCCGATATGACCTTAAGGAAAAGTAAAGGAATAAATTTTTGTCTTTGTTGAAGTATTTAATAGAGTAAGGTAAAGAAGATATTAAGTCCCTTTCAAAATGGAAAATTAATTCTAAACTGAGAAAAATGTTCCTACTACCTATTGCTGATACTGTCTTTGCATAAATGAATAAAAATAAACTTTTTTTCTTCAAATGTGTTTTTGGCTTTCCGATGTAATAATGTAAAATGGTGGGGAGTTGCGTGGGAACTGTGTAACAAGGTTTAAATTCGTATAACAAGCTTTAGATTCTTAAAATGCAGAAGTATAAAGTTCAGTATACTAATCTGTCTGAGTTAGCCCATAAAAGCAAATGTAGGTACAAAGATAAGTTTAAGAGGTGCATCAACAGCAGTGCAGACTAGGAATGCTGATGAACACATCCGACTCTGCTATCTCACGGCTAAGGTCCCTCACATTTTGGACCCTATGAAGCATTTTGTCTACTGTACACTTTGGGCCTAGTCTCTAGATCATTTATTTCGGGGTATTGCAGTTGCCTAAGGGAGCTTAATTTTTTTATATTGCAGGTACTTCCTGTGGATACCATAAAAAAAAAAATCAGTACCGCTTCTTCTAGCTTTAGTGTTAGTACTCAGTTCTATAAGCTGAGTCCAGTGGAGAGGAAACTCCTCAGACACTCTATTAGTTAGTAAGCTTGCTGATTCATAACCAGAAAGTTGACTCCAAGGATACGCAGGATAGCAAACAGTGCTTTCTGCATCACCAAAGATTAAATTGTGATGTTTAGTGTCCAATAATAGGCAAAAAATTAGTAATTCTTTTATGTGCCTATGTGTATATATGTGTACATATGTGTCTATATATGCATATATTTATGGTTATGTACATACTAACGATTATCCAGAATATTTGGTTCTAGCTGATCAAGCTAGTAGGTTTTCAGTATTTTCAGACCCCAAAACTAGACTACATATGGTTTAAGATAGTTGCTTTACACCAGCTTGTTTCTAGTTTCCTATTAAATTATTACCACAAAAATCTTTGGAATTGAAAAATAACAGTTAAGCACTTTTTTGTAAAAAGTTCAAGTTATGGTGAAATCAAGCAGCTCTAAAAAGGTTGGTCACCTCCTTAAGTGTATTCTGCATGTTGGTTTTTTTCTTTTTCTAAAATCAGATTACCTTTAATTCAAAATAACTTCAGAATTGGTAGTACCTGTCTGGCAAGGAAGTCATTGACTCTTAAAAATAAATACTCCACAGCATTTCCCTCTCGTTATAAAGCACCTCTAGCCCCCTCTTCACTAAATTTTTCTTGGCTTTTTTTTAAAGGTAAACTGATAAAAATGGGCTGCCACATTGCTTAATCGCCTTGCCTGCTTTCCTTGCTGTCAGTTGAGGGTAATGAGGAGCAGCAACGATAAGGCAGCGTGCCACCTTGCTTTCACAAAGATGCCAATAGAGAAAGTGGGGAAACATAAGGGAGAAAAAAGTAGCAGTATTTTACATTGACCAAGTCTTGTGAATGGGCCAGCTATTGAGTATGATCATTTGGAATCCCTAGATAAGGATTGCTCCTGTACATATTTTGATAAGTGTAATCTATCCCTTCCCAACATGTGTAGTATGTCTCTGTATGTAACTGATTGTTGTGAGCAATTCCTTGCCACTCACCAAAGACAGAACTTTCCATCTGTAGACAGTACATTTTGTAGTAGAAAACAATAGACATAAGAAGTTCAAACTATAAACATGTTTTTGAATGCTCATGCAAGATAATCTGCATAGCAAAGAAATAATAGACAATTCAACATTGCATTTAGAGTTAAAAACATCTGTCCAGTATGGATGTAGCTGTGGGCCAATCCTAAGTAAACGCAAAAAAAAAAAAAAAAAAAAAATTGTCTCTTGGTACAGAAGTTGAAACTACCACTCTACCACTGTACAATTAAACTCTATGGTCGCTGTATTTTACGTTTTTAACTGGTCTGAAACAGTTCTCTAGTTAAGTCTGTAGTTCGTTTTCCCAAGACAAGGCTTTGTATCTTACGTGCACCTTCATTAATGCTGCATGCCAGGAATTCCACATGAAACTTCAAGATGCCGGTTCACTAGGTCTTTTCCACATGAAACTTCAAGATACCGGTTCACTAGGTCTTTAACAATAGAACAAATACTTGCATGACTGGGATATTCAGGTCATGAACACTCCTTATAAATTTGAAGCAATAGTAACATTTTAAGCACTTTGGAAAATTGGAGGTTTCATAACCCTCAATCAGATCTTTTTATAGAATAACAAAAATACACTAAGGTTCTAATCACATCTATTGTCTTTGCCCAAAATAACATGGATAGAGACACACTCCATTCTGGCTCAATCTTAGATGAAACTCCAGAAGAAAGGCAGTTGATAATGATACAGCCAGGCCAGCTGTTTAAGTGGACGTGTCCCCTCTGCCCTTGTACATTTGTTTAAAAATTTTGATAGGACTCTTCCCGCCTCCTTCACACCCTCCATAAATCTGACTAGGCCCATAAGAATGGAGAGAGGTAATTTAAAAGGCAGAGGACATTTTTCTCCTTGTTTTTACCTATGCTGATCCCCTACCTGGTGTTGGAGCAGCTTCACTGTGAGTAAAATCTGAACAGTGTTTAAGCAGTAAACCCACTATATTGAGGAAAGCGTGACCTGCACTTTTTTTTTTTTTTTTTTTCCTGAACATGACTTGGTTGTTGCTCATCATTTTGGTTGGTGATGGGTCTTTGACAAACCGATATGCTCACCATCCAAAGTTGTGTCCATGTTTAGATCAGCGCAGTATTCGATAGGGCACGTTTCCTCAAGATACCAATTTTACAGGGAAGTCAAAGAGCATCAGAGCTATCATAAGGGGTGTTTTTCAGAAGCCAAATCCTGGGCCCCATTCTCAGATGCTCTTATTCTAATGCTCTGGATGGGCCCAGTAATCTGCATTTTTAACATGTGCCCCAGGTGATTCTGACCACTGTAACATACTTTGAGAAATATGGCCTCAGTTGGGGAGCTCTCATTAGATCATCTCAAGCTACCCCTGGATTTAGGATAGAAACAGCCCTGTCAGGTCAACTATGACTTTCATAAAGGATTCCGTTGGCTTAATTCACCGAATTCATCTTTCCCTGCCAAGCCCGTGCCTGGGAATGCCAGCTGTCCACAGGCAAGAGTGACTCATGAATGGGCTGAAATAGATTGAATAGAAAGTTTGAAAACCAAGACTTGTGGCCAGAAATCAGTGACAGGAGGGAGTGACTACAGAGGCAAAGCTGGATTCCAAGGCCAAGAGCAGGCAAGCCAAGGGTGAGGGACTAGGCTCGAGTGGGAAAGGGCAGAGTGGATATCCTGGGGACAGAGACACTGTGTTTGCCTCCTGGAGTGAAGAACTATGCCTTTGACTCACTTGACACACTTTACAAATAGTATTACCCATGGTTTTTAGAAAAGTATGGCCTGTCATTGCTCCTTTTCCTGCTGTGGAATTAACTAATACCTCTTAACACCTTTAAGCAAGAATGATAATAACAGATCAATATCAAAAAAATATGTTGAGATCAAGTTCCAGAGACAGCCTTAGGCATTTGATATCCATATTCTTTTTGTATATGTCTGTGTTTTAAAATTTCACATTTAGTTCACTCAAAAGTATAAAAATATTTATTTAAAGAATAATAAATACCCAAGTTGGCTTGAGAAATAGAACATTTCATTAATTAAAAAATATGCCCTCCCTGATCACACCCTCTTCCTCCCCAAGAAGAAGAAACCACCTAAATTGAATTTTGGTTTAATCATCTGCTGAATAAAATGTTTCTTTTCACAATATTTTGAACTTTAAGAGAACATATACTGAAACTATTTTTTTTTTTTTTTTTTTGGCACATTGTTAGACTCATCCGTGTTGACTGGGAGATTCTATTTATTTTCACTGCTTTTTAGTTGTATCAGTTGAATATTTTACGGTTTGTTATTTCCCTTGCTGGGGGACAATTGACTTTTATTTTTTGTTTTAAAATTTTAAATGTAAATTGTGTTGATTCGTTGATTGCTGTTACAAACTATGCTCCTACGAACATTGTTAAATGCCTCTGATCACTTAGGTACTAGAATGTCATAAAAAAGAGTGAACTTTAAATCCCAGCCCCAAATACTTCCTGAGTAAGCTTGGACGAGCTTCTCACTGAGTCTTGGTTTCCTCCTCTGTAAAACAACAATACTAGTATCTACTTTATAGTGTTACTATGAGATTATTTGGGGCAACACATCAATGTGGTTAGCTTCCCATCCACAGATCTACCCACCTGCATCCCACTCAAACCCACCTAAGTTTTCTGCAGCCTTTACATTTCAGTAACTAGAACTTCCCACGTGGTCTGTGTATAGAGCAGCCATGGTTTGGTGAATGACTGTGTCCTGAAATGTAGTCTTTTGCGTATCTTCTTTGGTAGTAGGAAACAGCTCATTATGCTAGGCTCTTCAGGATATTTTCTAGAATAGTTCCCTTTTTTCTGAGAGGGCCTTGAATGAGTAGAACACTAACAAATGAGTGAAATAATGGTACATAGGCCAGCATTCCCTAAGCACAATTTCTGTTTTTCCTTCATGAAATGCTGGAGGTGGCAGGCAGGATTTCATATCCCATTCTTCTCATCACATGCATACTCCCTGAAATTTGTATAGGATTTTAGGGTTTTCAGAGCTACTTCGTATATATGATTTCGTTTGGTCTTCGTCAACTCCTTTGAAGTGCTAGACATGTCTAGGTTTTAGGTGTGATTTTCTTAAATTTACACACCCTGGGATTCAGATAAATAAGAAACTGAGACTTGACATCTGGGCCATTGCTTTTTATACTATCTCATAGATAGCAGACTCTCCAAATCAAAATACAGAAATATTTTTACTAATACATAATAATTATACACATTTATGGGATATCTGTGACAATTTCATGCTTCCATGCAATGTGTGGTGATCAAAACAGGGTAACTGGGATATCCATCACCTCAAACATTTATCATTTCTTTGTGTGGGGAGCATTTTCTACCTATTTGGAACTACACAATAAATTATTGTTAACTATAGTCACCCTCCTGTGCTGTCAAACACTAGAACTTATTCCTTCTAACTGTATTTTTGTATCCAGTAAACAACCTCCCTTAATTCCCGTCCCCCAACCCCAACACTCACTCTCTATAGCCTCTGTTAACTACTGTTCTACACTTTACCTCCATGAGATCAATTATTTTGGCTCCCACATATGAGTGAGAATAAAGACATTTGTCTTTCTGTGCCTGGTTTATTTCACTTAAAATAATGTCCTTGGTTCCATCCGTGTTGCTGCAAATGACCGGACCTCATCCTTTTTAACGGCTCAATAGTACTCCATTGTGTAGATGTACCACATTTTCTTTATGCATTCATCTGTTGACGGATACTTAGGCTGGTTCCAAATCTTGGATATTGTGAACAGTACTGCAATAAACGTGAGAGTGCAGAGATCTCTTCAACATGCCATGCTGTTTTTGTTACTCCTACAGTTTTGCAGTACATTTTGAAATTCGCTAGCGTGATGCCTTCAGCTTTATTCTTTTGACTCAGTATTGCTTTCGCTACTTGGAGTCTTTTGTGGTTCCATAGAATTTTATGATTTTTTTTTCTAATTTCTATGAAGAAGTATTTGGCATTTTCACGGGGATTGCATGAAATCTGTAGATCACTTTTGGCAGAATTGGTTATTTTAACAATATTAATTCTTCCAACCTGTGAACATGGGGTTGGGGTGTCTTTCTACTTTTTTGTGTAATCTTTAATTTATTTTGTAAGTTTTTTAATAGTTTTCCTTGTAGAGGTTTTTATCTCATTGGTTAAATTTATTCCTAGATACTTTATTTTATTTTTTATACCTATTATAAACGGGATTGCTTTCTTGATTATTTTTTCCTGCTGGCTGCTTGTTGGTACACAGAAAGTCTAGTGGTTTTTGTATATTAATTTTGTGTACTGCAAATTTACTGAATTCACTTATCACTTCTGAAAGTTTTTTTGGTGGAGTTTTAAGGGTTTTGTGTCTGCAAACAAATTTACTGAATTCATTTATGACTACTGAAAGTTTTTTGGTGGAGTTTTAAAGGTTTTATATCTGCAAACAGGGACAATTTGACTTCTTCCTTTCCAATCTGGATGCTCTTTTTTTTCCCTTGCCTAATTGCTGTGGCTAGAACTTCTGGTACTATGCTGAATAAAAGTTGTGAAGTGGATATTTTTGTCTCTTCCGTATGTTAGAGGAAATCCTTTGAATTTTTCCCTGTTCAGTATGATGTTGGTTGTGGGTTTATTATATATGGCCTTTATTGTGTTCAGATATATTCCTTTTACGTCTGACTTGTGGAGAGTTTTTATCATGAAGCCCTGTTGAATTTTATCAAATGTTTTTTCTGCATCTATTGAGATGATCACATGGTTTTTGTTCTTCACTCTGTCAATGCGATGTATCATATTTAAGTTGGTTTGCATATGTGGAAACATCCTGTCATTTTGTTAATTATTTTCTGGTTGGTTTGTATAACCTTTGTTGATTTCTTTCTTATTGTTTATCATTGCAGTTTAGTATTTTCCTGTAGTGATAAAGTTTGATTGTTTTTCCTTTCTCCCTTGTATATCTGCTCTACTGGGATGAATCCCTTGCATCCCTGGGATAAATCCCACTTGGTCATGGGGAATGATCTTTTTAATGTGCTGTTGGTTTCAGTTTCTTAGTATTTGGTTGAGGTTTTTTGCGTTTCTGTTAATCAGAGATACTGGTCTATAGTTTTCTTTTTTTGTTGTGTCCTTGTCTGGATTTGGTATCAGAGTAATGCTGACCTCAAATAATGAACTTTGAAGAATTCTCTTCAACTTTCTGGAAGGGTTTGAGAAGAATTGCTATTATTTATTTAAATTTGTGGTGTAATTCAGCATTGAAGCCCTCAGTTCCTCAGTTATTTGATGGGAGGCTGTTTATTACAGATTCAATCTTCTTACTCATAATTGGTCTGTTCAGGTTTTCTATTTCTTTTTTTTTTTTTTTTTTTTTTTTTTTTTTTTTTGAGAGGGAGTCTCTCTCTGTCACCCAGGCTGGAGTGCAGTGGTGCAATCTCGGCTCACTGCAAACTCCTCCTTCCGGGTTCATGCCAGTCTCCTGCCTCAGACTCCTGAGTAGCTGGGACTACGGGCACCTGTCATGATGCCCAGCTAACTTTTTTGTATTTTTAGTAGAGATGGGGTTTCACCGTGTTAGCCAGGATGGTCTCCATCTCCTGACCTCATTATCCGCCCGCCTCTGCCTCTCAAAGTGCTGGGATTACAGCTGTGAGCCACCGTGCCCGGCCCGTGTTTTCTATTTCTTACTGGTTCAATCTTGGTAGGTTTTATGTGTCCAGGAATTTGTCTATTTCTTTCTGCTAGGTTCTCTGATTTTTTGGTGTATAGTTGTTCAGAATAGTCTGTAATGATCCTTTATATTTCTCTGGTAGTCTCCTATTTCATTTCTGATTTTATTTATTTGAGTCTTTTTCTCTTTTATTCTTGGTTTGTGTAGCTAACCGTTTGCAAATTTTGTTTACCTTTTCACAAAACCAACTTTTTCTTTTGTTGATCTTCTGTATTTTTATAGTCCCCATTTTATTTCTGCTCTGATCTTCATTATGTTTTTCTTCTACTAATTTTGGTCATGGTTTGCTCTTACTTTTCTAGTTCCTTGATATGCATCGTTAGGTTTTTAATTTTATTTCCACTTTTCGGATACAGGTATTTATTGCTGTAAGTTTTCCTCTTAAAATGGCTTTGTTGTATCGCATAGGTTTTCAAATGTTGCTGTTTTCATTTGTTTCCAGAAATTTTTAAATTATCGTTTTAATTTTTTCATTTGACTTCTCATTCAGGAGCATGTTGTTTAATTTCCATGTATTTGTGTAATTTCAAAAGTTACTCTTGTTATCGATTTCTAGTTTTATTCCATTGTGATTAAGAGAAGATACTTACCATGATTTCAGTTCATTTAAATTTGTTGAAACTTAATTGTGTGGATGAACATGTGGTCTGTCCCCAAGAACAGTCCATGTGCAGAATTTACTGATGAAAAGCATGTGTATTCTGCAGCTATTGGATGAAATGTTCTAGAAATGTCTGTTAGGTCTGTCTGGTCTCAGATTCATTTCCTGTTAAATGTTTCTTTGTTGGTTTCTGTATATATATATATATATATATATGTATATATATAGATATCTGTCTAATGCAGAGAGTGAGTGTTGGAAGTCCCCAACTATTACTATATTGAAGTCTATCTCACCCTTTAGATTTAATAATATTTGGTTTTTATATATCTGGGTGCTCTGATGTTGGGTGAATATATATTCACAATTGTTATATCCTCTGGCTCAATTGGACCCTTTATCATTACATAATGACCTTTTTGGTCTCTTTTTACAGTTTTTGACTTGAAGTCTGTTTCATTTGATATGTATAGCTACTCTAATTCACTTTTGGTTTTGGTTCACATGGAATATCTTTTTCTGTTCCTTCACTTTCAGTCTATGTAATCACACAAGTGTCTTTACAGGTGAAGTCAGTTACTTGTAGGCAGCATCCAGTTGGGTAATTTTTTTTTTTTTTTTTCAATCCATTCTGCTAGCCTAAGTCTTTTATGTGAGGAATTTAATCTGTTTACATTCAAGGTATTACTGATAGGTGAGGACTTACTCCTGTCATTTTGTTAATTATTTTCTTGTTGTTTTGTATATCCTTTGTTCATTTATTTCTGCCTTATTGTTTATCGTTGCAGTTTGGTCATTTCTATAGTGATACGATTTGATTATTATTCCTTTTGTTGTATATCTGCTCTACCAGTGATCTTTATACTTGTATATGTCTCTGTAATAGTGATCATCATCTTTTTACTTCCAGATGTAGGACTTCCTTAACCATTTCTTGTAAGGCCAGTCTAGCACTGATGGACTCCCTCAGTTTTTGCTTGCTTTAGGCAGACTTTATTTCTCCCTCATTTATGAAGGATTGCTTTGCTGGGAATAGCATTCTTGACTGAACTTTCTTTTTTTTTTTTTTTTTTTTTTAGCACGTTGAATTATATCATCTCATTTTCTCCTGGCCTGTAAGACTTCTGCAGAGAAATCCACTACTAGTCTAATGGAGATGCCCTTATATGTGACTTGATGCTTTTCTCTTGCTTTTGTAGAGAAAGACTTTCACGTGCATCTGAGTTTTAGTGTGCCAGTTGAGAAGGGTGCAGTGACTCTTTTTCAAGATAGTTGAAGTGGTATGGCCTCATTCAGCTTCTTTGGCTGCATTCAATATCAGCAGTAGCTGTGAGTACCTCAGTTGCCTAGGCCATACAAGTTTGTGGTAGTGATGATGGCATAAGTTGTTAATAACCTCCATATCAAAGGCTTTGGGGGTTTTCTTCATTCTCATTTTCCACACACTGGGGAGATTTAGACAAGAGTATCCTTTCTGGATTCAGGTCTGACATGGCCTATAAGTAGCTATAGCAGTGCTGGGTTCCAGGTTTAGGTGCTCCAAATGGCTATGGTGCTAGGGTCCTAGGCTCAAGGTTTCATGAACTATGTGTGGCACTTGGGTCTTGGGGTGCCTGTTTATTCTCTGTGGTGAGGTTGAATGCAGGTTGCCCAAAGAGCCAGGATCTGTGACTCTGAGGTACCCCCTAGCAGCTTGGTTACAGGGATTTGGGTTGTAGCTGTGATTCTATCCCTAGTGGCCAGGGAGCAGCACTGGACCAACTCTGGAGAAGAAGGGGTGCTCTGGATGTTTGGGCCTAGGGAGCAGGGTAGTGCTGCAATTCAGGAACCCAAGCCAATAGGTATCAGTGGCAATGTGGGTCCCATTGTAGTAGTAGTAGTGGTAGTAGTAGTAGTAGTAGTAGTAGTAGTAGTAGTTGTAGCTGTAGTAGTAGTAGTAGTTGTTGTAGTTGTTGTAGTTGTAGTAGTAATAGTTGTTGTAGTGGCAGTAGTAGTGACTCTAGACCTTGTGATGGTGGAGTCAGCAGTATTCCAGATTCTGTGAGGCCAGGTGTAGCAGTAGCAAGTACCCTGAATAGTGGAGCACAGCTGTCCTTTGGGCCCTGTTAGGCAGGAAACAGCACTGTGATGATTTTACTTTCCAGGGAGAGGGGTGTCTCAGCAGCTCCCGCTCTTGGTGGCTAGTCCAGCTCTCCAGGGAATTAGGATACTAGAGTTGTTTGGCCTGTAGGGCAGACTGTCTCAGTTCAGCCACGGTTTTGCCTCTCTGTGATGCAAGGTACTACAGCAGTTTAGCTCAGCTTGGCCAGGGCACTGATTCCCCAGGTGGCCCAGAGACCATTTTCTGGGATACAGGGCACTGCTAAAACTTAGGCACAGGGAGGCATGACTGCTCAAAGTGACTAAGGTATTGTTTTCTTGGAGGCAGGGTACTGTTTCAGATCTGGCCTGAGGAGTTAGGGGAAGAGTAGGTGGATCAGCTCCACCTCCACTTGGCCCCAGGAGAAGTGTGTAAGAGATGCTTATAGCTCACCTTGGGGATGTTCAGTCACTAGGCTGGGGGTGTTTTGGTGGCAGTTTAGCCTCAGGGATGAAGGGGACCTGTGCCTACTTGAACCCTGAGCACGACACACTCCAGCCGTAGGTCTAGCTGCAAGATGGTATAGCACAGTAGACATGTGGGCCACAGAGGAGAACATAGTGTTAGCTACTTCTCTGAAGGGAGCACAGCTTTGTGAACTCTAGACAGCTCCTTCAGGTGGGCTTAGGTAGTGCCTGTGAGGACCGTAGGGCACCTCTGCCATGGTGAGGTCTGTGGATGTCCAAGGTGTTGATCGGGGTTGCTGGTGTTCTCTTGCTTACCTCCTCACTGTATGAAGAAGTTCCTCTTTGTTCCTAGCTTATCTCAATTTGGGGATGGAGTGGTGAAGGCCTGGCATTTCCTTCCATTCTCTTTGTGGCTGTTCTGTTTCTGTGCTCATCAGGGTTCCTGCTATTCCTCTGAGTTTCTCTGGAACTCTCCTTCAGTTACTCTCATTAAAACGTAGTGTTTTTTTAGTCTTTCTGGCATCTGTGATGGAGACAAGCTCTAGGGGCTTCTAGTCAGCCTTGCTCTTAATTAATCCAAGAGACAGAAATATTTTTGACTGGGCTTTATGAAAGCTATAACTAGGACTATAATGCGAAATGGACAACTTAAAATTGGAGGGAGAAAAAAATTCAGTTAGAATAGGTTGAGCTAAAATTTACCATGTGTCAGCAGGCTCTGTACAAAATTGCATTAAGTAACTCCCCTCATTTAATCCTTACAACACCCTAGTGAAGTTATATATTGTTCTTATTTTTTATATATGGGAACACAAATACTTACACTATAAAATATCTTACCTAATGTCACAGAGCTAGTTAGCTACAGAGTCAGGGGTCTGACTGCAGAGCCCCCCAGTTTACCACCCTAAATTCCTCTGTCACTTAAACTTCAATCCCATCTCACTCCATGCCCTTTTCTTAGAAGGCAGTGGTTTACACAGAACAGATCTGATTTGTTTAGAATATGGAGAATCTTTTAAAAAAATAATTTGTTGAGGTGAAATTAAAATAATGAAATTAACCATTTTAAAGTAGCACTAAGTAGATTCATAATGTCTTACAAACAGCACCTCTATCTTAGTTCTAAAATGTTTTCATCATGCCGAAGTAAAAATACCTTTAAGCCGTTTTCCCCCATCCCTCTGCAACTGCAATCGCTGGAAACCACCTAGGTGCACTCTTACCTTTTCTGGATATTTCGTATAAATTGAATCATGCAGTATGTGATGTTTTATCTGCTTTCACTTAGCATGTTTTCTTCACTTAGCATACATTGCAGCAGGTATCCAATACTTCATTCCTTTTCATGGTTGAATAATATTCCGTTCCGTGAATATACCACATTATGTTTATCCATTCCCCCTGCTGGACTTTTGGGCTGTTTCTACCTTTTGATTATTGTAAATAGTGCTGCTATGAACATGTGTGCACATGTACTTATTTATGAGTCCCTATTTTCTTCTTTTTTAATACTTTTATTTTAGGTTTGGGGGTACATGTGAAGGCGTGTTACACAGATAAACTCATGTCATGGGAGTGTTTGTTGTACAGATTATTTCATCACCCAGGAATTAAACCCAGTACCCAACAGTTACCTTTTCTGCTCCTCTCTCTCCTCCCACCCTCCTGCCTGAAGTGCGCCTCAGTGCCTGTTGTTTCCTTCTTTGTATTCACAAGTTCTCATCATTTAGCTCCCACTTATAAGTGAGAACATGCAGTATTTGGTTTTCTGTTCCTGCACTAGTTTGCTGAGGATAATGGCCTCCAGCTCCATCCACTTCCTGCAAAAGACATGATCTTGTTCTTTCTGTATGGCTACGTAGTATTTGATAGTGTATACGTACCACATTTGCTTTATCCAATTTGTCATTGATGGGCATTTAGGTTGATTCCTTGTTTTTGCTATTGTGAATAGTGCTGCAATGAACATTTGTGTGCATTTGTCTTTAAGGCAGAATGATTTATATTCCTCTGGGTATATTCCCAGTAATTGGATTGTTGGGTCGAATGGCAGTTCTGCTTTTAGCTGTTTGAGGGATTGCCGTACCGCTTTTCATAAGGGTTGAATGAATTTACACTCCACCAATGGTGTATAAGGGTTCCCTTTTCTCTGCAACCTCACTAGCATCTGTTATTTTTTGTTGAGTTCCGATTTTTAATTCTCTGGGGTGTATACACAGCAATGAACTTAAGGGTCGTATGGTAATTGTGTGTTTAATCATTTGAGAGATTGCCAAACTGTTTTCCACAGCAGCTGAACCATATTACGTTATAACCAGCAATGTACAAGTTCTGATTTCTCACCAGCACTTGTTAATTTTCCATTTAAAAAAAGTATAGCTATCCTAGAGGCTGTGAAGTGATACTTTATTGTGGCCTTTATTTGCATTTCCCTACTGACTAATGGTATTGAACATTTGTAAAACATGTTTGTTTGCCATTTGTATATATTCTTTATAGAAATATCTATTCAGTCCTTTGCTCCTTTTTAAATTGGATTGTTAGGTTTTTTGTAGTTGAGTTGTTAAAAGTTGTTTATATGTATGTTCTCAATACTAGATCTTTATTAAAATATGATTCACAATTATTTTCACCCATTTTGTAGGCTGGATTTTTACTTTCTTGGTAATGTCCTTCCTTTGATGCATAAAATTTTAAAATTTTGACAAAATATAATTTATCTATTTTTGTTTTTCATGCTTTTGGTGTCATATGTAATAATCTATTGCTGAATCCACTTTGAAGAAGATTTACACCTGTGTTTTCTTCGAAGGGGTACAGTTTTAGCTTTTATATTTAGGTTATTGATTCATCTTGAGTTAACATTTTATATAGTATGAAGTAGGGTCTCGACTTTCTTCTTTTGCATTTGGATATTCAGTTGTCCCAGCATCATTAAAGACAATTCTTTCCCCCACTGAAAGGTCTTGGTACCTTTTTGTTTGTTGAATAGTGATTGAAATCACTTTAGCTTAATCCAAACAATCAGTGAGACAAGGAAGTGCTGGGACTCTGCCCCATGTTTTCTTGATATGTCTGTCATCCATGCAGGTTCTTCTCAAGGTTCAAAGAAGAACCCAAGTTCTTCTTTGAACCCAAGGTTCAAAGCCCCATCCCAAGTGTCCTCCTCTCCACTGGCTGCTTCTCCTATTAGTAACAGACTCTAAAGTTGAGGAAGTCACCAGATTCTTCTCCCTAGTCCAGACCCACAAGATGGTTCCTTGTTGTTAGCAAGGATACCAACTGGATGCCATGGGTCTCATTCAGGCCCATTCACAGCCTTGTTGGTTTCACTATTTTTTCCTTCCTCCTTTTAATTTTAACAGGTTCATTGCAATATAATTACTGTACATAAACTGCACATATTAAAATTGTACACCTTGCTGAGTTTTGACATATGTATACAACTGTGAAACCATCACAACAGTGAAGATAAGAAACATTCCCATCATCTCATTGTAATTCATTCCCCAACCCACCCTCAACTAATAATCTGTTTTCTGTCACTATGAATTACTTCAAGCTTTCTAGAAGTTTATATAAATGGAATCATACAGTATATACCCTTTAGTCTGTGAATTCTCTCATTTCTCATAATGATTTTTAGATTCGTCTGTGTTGTTGCATGTATCAATAGTTTCTTCCTTTTTATTGCTGAGTAGTATTTCATAATAAAGATTTTACACAATTTGTGTATCCGTTCTTATACTGATGGTCATTTGGGCTATTTCACGTTTGGGGCTATTGCAAACAAAGGTGCTACTAACATTAGTGTGTAAGTCTTTGTGTAGATGTATGCTTTTATTTCTTTTGGGCAAAGACCCAGGAATTGAACAGCAAGGTCCTATGTTAGGTGCATTTTAAGTTTTTAAAGAAATTTCCACGCATTTTCTGGAAACACACAAGAATAAATTAACATATTCTTATCTCTTGTCATCTTTGTGCTACTATAATATTTGGAGGTTCTTTTAAAAATAAATGTGTACATCTTTGTCTCCTATGCCTTTGATTGCCTGGAGCAGATTTGTTTGTTCTTTTTTGCACCTTCAATTCCTAAGACAGTCCTTTGCATAAAAGGATGGTTAATCAGCTTTGGATGAACGAATGTCAGATAATGGCTTATCTGAACCAAAATGAATGAGAGGGCAAAATTGGAGAGGATGAGAGGAGTAGAATAGGTAAATAAATAAAATAACACTGTCTTTTAAAATTATGCACATAATTCATGATGGAAAAAGATCCAAAAATAAAGAGTAGCTTAAAGAAGAAAATAAAAATCATCCATGATCCTTCATAGTCACTCTTTAAAAAATTATTTTGTTGTTTTATTTTCTCCCCAATATTCTCTTAAAGTTAAGGCCACTAGTTCTCAACTCTTCCTACACATCAGACTACTCAGGAAGCTCTTTTAAATAGGTCCAATGTCTGGATTCCATTAGAGATTCTAATTTTAATTGGTCTGAGGTGGAGTCTGGGTGTCAATAGTTTTTTTTTTTTTAATCAATCTTTCAAAGGTAGTGATTTACATACAACAAAATGCATTTATTTTAAGTGTACAGTTCAATGAGTTTTGACAAGTATGTATCCTCCCTATAAACACTGCTCTAATCAAGTATACAATATTTCCATCATCTTCAAATACCCCACATTTCATCCCAGGCAACCCCTGATCTGGCTTGTTACTATAGATTAATGGTGATTATTCAAGAATTTCATATAAACAGAACCTAACAGTCTGGCTTCTTTCACTCAGCATGTTTATCAGAGTCATCATATTGTTACATATATCCATAGTTTATTCTTTTTCACTACTGATTAGTATTTCATTGTATGGAGGTACCACATTTTGTTTATCCATTCACCTCTTGATGGACATCTGGGCTGTTTGCACGTATTGACTGTTAGGAATAGAGCTTCTATGTGCGTTCTTATAAGTCTTTGTGTGGAGATATGTTTTCATTTCTCTTGGGTAAATGTGTAGGAGTAGAATTGCTGGGTCTTATGGTAAGTGTCTGTTTAACTTTATAAGAAATTTACAAATCATTTTTCTTTTTTTCTTTTTTTTCCAAGACAGAATCTTGTTCTGCCTCCCAGACTTGAGTGCAATGGCGCGATCTCGACTCACTGCAACCTCGGCCTCCCAGGTTCAAGCAATTCTCCTGCCTCAGTCTTCTGAATAGCTGGGATTACAGGCACGTGCCACCATGCCCGGGTAATTTTTGTGTTTTTAGTAGAGGCGTTGTTTTCACCATGTTGGCCAGGCTGGTCTCCAACTCCTAACCTCGTGATCTACCCTCCTCGGCCTACCAAAGTGCTGGGATTACAGCCATGAGCCACTGTGCCTAACCTCCAAACCATTTTTCAAAGTAGTTGTACTATTTCACACATCCACCAGTGATGTGTGAGTGTTCAGTTGTCCTACATTTTTGCCACACCACCAATATTGTCAGTATCTTAAATTTAAACCATTATAGGGGTCATTAGCAGTTTCTAAAAGCTCCCCTAGAAATGTGTACTTCTCTGTATATAATACATAGTAAAAAGTGAAGAAAAAATAACTCTCGAAATGATTGTAATGTGCAGTCAATATTGAGAACCACTGAGAACCACTGAGCAAGACTAGACCGACAAGTCCCAAGTATTTAAATAATGACATATTTTCATTTGTGCGTTATTTTTTTCTTACCCATTCATTTATTCAAAAATAACTATACTAGCTCTATACTAAGTGTTGGCAACATAGAGATCTACAACAATATTTTTCTGCCCTCAAGAAGCTGACAAATTTCTTTTTTCTCTTAAGAAAACAAAATTTCACCTGTGTGACCACAGTCATTTCAGACAATTTAGTTTTTAATTGGTCTTTCTCAGTATTGTGCAGCCCAGGCCTTGAGTCGATCTTGATGAGGGGGAAAAAGTAACGGGATCATTCATGGTATTTGAGATGTTGCTTTCTTGATTTTACTCTTTTCCTTCCCTGCTTCCTGTCTCCCGTATTTGCTTTCATACATAATTCAGCTTTGGGAACAGTGTCTTTAAATGAAGTCACCACATGAGCCATAACAATATAAATAAAACAAAAATACTTTGCCTCTGGAATTGGCACTTTGGTGACTGCACTCCATAGAGGCTATGGCTGATTTCTAATTTTTGTATTTTATTTTTCTCCTTTGTTTCTTTGATATAGGAAATCTTCAGTAAAAAGCATATTCTAATAAAAATAAGACTAACTAGTGTAACATTATAAAATCCTCTCCAGAAGCCTATTAAATAAGTATAGTAGATGGGTAAAAAATAATATGGCCCATAAACCCTACAAAACTCACAAGTAAAATTATGTAATCAAATTGTAAAATATTCTCTTATTTGCTATTAAATGTACACTATAAAAAAGACTTTGAAATTGTACAATAATGTTTACCTCCTTGGAATTGTTAGAAATAAGTACATAATACTTAATTTCTGTGCAGAATTTTTTTAATATTCTAAGAATTGTTAAGGTCAGTGTGAGAAGTGTTAACATTGGCTGCCACTTGCTTACAAAAGAGGTTCTACATACAGCAACTGATAGGAGATTCCATTTTCCTTTTTACTGGGGCTTTAGTGATTTCAGAGACTCCAACATTCTTGTGAAAAATTGACTATAGAAGTCCAATAATGAGTAGAAAGTTATTTGTCTAGCTGTCGGTTTAAAGAAATTTCATCCCCAACATAGGTGGCTTTCCATCAAGAAAATATTTTCCAGCACAATCTCAAGCCAATTTAATCCCTTGATTGTATTCTGTACCATGCAGCAAAGCCAGTTTCCATGTTTGCTGTGTTTAATTTTATTTCACTGAACTTTCTTTTCACTGCAATTCTTTCCTTATTTTCATTGTTTTTACACAAATTAGATTCATTGATCAGTTTTTTTGTATCACATTAATTTTTCCTTATTTAGTTTCAACCACTGCAATTTTTGCTTTTGTTTTCCAAATCCAAATCTCTCTGACATCAAATTTTGCAAGTCTAAATGTAAAGAAAATGTCTTTTGCAGCAACTTGGGTGTAACTGGAGGCCATTATTCCAAATGAAGTAACTTAAGAATGGAGATGCAGAAACCATGTGTTCTCAGTTATAAGTGAGAGCTAAGCTATAAGGACACAAAGACATTCAGAGTTATACAATGGACATCAGAGAATCAAAAGGGGGAGAAGGTGGGTGAGGCATGAGGGCTAAAAGCTGCATATTGGGTACGATATACACTACTCAGGTGATGGGTGCACTAAAATTTCAGACTTCACCACTATACAATTCATCCATGTAACAAAAAACCACGTGCACCCCTAAAGCTATCGAAATAAAAAATAAAAACAAAAACAAAAAATAAAATTTGAATGCATTTTATCAAAAGGATGCGAGCCTTCTTTCCATTTTTAACCAATAGCATTGTTGCCATGTGTGGTATCATCTGTTGTCAGTTTTATTTTATGCTGATTATTTCTACCAGCCGTAACAATTGGGAAATAGGCAAAAAGTTGGTTGTATTTATTTCCTAGATAATCAATAACAAACTTCAGAGCAATCTAATGAGACAGAGTTATAGGTGCACAGAAGAAGAAGAAAAGCTACAGTTGTGTGGAGCATGGATGGCTAAACTCCTGGTTAACTCGATGGGGTCAAAAGGACAAATGTGGGGCAGAGTTCAGATCTTTTGACAGGGTCAACGGATCTGGCATCAGTCCCTGGCTGCTCTCTTCTAAGTTTTCAGTCGTGCTCTTCTCCATTCCTCACCAGACCCCTGGCCTCTTTGGAGCTGCCTGGACAGGAGCTCTCCTGGCCTCTGGCAAACTCCTGGCTGGGTTGCGGATGGAAATTCCTGGTACCCTTAGTTGAGTTCATACAAGCTGAACGTTTTCAAAAGGAACTAATTTTACTTGAGCCAACTAAACAAAACTGAAATACACACAGAAAATACAAAAGCACAGAAATAGATGAGGGTTCCATGCCATGGGCATTTTAATCATGTGTATCAAGAACCTTTATAGAGTTCATGTCTGGCCCAGCCAATCCACTTCTAGGAAGTTATCTCAAGGTGATGTACTGGATATGAGTTGAAAGATGTGTATACGACGTATTTATCAACAAAAATTGGAACAAGGTAAATATGTTCTGATAGAGGAATAATTCAAATAGAGTATTTTCATACCATTTAATACTCAGCTACGAAGCAGGGCTGGTAAACTTTTCTGGAAAAGAATAGATAGTAAGTATTGTAGATTTGTGGGCCATATGGTGTCTGTCAGAAATAATCGATTCTGCTATTGTAGCACAGCAATGGGCATAGATAGTACATAAAGGAATCAGCACATTCATGTTCCAATAAAACTTTGTTAATTTACCAAAAAAAAAAAAAACACAAAACCCAGGTGGAATTGGCTTATGAGCCTTAATTTGCAGACCCCTGGTTTACAGAGATGATATGGATTTGTATTTACTGACAAAGAGAGCTGATTATAATATACTATTGGGCAAAAACAAAAGCAGATACTAGTATAGCATTTATGGTATGATGTCACTTATGCAAAATGAAGATTGATATATATATATATATATATATATATATATATATATATATCAGTAGAGAAGTGTCTAGAAGGATGTTCAGCAAATACTAACGAAGATATTATCACTAGGTTGAAGAATTTGAGATGATTTTTTTCCTTTATTTGTTTTCACATTTTTTCATTACTAGAAAAAATATTTTTATTTAATAATTCATACTCTTTGACAGAGTACTTCCACGGTTGTTGTTGGGGTTGCCGCACAGCTGTGAAGCCTGTGCAGTTGCACACTTCCAGGAGATGCCATCACATGGACTACAATGTGAAGGATTCCCCCAGAGTTGTGTGGCGAGGCAGTCTTCCCACCTCCCATTCTCTGTTCAGCTCTGTCCAATTAATTCAGCAAGCATTTGTTTGTCATCTACTACACTAGACATTGTTCTAGACAGAAATATCGGGAAACAAAGCATACAAAAATGTTTGCCCTTGTAGTGCTTTATGTTCTAGTGAAGGAGAAAGATGATAAGGAGAATAAAGAGTGACACATATGCAAGCTTCCTGGAGGTCAAGTAGCCCAGTTTTTGGCAGAGGGAATAGCCAGTGGGAAGAAGGCAGGCAGGGCAAATATTTACAACCCTCGTTTTACAGAAGAGAACATTGGAACTTAGGGAGGTTTAAGGGATGGCTGAGGGTCAGAACGTGGTCAGCACCAGAAGCAAGGCCTTTCAATTGCAAGGTCAGGGTTCCTTCCACACTGGGACAAGAGGCAGCACCTGCAAGATAAGGTAGAGGTGAATGAACCTAGGTGGCTTTAGTTAGATTCTGCAGACTTTTATGACAGGCCAATGCATATAAATGATAATAGCTGACATCACATTAAGAAAAAGATGCAGCATCTCATGAGATCTACTACATGCTCCTGATTAGGAAAAGGAATGTTGAAAAATAGCACTGAGTTTATAAAAATAGCGTTTAGGGTGTAATTCTCATTTTTTTAGTACATGAATGCTTAAGAAAGATGTTCATCAAATGTTAGCAATGCTTATTACTTGATGGTAGGATTTCAAAGAGTTTTAAATTTTCTTCTTTATTCTTTTCTGAATTGTTTGAGTTTTTTGCAATGAGAGTGTGAAAACAGAAGAAATAAAAAAGTTTGATGTTAGAAAGATACCATTAAGCTAACATTTACACACTCTGTGCTGTTCCACAGCACCTGTAGTACCACTATTTCTTTGTAAATTCTTCCAGGGCAGAGACTGTGTTTTATTCATTCTTCTTTGCCCAGCATGTGGAACCTCCTACAAAACAAGCATTCAACAGGGTTTGTGGAACAAATGCAAAGTGCATTTGCGAACTGCAGCTTATATAATCTACAACAGACACCTAGGGGGGCTCAGGAATGACACGAACAGTTTCCAGCCGAAGGGAATTTCATTTTCTTTTCTAGTTGGAGTTTCCATGGCACCCAGAAGACCAGGGATCCTGGTAAGAAAGTTTTAAAACGCTGAAGTGGTAAGTTTGTAAATTTGTGATACCTGGTGTCAAGTCCTACTTCAGGAATCTACAAAAATTGGGCCTTTTGAATAGAAGTGTTTTAGTGAATAATGAGTGATGTGGCAACTTATTCTGATAATATTTCAATCTAGCTTTTTGCTTTTAATGGTAGTTGCCATTTCTATTGGGCTGCATCATTCCCAGGAAAGCCTTCTTTTAAAATCAGTACAGGATGTGTGCATCCTAATACAAAAATCCCAAATCCAGAAATGCCCCTGAATCTGAAAGTTTTTCAGTGCTAATATGAGATAGTGAAACCTTTGCTTTCAGATGGTTCAGTGTACAAAAACATTGTTTCATAGACAAAATTATTTAAGGTGTTGTATAAAATTACTTTCAGACTATGTGCCTAAGGTATATATGAAACATAAATGAATTCCATGTTTAGATTTGGGTCTCACTCCCAGATATCTCATTATATATATGCAAATATTCCAAAATCAAAATCAAAAACAAACAAACAAAAAAACCGCCAAATCCGAAACACTTCTGGTTTCAAGCATTTTGGAGAAGGGATTTTCAGCCTCTCCCTAGAGATTAATTTGTTTGATGTGGTCAATTGCCTGATTATTCAAACTCCTCAAAAAGTGCAGGTCTTTCCTCCATACCACCTGTTTAGGTTTTGAATAGTTTAGAAAAAAAAATAAGTGACTGTCTTTAAGTCATTGATTAAAAGTTAATAGCCTTAAAATGTTTCCATTCCTATTTTATTACAAAGTATTGCTCGAAACAAGTTTTAATAGTGAGAAGGAAAGTTGTCACCCATAGGTTTAGGCACAATTTTTCAGTCTCCTTTACTCACTTAGCATTAGACTAGAAACACTTTCCCAATGATTTTTTGAATACTTGTGTAGCATTTGAACTTGTAGATGACCACACTGTACAAAACCATTGCAGAATTAGCATACATTCATATTAGTGTTAGTTTTTTAGTGATTTTTAATTGAACAGGGAAATTTTACATATTTGGCTCTATTCTGTAACTACAAGCAAAATTCTAACTGACTTTTCCCTCTTTCAGATTCTTAATTATTAAACTCATCTGACCATTTTTATTTTTATTTATTTAATTGACAAAGAGCGTATATACTCAAGGTGTACAATGCAATTATTTGATATGCCTAAATTAGGTTGGTGCAATTAGTTTGCACCAACCTAATACATTGTATAATTACTACAATCAAATTAATTAATACATACATTATCACCCATGCTATACATTAGATTCTCAGAAATTGCTCATCTTATAACTGAAAGTTTGTCCCCTTTGGTCAAAATCTACCCATTTCCCCCACCGCCATTCCCTGGCAACTGCCATGGTACTCTATGTTTTGATGAGTTCAACTCTCTTATATTCTGCATATAATACACTGTTGACCCTTGAACAGCGTGGAGTTTGAGCACTGACCCCTGCATAGTCGCAAATCAGCATATAACTTTTTCTTAAGGCATGGGGTCTCACTATGTTTCCCAGACTGGGCCTTGAATTACCTTGGCCTTAAAACTTGATTCTCCAAAAGCTTAACTACTAATAGCCTACTATTGACCAATAGCCTTACCAATAACGTAAACACTTGATTAACATGTATTTTGTATATGTATTATATACTGTATTTGTACGCTAAAGTAAACTATAGAAAAGATGGTGTTATTAAGAAAATCATAAGGAAAAGAAAATATATTTACTATTCCTTAAGTCAAAGCGGAGAGGTCTTCATACTCCTTGTGTTCCTATTGGGTAGACTGAGGAAGAGAAGGAAGAGGAGGATTGGTCTTGCTGTCTCAGATGTGACAGAAACAGAAGAAAATTCACATATAAGTGGACCTGTACCATTCAAACTCATGATGTTCTATTAGTCTATGTGTTTGTTTTTATGCCAGTACCATACTCTTTAGATTAACATAGCTTTGTAACATAGTTTGAAATCAGGAAATGTGATGCCTCCAGCTTCGCTCTTCTTTCTCAAGATTGCTTTGGTCAGGTTTTTTTGTGGTTCCATATGAATCTTAGAATTATTTTTTCTCTATCTGTGAAGAATGCTGCCATTGGAATTTTGATAGAGTTTGCAATGAACCTATAGATCACCTTGGGTAGTATGGATATTTTAATAATATTAATTCTGATACATGAACATGTGATGTCTTTCTTTTTATTTGTGTCATCTTCAATTTATTTTCTCAGTGTTTTATATGCTGATATTTAAACTTCTTGGTTAAATGTATTCCTAAGTAATTTTATTGTGCTTGTTGCTATTGTAAGTAGGATTGTTTTCTTTCTTTCTTTTTCAGATAATTTGTTGGTGCTGTATAGAAGTGCAATTCATTGTTCAATTCCCACCAGTGATTGAGAACGTGCGGTGTTTGGTTTTTTGTCCTTGCGATAGTTTGCTGAGAATGATGGTTTCCAGCTTCATCCATGTCTCTACAAAGGACATGAACTCATCATTTTTTATGGCAGCATAGTATTCCATGGTGTATATGTGCCACATTTTCTTAATCCAGTCTATCATTGTTGGAGTTAATGGGTGCAGCACACCAACATGGCACATGTATACATATGTAACAAACCTGCACGTTGTGCACATGTACCCTAAAACTTAAAGTATAATAATAATAATAATAATAATAATAATGAAAGAATTGCAATTCAATTTTAATGTTGATTTTGGTATTCTGGAACTTTACTGAATTCTCTTTTTAGGTCTAACAGTTTTTTGGTGGAGTTTCTGTATACAAGGTCATGTCATCTACGGAGACAATTTTGCTTCTTCCTTTCTGATTTGGATATTTTTTATTTCTTTTTCTTGCCTAACTGCTCTAGGTAGCACTTGTGGTACTATGCACAATAGAAGTGGTGAGTGTGGGCACCCTTGTTCCTGATCATAGAAGAAAAGCTTTCTGCTTTTTACCATTGGGTATGATGTTGGCTGTGGGCTTGTCCAATATGGCATTTATTCTGTTGAGGAACATTCCTTGCATACCTAATTTGGTGAGAGTTTTAACAGCATTTTGAAGTATAAGTGACATAAAATAAACAGCATATGTATCTAGTGTACAATTTGATAAGTTTTGACATACGTATATACCCATGAAGCCGATCAATATAGTGAACATAAACATCATCCCAAAAGGTATCCTTGTGCTCCTTTGTAATCTCTCCTTCCTGTCTCTCTCCATGTACCCTCTTCTCAGGCAACCACTGATCTCCTTTCTGTCATACAGATTGGTTTTAATTGTCTAGAGGCATATACCAATGTAATAATACAATAAGTAGTTTATTTTGGTGTGGCTTCTTTTATTCAGCATAATTACTTTAACATTCATTCATATTGTTGTATGTATCCATAGACCTTTTTTTTTTTTTTTTTTTTTTTTTTGCTGAATAGTATTTCATTGTATGAATACACCAACATTTCTTTATCTAGTTACCTGTTATGGACATTTGGGTTGTTTTCAGTGTGAGACTTTTACAAATAAAGCTGCTATAAACATTTATATATGAGTCACTTTATGATACGCTTTTAGTTCTCTTGGATATACAAGTGCTGGATCACATAGCAGGAATACGTCTGACTTTTTAAGAAACTGCAGGTTTTCCATTTTTCGTTTCCAACAGTATATCAGTTCTAATTCCTCCACCTCCTTGACAACATTTGGTATTGTCAATCTTTTTAAATTTAGCTATTGTGGTAGGCATATAATGCTTTTAACTTGTATTTTCCTAACTACTAATGATTTTGAACATCTTTTCATATGCTTATTTCCCATCCCTGTATCTTCTTTGTGGAAGTATCTGTTCAAGTATTTTGCCCATTGTTTTATTGTTTTTCTAACTCGATTTTGAGAGTACTTTATACATTCTGGATGAAGGTTGTTATCAGACATATTCTGTGCAAATATTTTCTCCCAGTCTGGCTTGTTTTCTCATTCTCTTAGTAGCATCATCTGAAGAACAGAAGTTTTGAATTTTGATGAAATCCAGTTTATCAGTTTGTTCTTTTATGGATCATGCTTTTGGTGTTACAGCTAAGAAATCTTTGCCCAGTGCAAAGTCACAAAGATTTTCTTTTAGAAATGTTATCGTTTTTGGTTTCTAACTTAGGCCTGTGACCCATTTTTCAGTTCATTTCTAGGTATAGTGTGAAGTATGGATTTTGCATATGGTAACCAATTATTCTAGCACCATTTGTTGAAAAGACTGTCCTTTCTCCACTTAATTACATTTGCACATTTGTAAACACAAACACACAGACAGACAGACAGACACACACACACACACACACACACACACACACACACACACACACCCCATATATATTTAGGTCTCTTTCTGGGCTCTCTATATTTTTTAATGATATCCCTTGTCTATTGTGATGTCAATACCCACTATTTTGGTTACTGTAGCTTAGTAATAAGTCTTGACGTGAGACAGTGTTAATCCGCCTAGTTCTTCTTTTCCCAAATTGTTTTGTCTAGTATGGTTCCTTTTCATTTCCACATTAATCTTAGAGTCAGCTTGTCAATTTCTATAAAATGTCTGCTAGGGTTTTGATTGTGATTCCATTGAATCCATAATTTGGAGATAATTGGCATATTAATAATAATGAGTCTTTTAATCCATAAACATGGTCTATCTCTCCATTTATATAGGTCCTTAATTTCTTTTGGCAATGTATTATAGTTTATAGTGTACACATCTTTCACATTTTATGTCAGATTTATCCCTATGTATTTCATATTTTTATGTTATTCAAAGTATTTTTAAAATTTCAACTTGTGATTGTTCTTTGCTAGTCTGTAGAAATACAGTTGATTTTTTATTGATATTTTATCCTAAAACCTTAGCTAAAATCAATTATTACTTCTAACTTTTTTGTGTTTCTATTAGATTTTCTAGATAGATAGTCATGTTGGCTATATATAAAGACAGTTTTATTTCTTCCATTCTGGATGCATTTTTTTCATGTCTGATTATATGTTCCAGTATCTCCAGCACAAGGTTGAATACAAGTGGTGAGAGCAGACATCCTTGTCTTAGTCCTGATCACAGAGGAAATGCATTCAGTCTTTTATCATGAAGTAAGTTTTTAGCTATAGATTTTTCATAGATGCTGTATTATTCAGGAGTCTCCAGAGGAACAGAACTAATAGGAGAGATGTGTATATGAAAGGGAATTTATTAAGGAGTATTGACTCACATGATCACAAGGTGAAATCCCATGATAGGCCGTCTACAAGCTGACGAGCAAGAAAGCCCAGTCCAAGCCCCAAAACCTCAAAAATAGGGAAGCCAACAGTGCCGCCTTCAGTCTGTGGCCGAAGGCCTGAGAGCCCTTAGCAAACCACTGGCATCAAGCCTGAGACTCCAAAAGCTGAAAAACATGCACTCCGATGTTTGAGGGCAGGAAGCATCCAGCACAGGAGAAAGATGAAAGCCGGAAGGCTCAGCAAGTCTAGTTCTTCCATGTTCTTCTGCCTGCTTTATTCTAGCTGTGCTGGCAGCTGATTAGATTGTGGCCACCCAGAATGAGGGTGGGTCTGCCTCTCCCAGTCTACTGACTCAAATGTTAATCTCCTTTGGCAACACCCTCACAGACACACCCAGGAACACTACTTCGCATCCTTCAAGCTAGTCAAGTTAATACTCAGTATTAACCATCACAGATGCCCTTTATCAGTTTGAGGAAATGCTTTTCTATGCTTAGTTTGCTGAAAGTTTTTATTTAATAATACATGTTAGATTTTTGTTACCTGCTTTTTCTGTGTCTTTTGAGATGATCATGTGATTTATCTCTTTGCTAACATGGAGAATTGTACTGATTTATTTTCAGTGTAAAATCATCCTGAATTCCTAGGAAGTAAAATCCCAATTTATCATGATATTGTATTCTTTTTATAGATTTTGAATTCAGCTTGCTAAAATTTTAATTTTTTTCTTCTATATTCATGAAGAATCTTGGCCTATAGTTTGCTTTTTTGTTAACATCTTAGTAAGGTTTTTGTGCCATGGTAATTCTGGTCTCTTACAAATATTCCCTGCCTCATAAGTTCTCTGGGATAGTTTGTATAGAATTGGTATTATTTCTTCATTAAATGTTTGGCAGAATTCACTGGCAAAGCTATCTGGGTCTCAAATCTCCTTTGTGGGAAGATTTCTAACTACAAATTGAAAATTTTTACATTTATTTTTATTTGTACATTTATTTATTTTCTGAGATGGAGTGTCTCTCTGTCACCTAGGCTGGAGCCCAGTGGTGCGATCTCAGCTCACTGCAACCTCTGTCTCCTGGGTTCAAGCAATTCTTCTGCCCCAGTCTCCCTTGCAGCTGGGATTACAGGTGTGTGCCACCATGCCCAGCTAATTTGTTTGAATTTTTAATAGAGACAGGGTTTTGCCATGTTAGTCAGGCTGGTCTTGAACTTCTGACTTCAGATGATCCACCTGTCTCAGCCTCCCAGTGTGTTGGGATTACAGGCGTGAGCCACCGTGCACACCCTATATTGATTTTTTTTTTTAAATATAAGGCTATTATCTGTTTCTTTGTGACTGAGCTTTGATATTTTATATGTTTTAGGACATTTGTTAATTTCATTTCCATTGTAAAATTTATGGGCATAAAATTTTACAAGTGATATTCCCTTTTTATACTTTTTAATATCTTAGAAACCACTGATACCCATTCTCTCATTCCTAATGTGAAAAATTTTGATCTCTCCTTTTTCCTAATCAATCTATCTTGAGATTTATCCATTTTCTTTTGCTTTGTTTTTTTTTTTTTTTTCCTCTCTGAGATGGAGATTCAGTCTTGTTGCCCAGGCTGCAGTGCAATGGGTTGATCTCGGCTCAATGGGGCAACCTCCGCCTCCTGGGTTCAGGCAATTCTCCTGCGTCAACATCCTGAGTAGTTGGGATTACAGGTGTGCACCACCAAGCCCAGCTAATTTTTGCATTTTTCAGTAGAGATGGTGTCTCACCATATTGGTCAGGCTCATTTAGAACTCCTGACCTCAGGTGATCCACCTGCCCTGGCCTTCCAAAGTGTTGGGATTTCAGGCATGAGCCAGTGTGCCCAACTCCATTTTATTTTTCTTGTCAAGAAACCAACTTTGTTTTTGTTGATTTTCTCTATTTTTGTCTTCTATTTTATTGATTTCTCTTTTGATCTTTATTATTTCCTACTGTCTGCTTCCTTTGAGTTTAATGTGCACTCTTGTTTTTATTATTTATTTCTTGTGATGGATCCTGAGGTCATTGCCTTGAATCATTTTTTTTTTTTTTTGTAAAATAGGTATTTGGTGTTATACAGTTCCATTAGTATTAGTATTAGATGCCAAACATTAGTGGCATCCTACAAATTCTTATATACTGTATTTTCATTTTCACTCACCTCAGAATATTTTGTAATTTCCCTTTTGATTTCTTCTTTGAACTGTGAGTTATTTAGAAGCATGTTATTTAGTTTCTAGATATTTGGGTATTTTTCAGTTATCCCTCTTCTATTGATTTCTAATTTAATTTCACTGTGGTCAAAGAACATATTTGTATGACTTGAATCTTTTTACGTATATTGAGAATGGTTTTATGGCTCAGAATGTAGTTGGTCTTTGTAAATGGCCCATGTGTACTTGAAAATAATATATATTCTGCTGCCATTGGATGGAGTGTTGTAAAAATGTCAATTAGGAGTTGTTTGATAGTATTGTTCAAATCTGTTATATCCTTGCTGATTTTCTGTCCACTTGTTCTATTAATTATCGAGAAAGGATTATTGAAATTCCCAGCTACAATTATGGATGTGTTTATTTCTCCTTACAATCTATTAGTTTTTGCCTCATGTATTTGAAGCACTGTTATGAAGTACCTAAACCCTTAGGATTGTCACATTTTCATTAACTGACCAATTTGTCATGCTGAAATGACTCTCTGCCTACGGTAACATTTTTCACTCTAAGATTTACTTCTTTTAGTATATTAATATAGCCTCTGTCGAGGGCTCAGCTGGAGAGAGAGCTGAGCTGCCAGGTTTTAACGTGGTCAGTTAAGAAAACGGCCAAACTTAAAAAGAAAAAAAAAAAAGAAACCATCAAGACTTTATTCACTTATGCAACAGTATAAGCAAGAAGCAAAAAAGGAAGAAGTGCCAGCTCCCAGAATGTTCCATGTTTTCCCCCATGGAGCAGCTCAGAGGAGGGGAGTTTGGGGTATGGGGATGATCATCTCCCTGCTTAGCGAGACGGACTGCCGAACATGAGCCTCCTGCTATTTCGCTGTTGCTGGGAATTTATGGACCCTGTGGTGAAGGGTGGGAGTTTGGGGAAGGCTAGGAGTGGAAGATACTTAATACTGAGGACCGCGGAGGCGGAGGTTGTTGCAGTGAGCCGAGATCGCGCCACTGCACTCCATCCTAAGCGACAGCATGAGACTCAGTCTCAAAAAAAAAAAAAAAAAAAAAAAAAGAAGAAGAAGAGGAGGAGGAGGAGGGAGGGGGAGGAGGAGGAGGAGGAGAATGAGAAGAAAAGAAAAAAGAAGAAGAAGAAGAGGAAGAAGGGGAAGAAGAAGAGAAGGAAGCGGAAGAGGAAGAAGAAGAAGGAGAAGAGGAAGAAGAAGAAGAAGCAGAAGAAGAAGAAGAGGAGGAAGAAGAAGAAGAAGAGAGAAAAGCATGTTTTTCAGGTTACTCTCAAGAAGTTGGTGTCTAGTAGAGGCAGCCAAGAAAGACCTCTGCCAGGACCCTCCTGATCCGGGGACCTCTGCATGGACGTATCTGGGCTGGGAATGCAGGTATGTGTAAGAACATAAGTGCGGGGGGACGTGAGTCTTTGATACAACTCCCCTAGGGGACTGTGTGCTCTGGTTCTGGTTGTGCACCGAGGCCGGTGGGGAGGACCCATGGAACAAACTTGTGGTAAGGCCTTTGTAGTGGCTGAAAACTCACACACAGAGTTGGGTTTTGGCTCTCAGAAAACTGCTCAGCCACTCCAGCTTCCTCTTGGCCAGTGTCAGCAATGGCATACCCTTGTCAAAACTTAGACTATTTGGCCAGGCCCCGTGGCTCATGCCTGTAATGCCGGTACTTTGGGAGGCTGGGGCAGGTGGATCCTGAGCGCAGGAGTTTGAGAACAGCCTGGCCTCAAGAAAAAAAAATTTTTTTTCACTTTTAACCCATTTGTGTCTTTATATTTTAAAGTGCATCTCTTGCAGGCAGCACAAAGTTGTCTTGCATTTTTATCCAATCTGACAGTCTGCCTTTTAATGGGGCTAATTGGACTATTTTTATTTAAACTTTTTATCTGTAATGGCTAACTTTCACTCTATCACATTGGCATTTGTTTCTTATTTGTTCCACCTGTTCTTTGTTCCTTTTTTCCTCCCTCTCTGTCTTATTTTAGATTAATTGGATTAATTTAGATTAACTGGATTGATTTGAATTAGTTGAGTATTTTTATGATCTATTTTTATCTCCTTTATAGACTTATTAGCTTTAACTCTTTGTTTTATTATTTTAGTGGTAGCATACATCTTTTCTTATCACGATATATTTTGAGGGATACTATACCTCTTCATATGTGGTATGATATCCTCAAATGGGTATACTTCTATTTCTCCCCCCACCAGCCTTTATGTTATTGTTTTTGTCTTCCAATTTATATAAGTCATAACCCCTATAATACATGGTTATTATTTATGTTTAAATAGCCAATTATCTCTTATTTGGTAATTTTTATTGTGATAAAATATACATAACATAAAATTTACCATTTTAACTGTTATCAGTGGTGAATCCACACAAGACTGCAGCAACCTCAATTCTTACCTCCTTCAGAAGAAAGAATTCAACCAAAGGGAATAAGGCAGAGGGAGAAACTGAGGCAAGCTTAAGGGAAGGAGTGAAAGTTTATTAAGAAGTTTTAGAGCAAGAATGAAAGGAAGTGAAGTACGCTTGGAAGAGGGGCAAGCGGGTGACTTGAGAGATCAAGTGCAAGGTTTGACCGTTGACTTGGGTTTTTATGCTTCTGGGGTGATTGTGCCCTTCTCCCCTGATCCTTCCCTTGGGGTGGCCTGCCAGCACTTAGGAGGGGCCACGTGTGCAGTGTGTTTACTAAAGTTGTATTCAGGCCGCCTTGAAACATTTTTCCCTTACCGGTTGAGTATTCCCTAAGGAAGGTGAGGTACCAGTTAATTCCACCATTTTGCCTCTTAGTGTGCATGCTTGAGTTCACTCACCCAACTCCTGCCATCTAATCAGGAAGCTGCTGATCATCAGTTTCAGGTGTTTTCTATCTATTGGGAGACTGCGTTTCCCTGGCGCTGGCTGCAACCAATTATTATTTTAGAGACAGTTTAACAACCACCTCACTATCACCTTATGGTCGCCTGACATTCCTGGTGAAGAGGGCCCTCTCCTTCCCTGCTCATGTCTGCCTAACTACCTATGGTAACAAAAGCTTTTTTTTTTTTTTTTTTTTTGAGGCAAGGTCTTGCTCTGTCACCCCAGGTGTCGTGCAGTGGGGCAATCATGGTTCACTGCAACCTCAACCTCCAGGGCTCAATTGATCCTCCCACCTTAGCCTCCTGAGTAGCCAGGACTACGGGTGTGTGCCACCACACCTGGCTAATTTCTGTATTTTTTGTAGAGACAGGATTTGCCTTGTTGCTTAGGCTGGTCTTGAATTCCTGGGGTCAAGCTATCTGTTGGTCTCTGCCTCCCAAAGTGTTGGGATTATAGGTGTGAACCACTGTGCCTAGACCCCCAAATTATCTTTTTTTCAGAGACAGTGTGATAGTTCTCAAACTATCACCTAACATTCCTGGTAGGAGAGGAAAGATCTCTCTCTTGCCCCAGTCATGCCTGTCTAACTACGTGTAACTAGTTAGCTCAGCTTACTGTTATAATTTTTCTCACTGATAGAATTTTTGCAAAGACACTTTCAATACTACCAAAATAAATAGTAATCAACCACTTGGAAAGCATTTAGAAGTAACTGAAGTCCCTACTTACACCAAATGAGGAAAAGCCAAACTACACTGTGGGACACACTGTAAGTCCCTGCATCAGTCAGCTGTTGCTGTGCAAACACCTCCTCAAGACTCGGCAGGATAAAGCAATGACCATTTATAATTGCTCACATGTCTGCAGGTCAGCTGCTTTTTGGCTGACCGAGGCAGGGCTTAGCTAGGCTGGCTCTGCAGCGTGTGTCTCTCATTCTCCTCCTGTGGCAAACAATGGCAGATGACAATGGCAAATGTGGAAAGCCTTTAAAGAAGAAATCTCATAAGGAGTTCCCTGTCACTCCCATTCATCTCAGTCTTTCAGCCAAAGCAAGTGATATGGCCAAACCCCATATCAAGGGGTGGGGAAATATAATTTGCTTATTTATTAGGAGCAAAGTCACATGGTGGTCATTGCAGAATGGGTTGAATGACATAACCTATCATCAGCCCTGAAGAAACTCATCATTCATTTCCTTCCTCAAGACTCCCCTCATCCGGGCATCTCCAGATCTTACTCTTTCCCACACTCTGTATCAAACAGTCCACTCACACTAGCTACCCTGCTTCCTTTGGCACCCTCTTTCCACTAGATAACCTGTTCACTCAGCATTTCTATTTTCATTTGCATCTCCACCCTTTGCCCATTACCCCAGCAGCTCACAGAGGACCCTGACAGAATAGGCAAAACCCAGAAGTTGGGTGGGTAGATAATGTGTGAAAGCTCACACGGTTCTGACGCCTCCTTGACGCAGCACATTACTAGCGAATGACATGTATAGGGCCTGGGGTGTTTGCAGAACCAAATCAGGTGTGGAGGAAATTATATGTAAATACCTCCATGGGTGTGTGATTGTATCATACCTCACCATAACAAAGCTCAAATGACATTTCATTTCCAAATGTGGCTAGGTTTCCCTGTGTTATATGTCGTTGAAAGCCAGTATAAATAAATATCTGTGAAAGTCCTAGCTGACTGCCTGCTTTGTTTCTGCCACTAAACTGTAAGCTCCTCATGAACAGAGTGTTTCTGTACAATTCACTAGCTGTCTCTATCTTTACCTCACAGCCAATCCACAAATGAACGCTGTCAGCCTTGCCCCCCATCATATCCCAACCATCCATGTCTGGCTACTCCATTGCTAGTCCAACCGAAGCCCCTTGCATCTCATGCCTGGGTTATTTCACAGCCTTCTAGGCTGGTAACTCCCGCTGCTACTGTGCCTGGCTCCAGTCTATTCTGTACATGGTGAAGAGGATCCTTTGAAAAATGGATAAAATGAGTAGCAAATTGTGTTTCTCCTGCACTCAGAATCCTCCTCTGGCTCCTCACTGTAACCTCTGGCTTCAGTAGTTACGGCAAATATTTAAAAGTCAGCCTGCAGGAAGAACCCTGATTTACTGAGTTTTCCAATGTTAGTAGTATAAATACTCATCATGGCCAATTTTAAGCTGGCTTCTTTCCTTCACTCCGTCCCTCCCTCCTCCCCTTCTCCCCTCCTTCTCTTCTCCCCTCTTTCCTTCATTTCCTCCCTCCCTCCCTCATTTCTTCTGTCCTTCTCTCCTTCCCTTCCTTTCCTTCTCACGTCCTTCTTTCCTTTCTTCCCTCCTCCCGTCCTTTCTTCCCTATTCTCTGCCTCCTACTCTAGAATTGACATTTCATGACAGGCAATCCATGTCTGTCTTAGTTATTGCTTAGAAGTACCTGGCACATAATGGAAGGCTCAGTACATATTTCTTGAACAAATAGTTGACTAATTGAATAGATGATCCTTTCTTAATTCTGTACCAGGATTTAAGAATTATTCAAAGAAGATGTCATTGTTTTAAAATGACCAAGTACTGCTCAGCACTTTCAAGTTCACAAAGCATGCCTCATGCATCATCTCTATGATCTGTACCCGGGTGCCATCCTGAGAAGCTGGGAAAGGCTTTTCTCTTCCTCCTCACTTTACAAATGAGGAAACAAAGACTCAGAGGGATGGAGGTTCCCGCTCAAGGCCAAACAGTAAGTATGTATCCACAAGTCTGACTCTCAGTCTGGCAGTCTTCTCAGTGGTCTCCAGGAACTGTTTAGCTCTTGGGGGGATCTCATAAGGGAAGCCTGGAGGCTTCAGGGAGAGCTGTCCCAAGGAAGAGGAGAGAAACACATGGTGGCGAGGAAGGAGGATTGACGACCAGGGAAGGCCTTACGTAGGCCTCTACCAGGCTGAGCCTCTGGTGTCAGGCCAGTAACATAGTAATTCAGGTCCCCAATCCTGATTCTGTCTCTAGATTCCCACTAACCTCCCCACAGACATGGAGCATTGAGCCCCCCTTCCCCACTTATAGAGTACCCCAGATAGCATAGGCTCCACACCTAGCACCCACCTTCTTGCAAGTCTATAGCAATGAGCAGCAGAGCGCCAGCTGAGATCCACAAGCTGAACCTGGTCCCCAGGGATAATTTCTTTAGCCCCTGTAGTGTTTAAAAAATTGGGCCAGCATTTACAAGCAGGATATCCCAAGTGGTTGGTTGATTTTGGTAAACAGAAAGATCTTGCCACACATCCTGGCCATTCTGGGCTGACAGCAGTCATCCACCTGAGACCAGATAAGTGTTGTCCTGTTCAATGCAGCCACTCAAACCAGTTCAATGCAGTCCAGTTCAATGCAGTTTCCTATCACCTCTCCAACTTCCAGGGCAGCCATTGACTGCAGTTTATTTCCATGCTGGAAGTTTTACTTGTGTCAAAAAACATACCTCTGAAACCGAAACTTATACCAAAAGAAGAAAAAATATGTAGGGCTTCATGATTTTACTACATGGACTGACAGAACCCTGAGTTTACGAGCTTTGGGCTATGCCTCAGTTTAAAATACATGCCTGCCTTCCTTCCTTCCTTCCTTCCTTCCTTCCTTCCTTCCTTCCTTCCTTCCTTCCTTCCTTCCTTCCTTCTTTCCTTCCTTCTTCCCTTCTCTTCCTTCCTCCCTCCATCCCTCCCTTCCTTCCTTTGTTCCCTCCTTCCTTCCTTCCTTCTTTCCTTCCTTTCTCTCCTTCCTTCCTCCTTCTCTCTTCTCTTTTTTCTTTTCTTCCGTGAAAGAGTCTCTCTGTTACCCAGGTATGGTGTATAATACATGCTAACACCACCACACCCAGCTAATTTTTTAATTTCTATTTTGAAGAAATGAGATCTTGCCATCTTGCCCAGGCTGGTCTCTAACTCCTGGCCTCAAGTGATCCTCCTGCTTCAGCCTCCTAAAGCATTGGGATTGCAGGCATGAGCCACCTAGCCCAGTTAAGTACACCTTTTCCTAGTTCTGTCAACAATCTCACAAAGCTGGCATCCAGAACCCTCCTTTAGGTGAGGATCCTTGAGTTAAGAGGCGTTGAGGGACTTGGCCAAGGTTAAATAACTAGAAGTAGACACAGAATGTGAAGATAACATCTCATCCAGCGCAGGCATCCCCATAAATTGCATTCCCACCCACACACCACCAGTGTGTTCATTGTGACAGGATGTGTGACCTGACACAACAGCCCTTGTGTAATCTGACACATTCCCATTAGGTAGCGACATAAACCAACAAAGCTTTCCAGGACAATGCCTTTGTGGAAATTGGTTTTCTTGCATTACTAGGGATTTTAAGGCACAACAGGTTTTCCCCTCTTTCTGTCTCTCAAAAAAAAAAAAAAAAAAAAAAAGTCCTTTCAATACCCAATATTGCATGGCTTTCATGCCAGGCATAAAATGAAATTTGCCATAATCCATTGCCTAGGGAGAAAGTCGTATGTGTGTGTCACAACTGACATCTGTTAAATTAAATAAGCAAGCAATAAGAAGGTCTGAAATATGTTCTTTGTTCAGGAATTCGTGCAGACACTGATCAGCTGCTCTGTACAATTGAGAAGAGAACAAGTGCCTTTTCTTCCCCCAACATGTGCCACTGAAAGCCTCCAAGGAGGACAAAAGCAGAGGATGGATGAACTTGCACACCGTGAAGTTAACACTTCTGTTTGAAGTTCAAGCAAATTGGCTGAGCACAGCAGGAATGACCACATTGCCAGCTCCATCATACCTGCTCCCTCCCCAGGGCTGAACAGGAGCTCAGGCTAGTCCTTCCTTACCTGCTACTTCTTTTGCAAAGTGTAGGAAGGTGTGAGGCTTCATCCAGACTGCCTGATCAGTTTTGACCATCAGCATGTTATTATGGTGGATCTATTCTTAAAATACAGTTGTTCTTTTGTTTTCCTCACTGGCAAGGAATTTTGAACCAATAGCTCCAGAGTTAGCCCTTGTAATTTATTAATCAAGCTTCATTATTAATATGAGAATGAGAACAGATGTAATTCCAATGTGCAGCTGGAATATCAGCCAAGATGTGGTCCTTATAGAGATATACTAGGATCATCAAACGAGAAAGAGAAGCTTTGCCTATGCAACCAATTATAATTGTGGGATGGTGTATTTTGGGTATTGGAATTTTTTTGATAAACATGAGGATAGGCAGAAAGCCCTTCAGTTTCAATCCTTTGTTTTGTCCTTTCCCTCATCCCTAGAAATAGGTTATGTATCTATGACAATAACAGTGAGTGCCTCCCAAAAAACCACACACGTTTTCAAACCTCCCCTGCAGTTGAATTGAACCATGTGGATGGGTTCTGATAAATGGGAAAATATTTACTTATATTTTCTTTGAGTTCTATTGCGGTTTTATTTTTGTGTTTAATCCACGTGGAATTTATTTTAGTATATTAGTTTCAAGGCAGTTGTTCCCGGACTATTTAATTAATCTTTCCTTTTCCTACCGATTGCAAATACCAATCAGTATATGACAAATTCTGATTTCTGGTTCGGTAATCAATTTTCTCATTCCTATGTTGGTATCAAATTCCTAAATTATAGTAATTTTAAAATATATCTTACTATCTAGTAAGAGCTATCCCCTTTAATTTTTTAAATGGGGTCTCACTGTGTTGTCCAGGCTGGTCTTAAACTTCTGGGCTCAAGCAACCTTTCTATCTCAGCTCAGGCTCCAGAGTAGCTGGGACTACAGGCTCATACCACCACACCTGGCTCCTTTAAAAAAATTAATTCAGTTGCTTTTACAAATGTATTCTTTGAGTAGAATTTAAAAATCAGTTTGCTAAGTTAAAAAATTAAAGATTGATTAAATTCACAGGGTGACTGGGAAATAATTGATATCTTGTCAGGCCTGAGCCTGCTCATTCACGTGTGTGATGTTTCCCTTCATTTCATGTCTTCTTCCGTGTCCTTAGGCCGTTTTGTATTTCTTCTGTGTTTGATTCTGAGTATTCTGTGATTTTGGTTGCTTTTGTAAATGGGATATTTTTCTCATTTCCCATCATTTTTTCTAATTTATTATGGCTGAATGTTATTCGACTGTATGTATATATCACAATTTATTTATCCATTCATCCATCAATGGACATGTGGTTTGCTTCCACCTTTTGGCTGCTGTGCTGCTATCAACATGTGTATGCATGTACTTGCATCCCTGTTTTCAATTCTTTTGGGTACAGACGCCTGGGAGTGGAATTGCAGGGTCCTGTGATAATTCTGTGTTGAGTCATCTGAGGAACCACCAACTGTTTCCTGCAGTGGCTGAACCATATTACATTCCCACCAGCAATATACAAATTCCAGTTTCTCCACATCCTCACCAATACTTGCTGTTTTCTGTTTTCTTTTTAAAAAGTCATTACCATCCTAATGGGTGTACAGTGGTGCCTCCTTTTTATTTGCATTTCCCTAATGATGAATGATGCTGAGAATGTTTTCATGTGTTTGTGGGCCATGGCCTCTCTTCTTTGGAGAAATATCCACTCAAGTCCTTTTTCCACTGTTTAAGGGATGGTTTGTGTTTTTGTTGTTAGTTTCCTAACTTTCTGACAGGAAAACATTAACCGAAAGTTGCTGTGTTACATAGGATACTTTCAAAAGCAACAACTAGAAGATGCAACTCAAAATGGCTTAAATGATGAAAGAATGTTAAATGTTTGAGTGATCAGGTATGGTTCTAGCACTGTCCACGTATTAATTCATTTAATTCTAACAAGAATACTACAGGGTAGGTACACAAATCAGAAATATGAGGCACAGAGAAGTCCAAAGTCACACAGCTGGTAAGTGGTAAAGTTGGAATTTGAACCTAGGAAGTCTGACTCCATAGTCTCATCTGTGAGTGACCAGGTAATAAGTCTACAGGGAGGCAGTACTGGCACTGATTGGTTTAGCACATCAACCTAATACGGAGTCTAGATTTGTCAATGTTCCTATTCTGTTACCCTAAGCATGTTGCCTTTGCCTCAGGGTCCTCCCCTCATGGTTGCAAAATGGCCGCAACAGCTCCAAGCATCACATTATCTCCCAGCAACATCCAAATGACAGAAACAGAAAGTCTCTTTGGTTTCTTCTTTTTTAAAAGTAAGGAAAACTCTTCTAGAAGTACCTCTAGCAGACTTCTCATTGATCAGAATTGTGGCACATGCCCCATCGTAAACCAATCACTAACAAGGGACACAGAACTACAATTTTGGACACAGACTAATCAAGGTTGACACCTTGAAACTTCAATGGGGTCCAGATTCTAAAAACTATCTGCTGCTCAGTTCCTGAACAGAAATCATTTTCTGTTAACAAAGAAGAAGGAGGTAATCACTGTTGAGTTGGTGACCAACAGCTGCTGCCACAAGCTGTCATTTACTTCTGTTAGCCTCAAGGTTAGTGATATCTTCTCTGTGGGCTGGTGACTTCTCACCCTTGATTTCTCCTAGGCCATGTGTCTGATATCTTCTAGGCCACAGATGCAACACGTACATGAAAACCTGAATCCCCACCACACATTTGTTTGCAAAACTCTGTTTGCCGTTTCTCTCTACTTCTGACAGCTACCCCTACAGATCACAGGGGCATGCATCTCTTTAGGGTGACCTTTGCATGTTTATGCTAATTGCAGATTAAATCTGTAAGCCCTAACACTCATAATCTCCTAGCTTCCCTCTGTAAAAAGTCCCCCTTAGTGATACTTAATTTCACATGCTTGCCAAATCTTAAATCCAAAAGCAGAAGTCGATTTACCTCTGTACTGAAATTAAAGCTATACAAAGTTTTTGGCTTTGGGGGCACACTTCACTGTTCTCAATGGCCCTTTGTAGGTCAGATTTAAGTTAAGAGTCTCCCTGACATTTCAAAATGTCATCAAATGATCCTGGCTAAAAAGAAATGAAGACGCTTTCTTCCACATTTATGCAAGTCACAGGAAATCTTTCTAAGTGGACAAAGTGAAATAATCTTGGGACAAACATTTTATTCCATGTTTATACAATGAATACACTGCACTGAGCATCAGTGAATTTTTCTGCACATGGCTCCTAATCCAATTTTAATGTATTTCTGGTCACAAAAACAAAAACAAACACACTTAACCTTCAAAAGGGAAGATGAATGACACTGACTTCAGGTTTTTCACAAATATCTGTAAATAGCAGAACAACACAATCTACGTGATGATCTTTCTGCTATTGCTGGATGAGTCAGGTTCTCCCTTCCCATTTACTCTGGAGCTTATGTGAGATGGCTGTGATTTAACCAGAGGAAGCTCAAGTCATAGGGCTTTGTGGTAGTGAGTTTTTCCTCAAAGAAAGGTAGTAAGTTTCCCATAATAGCAAGGATTCAAGCAGAGGGTAGACGACCTTTCAGGATTGTGCATAGTAGAGGTTGAACTTAGAGAACTTATTGAAGGTCTCTTATTGAAGGTCTCTTTCAAAAGGTCCTAAGATAAGTCAGGAAAACAATCCTTATACACCTGTGGTGTTTTACGAATCAGAAAACCCTTAGACACATGCTTTGTCTCATTTAAGTATCAAAACAACCCTATGAGGTAGGTGGGTTGATTATTCTTGTTTTACAGATGATGAAATTGAGGTTCCGGTAGAGGTTAAGCAACTTATCTAGGGTCACACATTTAGGAAGTGAGGTCCTAGGACCTCCAGGTCAGAGATATCTCCATCCTCAGGACAAGGCAGAGAGGAGGCAGGCCCATTCTGCATGGCTGGAGCATTGCTAGGCGGGTGGCTACACTGCTGGGCACAGAGAAGTGGCTGTGGCTGCTCCGGCCTTTCTCTTTCTCCTATACCCTAAGGCTGGTCATCAACAAAGCTCTCTGTCCTCAAGGACCCCTATGTATTCTTTCTCAGCTGCTGCAGGTTGGAGCTGACCTGCCTCCCAAAAGGCAAGTGTGTGAAGCCTGTGATTTACACTTGCTTGGTGTTTCAACCCATGCCCCGAATACACCCTTTTTAAAAGGACCACCGCAGAAACACCTCCAAAGCAGGGGGCTATCAGGCGGGTTCTCTCTCAGCCCACAGTTTTGGCAAGGGAGAAGGGGAACACTTCTGCTCAGTAGGGTCATTCCAGTCATTCCGTACAGGCTACTCCACCTAGTCTGAATTGTGTGAGAACACAAAAGAAAATGCCACTGCTTCGTGGGGAAAGAATGTTGGTGGAGGGGACAGGATGTTCCGTTGCAATCTCCTCATAGTCCCCAGGCTCTGACATAGATGGGAGCACAGAGTTGCTTGTGTGAGGGCCTGGGAGCTGAGCTTTCTTCCACGTAGTTCTCCCAATCACATTGTGCCCTTTTCTGGTAATTGAGTGGGAAACGAATCCACCCAAGAATCTGGGCTGTCCCACAAAAGGAAGGTAAATATCCCAAAGAAAAAAATTATTGCCAATTACAGAGACCATGTGTTCACAGGAATAAACAGGAATACAGCTGAGCGGAAAAATGGGCGTATCACCACACATTCCATCTGAGCAGGCAAGAGCCGGGCCAGAAACGAGTTTCGTATCTTTTTTCATTTGGGTCAGCCAGGAGGGGTATGTATGAAAGGGAATAAAGTATACACAGATAGCTTCAAAAATAATATCTCTAAGCTTTTAGAAAGCCAGCCAGTCTTGCTACTCCTAATGCAACAGGAAGTTGTTGCATTTGCATTGAATCCAGAAGATTTTTCTCTCTCTGCTTGACTGTATTTGACCATACAGGATGAGCCTTGGGCCTGCTGGCAGTATGTTTTCTAACTCTGAGGGCCTGAGGAAACTGATGTTTGGAGAGAGGTCAGTGGCTTGCCCAGGGTTACACAGCTTGGAAATGAGAGGTCAGGACTTTCCCTGTCAGGTGCATCCCACACACCTGGACAAGACCCAGGCATGAGAGGAGCCAGACACCCACTGCACACCAAGGTGATGCGCGGGTCCTGATTTCCTCACTATTTTCACCCCAAGGGCTTTCTCCCATTGGAGCTACACTGGGAGGTATCTGCTGTCTAAAAGGAGGGATGCTGGGGAATATGAAGAGAAACTCATGTTTTCTGTTTCCACACCAAAGGTTTGAGATGCAGGAGCTTAAAACCCTGACCCTTACAGTTCAGGTACTAAGTTGATGCCAGAAGCATTTGACTTGGAAGAGTAAATAAAGTTGGAAGAACTGGTTCTTCTCACTCCAGAGAGCGGGAGAGAACAGAGACTAGGGACCACGAGAGTTTGGCTGTTGGTAAATGTCACTGAGAAAAGGGACTGTGCCTCATTCCTGTCACAGACCTTTCATAGCAGCACCCAAGGGAGATGTGGGAATTGCTGAGATGATTCACTCCAGCCTCAGAAAGCCCTGGCTGATGGGGCTAAGGCAGATGAGGTCTTCGTGGACCAGTGATGGAGAGCATAGGAGAGCAAGGACATCTCGGAGGCACAACAGAGTGGGTGGTGATGGAAACCAGGTGGCCCCTGGGATCATGACTGTCACAAACCCTGGGAGTGATGGAGACAAATTATCATCTGGGCCATATGTAGTTGCAATTTTTATAGTTTAGAAATGATCAAATAGCAGCAATTTCATATTGTTTTGTGTAACATCATGGGAAAGCCTGAACTGCCTGCTATTTCATTTCTACCATGCAGTAGAATAAGAGTTTGAAGTGGAACCAAATTCAGTCTTAGTCAAAGACAATCAGGCTTCTCACCCATCTGCATAGAGGCTATGTGTAGCACTAACCACACTGAAATGCCTCGACACTACCTCGCCACCAAGCAGTTCTTCAGGTGCCTGATGGTTCAGATCTCCTTCCCCAGGAGGATCCTGGGATGTCTTCATAACATTCGACTCTAATTTGAACGGATTCTCCTCCACACCCTGCTGTTTAAGATTTACACATAGTTTCCAGTATTCAGATGGGACGTGCTTGGGAGCTGGGGAAAACTTGTTCTTTCCTCACAATTCAATCCAGTTTTCAGTCTTACCTATGTCACATGCCTGTGAGCACAGGATGAGAGGAATATAGGTAATTTCAGAAAACATGCAGGAGCCTACCATCATCACCTTTACTTTTTAAATGGGTTTGGTTTTGCTTCATGTTGGGAAGCTTGGTTCCTCCTGGCTGAGGAATGGTAGCCAGGAAACTGCTGGTCAAATCATCAGCCCTTTGTCCTCCTGGCATGACACAGGAGCCTGTAAAGGACAGAGGAAGTGACTGCTAGGCAGGTTAGAAGGCATTACTCCTCCAGCACAGCCATATCTAGACATAGCATGGTGACTTGTATGCCATGGTTCTCAAATTGTTGCTGAGGCTCTCTGAGGTGCCTCAGTGAACACATCAGAACACTGCAAGGTAGTTTAGACTTTTGAAGGAAACTCATTAACATCCGTCAGATACTGTGCAAAAACACTGGTTTTGATGGTTTTGCACAGTATCTGAGTTTCAGACAGTTGCTATGATAAAAAAGACGCATTGTGAAAAAAATCAACGTGAAATAGGAAATGAGAATGGCAGTATCCAATCTGAGTCCAAGGTCTGAGTAATTGTTCAGTGCCCAACAGGCACACACCTCACATTATTAAGAAATTGTGGCTGGGCACGGTGGCTCCTGCCTGTAATCCCAGCGCTTTCGGAGGCCGAGGTGGGCGGATCATGAGGTCAGGAGATTGAGACCATCCTGGCTAACACGGTGAAACCCCGTCTCCACTAAAAATACAAAAAAAAAAGAAAAAACAGCCAGGCATGGTGGCCGGCGCCTGTGATCCCAGCTACTCGGGAGGCTGACGCAGGACAATGGTGTGAACCCGGGAGGCGGAGATTGCAGTGAGCCGAGATTGGCCCACTGCACTCCGGCCTGGGCAACAGAGTGAGACTCCGTCTCAAAAAAAAAAAAAAAAAAAAAAAAAAAATTGTGATCATTTGAAAATAAAGTAAATGTATTTTTACTTCAGTCTGTCTGTATTATTTTTTCCTGAAGTGGCCACTGTGTTTTCAGGACATAAATAATTGGTAAATTATTTGGGCCTGACTAATTCATAAACAAATTTTGGGGTATTTATTTTGACCTGTATGTGCCATGAAAAAATTATAGAGATACTAGGGGAGCTGTGAACTGGAAAAACTTGAGAATCTCTGTCTTAGTGAGAGGTGACAGCGTGCTGGCAGCCCTCGCTTGCTCGCGGTGCCTCCCCGGCCCCAGTGCTCATTCTGGCTGCACTTGAGGAGCCCTTCAGCCTGCCGCTGCACCATGGGAGCTCTTCTCTGGGCTGGCCGAGGCTGGAGGCGGCTCCCTCCGCTTGTGGGAGGTATGGAGGGGGAGGCACGGCGGGGGGATCCGGGGCTGCTCCCGGCGCTTGCGGGCCCGCTTGAGTTCCGGGTGGGTGTGGGCTTGGCAGGCCCGCACTCGGAGCAGCCAGCCAGACGGCCCTGCTGTACCCAGGCAGTGAGGTGCTTAGCACCCAGGCCAGCAGCTGTGAGGGTGCACCGGGTCCCCCAGCACGGCTGGCCCACTGGTGCTGCCCTCGATTTCTCGCCGGGCCTTAGCTGCCTCCCCGTGCGGTAGGGCTCCAGACGTGCAGCCCCCCATGCCTGAGGCTCCACACCCGTACCGCCGCCCGCCCTCCGCCGCTGTCCTCACAAAACCGCCCCCCCCAACCGCTCCCACCCACCCAATCCCTCCTGCCACCCCCCTCAGTCCCCGCCATCACCCCCCCTCCCCACCATGGGTTCCTGCCTGGCCTGAGCCTCCCCAGTGAGCACCGCCCCCTGTTCAAGGGCACCCGGTCCCATTGACCACTCAAGGGCTGAGGAGTGTGGGTGCATGGTGAGGGACTGGTGGGCAGCTCCACCTGCCTCCCGGTGTGAAATCCACTGGGTGAGGCCAGCTGGGCTCCTGAATCTAGTGGGGACTTGGAGAACCTTTGTGTCTAGCTAAGGGATTGTGAGTGCACCAATGAGCACTCTGTGTCTAGCTCAAGGTTTGTGAACACACCAGTCAGCACCCTTTGTCTAGCTCAGGGTTTGTGGATGCACCAACCGACACTCTGTATCTAGCTAATCTGGTGGGGACTTGGAGCATCTTTATGTCCAGCTAAGGGATTGTGACTGCACCAGTCCACACTCTGTGTCTAGCTCAAGGTTTGTAAATGCACCAAATCAGAGCTCTGTATCTAGCTAATCTGGTGGGGACTTGGAAAATCTTTATGTCTAGCTAAGGGATTGTGAATGCACCAGTCGGCACTCTGTATCTAGCTCAAGGTTTGTAAATGCACCAATCAGCACTCTGTGTCTAGCTCAGGGTTTGTAAATACACCAATCGACACTCTGTATCTAGCTAATCTAGTGGGGAGGTGGAGAACATTTGCGTCTAGCTCAGGGATTGTAAATGCACCAATCGGCACCCTGTCAAAACAGACCAATCAGCTCTCTGTAAAACAGACCAATTGGCTCTCTGTAAAACAGACCAATCGGCTCTCTCTAAAATGGACCAATCAGCAGGATGTGGGTGGGGTCAGATAACAGAATAAAAGCAGGCTGCCTGAGCCCACAGTGGCAACCTGCTCGGGTCCCCTTCCACTCTGTGGAAGCTTTGTTCTTTTGCTCTTTGCAATAAATCTTGCTACTGCTCACTCTTTGGGTCCACACTGCCTTTATGAGCTGTGACACTCACTGCAAAGGTCTGGAGCTTCACTCCTGAAGCCAGCGAGACCATGAACCCACTGGGAGGAACGAACAACTCCAGACGTGCTGCCTTAAGTGCTGTAACACTCACCGCGAAAGTCTGCAGCTTCACTCATCAGCCAGCGAGACCACAAACCCACCAGAAGGAAGAAACTCCAAACACATCCGCACACCAGAAGGGAAAATCTCCGGACATGCTGCCTTTAAGAACTGTAACACTCACCACAAGGGTCCACGGCTTCATTCTTGAAGTCAGTGAGACCAAGAACCCACCAATTCCGGACACATTTTGGTGACCACGAAGGGACTATCGCCAAGCGGTGAGACTGTCGCCTGTCACCAAGCAGTGAGTACCATCAGACCCCTTTCACTTGCTATTCTATCCTATTTTCCTTAGAATTCGGGGGTTAAATATCGGGCACCTGTCGGCCAGCTAAAAGCGACTAGTGTGGCCACCGGACTAAAGACACGGGTGTCAGGCTTTCTGGAAATGGGCTCTCTAACAACCCCCAGCTCTTCGGAGTTGGGAGCGTTGGTTTGCCTAGAACAAGCTTCTGCTTTTCCTGTACTTCTGGGCTCAGCCGAGGGTCAACAGAGAGGAAAGCCATTCAGCTCCGGGGTCCCGACAACACGTTGGTTGACCCTACGGCCATGAGTGGAACTCTCAAAGGCATGTCGCCCAAGCGAGACTCACCCATCTATCTTATCTATCCCTGACCCTTGCCCTCTGTGTCCAAATGCTTGCCACACAAACTTCCTCTTGACTCTCTTCTCTGAGGTTAGTCCTCCTTCTAAAAATTGTTACCTGTCTCTGGTGCTTTTCTAGTTTCTCCTATAAGAATGATTTCTAGTATAAAGTCCAGGACTCTGTTACTTTCTTCAGGCACCTGGGCTCACCAATCAGAAAGACATAACTTTTGCCCAAAGCCCTGTCGTAGTGGGGACTACCTGGAATTTTAGGATCCCTCCTCCGACTAATAGGCCTAACAAAAACTATTCCTGAAGCTAGGATATGGGGAGCCTCAGAAATTGTATCCTTCCTATTCATGTAAGTGAGGACAAAATGTGTCACTCTTCCACCCTGGAGATCCCCTCCCTCCCTCAGGGTATGGCCCTCCACTTCATTTTTGGGGCATAACATCTGTATAGGACAGGGGTAAAGTCCCAACACTAAAAGGTGAATGCTTAGGACTCTAACAGGTTTTTAAGAATGTGTCGGTAAGGGCCACTAAATCCGATTTTTCTCAGTCTGTCCTCTTTGTGGTCTAGGAGGACAGGCAAGGGTGCAGGTTTTTGAGAATGCATCGGTAAGGACCGACCTTCCTCAGTCCTCCATGTGGTCTGGAAGGAAAGCTAGTGTTTCCGCTGCAGCGTCGGTGAGCACAACTATTCTGACCAGCAGGGTCCAGGGACCATTGTGGGTTCCTGGGCAGGGGTTGTTTCTGCTGATGCGTTGGTGAGTGCAACTATTCTGATCAGCAGGGTCCAGGGACCGTTGCGGGTTCTAGGGCAGGGGGAGAAACAAAACAAACCAAAACCGCAGGCGGTTTTGTCTTTCAGATGGGAAACACTCAGGCATCAACAGGCTCACCCTTGAAATGCATGCTAAACCATTGGGACCAATTTAACCCACAAACCCTGAAAAAGAGGTGGCTCATTTTTTTTCTGCACTACGGCTTGGTCCCAATATTCCCTCTTTGATGGGGAAAAATGGCCACGTGAGGGAAGTAGAAATTACAATACTATCCTGCATCCTGACCTTTTCTGTAAGAGGGAAGGCAAATGGAGTGAAATACCTTATGTCCAAGCTTTCTTTTCATTGAGGGAGAATACACAACTATGCAAAGCTTACAATTTACATCCCACAGGAGGACCTCTCAGCTTACCCCCATATCCTAGCCTCCCTATAGCTCCCCTTCCTATGAATGATAATCCTCCTCTAATCTCCCCTGCCCAGAAGGAAATAAGCAAAGAAATCTCCAGAGGACCACAACCCGCCCCCCAGGCAATCGGTTATGTCCCCTTCAAGCTGTAGGGGGCAGAGAACTTGGCCCAACCCAGGTGCATGTCCCCTTCTCCCTCTCTGATTTAAAGCAGATCAAGGCAGACCTGGGGAAGTTTTCAGATGATCCTGATAGGTACGTAGATGTCCTACAGGGTCTAGGGCAAACCTTTGACCTCGCTTGGAGAGATGTCATGCTACTCTTAGATCAAACCCTGGTCTTTAATGAAAAGAATGTGGCTTTAGCTGCAGCCTGAGAGTTTGGAGATACCTGGTATCTTAGTCAGTAAATGATAGAATGACAGCTGAAGAAAGGCACAAATTCCCTACTGGTCAGCAAGCCATCCCCAGTATGGATCCCCACTGGGACCTTGACTCAGATCATGGGGACTGGAGTTGTAAACATCTGTTGACCTGTGTTCTAGAGGGACTACGGAGGATTAGAAAAAAGCCCATGAATTATTCAGTGATGTCCACCATAACACAGGGAAAGGAATAAAATCCTTCTGCCTTCCTCGAGCAGCTACGAGAGGTCTTAAGAATATATACTCCCCTCTCGCCTGAATCCCTCGAGGGTCAATTGATTCTAAAAGATAAATTTATTACCCAATCAGCCACAGCTATCAGGAGAAAGCTCCAAAAGCAAGCCCTGGGCCCTGAACAAAATCTAGAGGCATTATTAAACCTGGCAAACCTCGTCGTTCTATAATAGGGACCAAGAGGAACAGGCCCAAAAGGAAAAGCGAGGTCAGAGAAAGGCTGCAGCCTTAGTCCTGGCCCTGAGATAAACAAACCTTGGTGATTCAGAGAGGACAGAAAATGGAGCAGTCCAATCACCTGGTAGGGCTTGTTATCAGTGTGGCTTACTAGGACACGTTAAAAAAGATTGTCCAATGAGAAACAAGCTGCCCCCTCGTCCATGTCCACTACACTGAGACAATCACTGGAAGGTGCACTGCCCCAGAGGATGAAGTTTTCCTGGGTCAGAAGCCCCCAACCAGATAATCCAACAACAGGACTGAGGGTGCCCCGGGCAAGCACCAGCTCATGCCATCACCCACACTGAGCCCCGGGTATGTTTAACTATTGAGGGCCCGGAAATTGACTTCATCCTGGACACTGGTGCGGCATTCTCAGTGTTAATCTCTGGTCCTGGACGACTGTCCTCAAGGTCCGTTACCATCTGAGGAATCCTGGGACAACCTGTTACCAGGTATTTCTCCCACCTCCTGAGTTGTAATTGGGAGACTTTGGTCTTTTCACATCCCTTTCTTGTTATGCCTGAAAGTCCCACACCCTTATTAGGGAGGGGTATATTAGCCAAGGCTGGAGCTATTATCTACATGAATATGGGGAAGAACTTACCCATTTGTTGTCCCCTACTTGAGGAGGGAATCAACCCTGAAGTCTGGGCATTGGAAGGACAATTTGGAAGGGCAAAAAATGCCCACCCAGTCCAAATCAGTTTAAAAGATCCCACCACTTTTCCTTATCAAAGACTATCCCTTAAGGCCTGAAGCTAATAAAGGGCTACAGAATATTGTTAAACATTTGAAAGCTCAAGGCTCAGTAAGGAAATGCAGCCATCCCTGCAACACCCCAATCCTAGGAGTAGGAAAAGCAAACGGTCAGTGGAGACTAGTGCAAGATCTTAGACTCATCAATGAGGCAGTAATTCCTCTATATCCAGTTGTACCCAACCCCGATACCCTGCTCTCAAATACCAGAGGAAGCAAAATGGTTCATGCTTCTGGACCTCAAGGATGCCTTCTTCTGTATTCCCCTGCACTCTGACTCCCAGTTCCTCTTTGCCTTTGAGGATCCCACAAACCACATGTCCCAACTTAACATGGACGGTCTTGCCCCAAGGGTTTAGGGATAGCCCTCACCTGTTTGATCAGGCACTGGCCCAAGATCTTGGCCACTTCTCAAGTCCAGGCACTCTGGTCCTTTGGTATGTGGATGATTTATTTTGGCTACCAGTTTGGAAGCCTCATGCCAGCAGGCTACTCTAGATCTCTTGAACTTTCTAGCTAATCAAGGGTACAAGGTGTCTAGGTCGAAGGCCCAGCTTTGCCTAGAGCAGGTCAAATATCTAGGCCTAATCTTAGCCAGAGGGACCAGGGCCCTCAGCAAGGAATGAATACAGCCTCTACTGGCTTATCCCCACCCTAAAACATTAAAACAGTTGCGGGGTTCCTTGGAATTACTGGCTTTTGCCGACTGTGGATCCCCAGATGCAACAAGATAGCCAGGCCCCTCTATACTCTAATCAAGGAAACCCAGAAGGCAAATACTCATCTAGTAGAATGGGAACCAGAGGCAGAAACAGCCTTCAAAACCTTAAAGCAGGCCCTAGTAGAAGCTCCAGCTTTAAGCCTTCCCACAGGACAAAACTTCTCTTTATACTTCACAAAGAGAGCTAGGATAGCTCTTGGAGTCATTACTCAGACTCGTGGGACAACCCCACAACCAGGGGCATACCTAGGTAAGGAAATTGATGTAGTAGCAAAAGGCTGCCCTCACTGTTTAAGGGTAGCTGCAGCAGTGGCCGTCTTAGTGTCAGAGGCTATCAAAATAATACAAGGAAAGGATCTCACTGTCTGGACTACTCATGATGTAAATGGCATACTAGGTGCCAAAGGAAGTTTGTGGCTATCAGACAACCACCTACTTAGATACCAGGTGCTACTCCTTGAGGGACTGGCGCTTCAAATACTCATGTGCATGGCCCTCAACCCTGCCACTTTTCTCCCAGAGGATGGGGAACCAATCGAGCATGACTGCCAACAAATTATAGTCCAGACTTTTGCCGCCTGAGATGATCTCTTAGAAGTCCCTTTAACTAATCCTGACCTTAACCTATATACCGACGGAAGTTCATTTATGGAGAATGGGATACGAAGGGCAGGTTATGCCATAGTTAGTGATGTATCCATACTTGAAAGTAAGCCTCTTCCCCCAGGGACCAGTGCCCAGTTAGCAGCACTAGTGGCACTTACCCGAGCCTTAGAACTGGGAAAGGGAAAAAGAATAAATGTGTATACAGATAGCAAATATGCTTATCTAATCCTACATGCCCATGCTGCAATATGGAAAGAGAGGGAGTTCCTAACCTCTGGGGGAACCCCTGTTAAATGCCACAAGGAAATTATAGAATTATTGCATGCAATGCAAAAACACAAGTAGGTGGCACTCTTACACTGCCAAAGCCATCAAAATGGGAAGAAGAGGGGAGAACAGCAGCATGAGTGACTGGCAGAGGTAGGGAAAGACCAGCAAGAAGGAGAGAAAAAGAAAGTCAGAGAAAGAGAGAGAGAGAGGAAGGAACAGAGGGACAAAGAGAAGGAGTCAGAGAGAAAGAGGGACAGACACAGAAAGTCAAAGAGAGAGTTAAAAAGAGAGGAAGAGACAAAGAAGGAGTTGAAGAGAGAAAGAGAGAGAAAGAAATAGTAAAGAAAAAAAAACAGTGTACACTATTCCTTTAAAAGCCAGGGTTAAGTTCTGTCTACCCAGACAAGGCAGATTCTTCTTATGTGGAACAACGACCTGTATCTGCCTCCCCACTAACTTGACAGGCACCTGCACCTTAGTCTAAGTCCCAACATTATCATTGCCCCAGGAAATCAGACCTTATCAGTACCCCTCAAAGCTCAAGTCTGTCAGTGCAGAGCCATACAACTAATACCCCTCCTTAAAGGGTTAGGAATGGCTATGGCTACAGGAACCAGAATATGTGGTTTATCTACTTCATTATCCTACTACCACACACTCTCCAAGGATATCTCAGACAGTTTGCAAGAAATAGCGAAATCTGTTCTTACTTTATAATCCCAAATAGACTCTTTGGCAGCAGTGACTCTCCAAAACTGCCAGGGGGGATTGAGAGGTGACAGCATGCTGACAGCCCTGGCTCACTCTCGGTGCCTCCTCAGCCTCAGCGCCCATTCTGGCCATGCTTGAGGAGCCCTTCAGCCTTCCACTGCACCATGGGAGCCCTTGTGTGGGCTGGCCGAGGCCGGAGCCAGCTCCCTCAGCTTGCGGGGAGGTGTGGAGGGAGAGGCAGGGGTGGGAGCCAGGGCTGCGTGCAGTGCTTGTGGGCCAGCTAGAGTTCTGGGTGGGTGTGGGCTTGCTGATCCCTGCACTTGCAGTGGCCGGCCAGCCCTGCCAGCCCCAGGCAGTGAGGGACTTAGTACCCAGGCCAGCAGCTGCAGAGGGTGTGCCGGGTCCCCCAGCAGTGCTGACCCACCAGCGCTGTGCTGGATTTCTCACCCGGCCTTAGCTGCCTCCCCACGGGGCAGGGCTTGGGACCTGCAGCCCACCATGCCTGAGTCTCCCCCAACCGCCATGGGCTCCTGCATGGCCTGAGCCTCCTGGACGAGCGCCACCCCCTACTCCATGGTGCCTGGTCCCATCGGCCGCCCAAGGGCTGAGGAGTGCAGGCGCACGGTGAGTGACTGGCGGGCAGCTCCACCTGTGGCCCTGGTATAAGATCCACTGGGTGAGGCCAGCTGGGCTCCTGAGTCTAGTGGGGACTTGGAGAACCTCTGTGTCTAGCTAAGGGATTGTGAGTGCACCAATCAGCACGCTGTGTCTAGCTCAAGGTTTGTGAACACACCAATCAGCGCCCTGTGTCTAGCTCAGGGTTTGTGGATGCACCAACCGGCACTCTGTATCTAGCTAATCTGGTGGGGACTTGGAGAGTCTTTATGTCTAGCTAAGGGATTGTGAATACACCAATCAGCACTCTGTATCTAGCTCAAGGTTTGTGAACACACCAATCAGCACCCTCTGTCTAGCTCAGGATTTGTGGATGTACCAACCGGCACTCTGTATCTGGCTAATCTGGTGGGGACTTGGAGAATCTTTATGTCTAGCTAAGGGATTGTGAATACACCAATCAGCACTCTGTATCTAGCTCAAGGTTTGTAAACACACCAATCAGCACACTGTGTCTAGCTCAGGGTTAGTGGATGCACCAATTGGCACTCTGTATCTAGCTAATCTAGTGGGGACTTGGAGAACCTTTATGTCAAGCTAAGGGATTGTGAATGCACCAGTCAGCACTCTGTGTCTAGCTAAAGGTTTGTAAGTGTAGCAATCAGAGCTCTGTGTCTAGCTAATCTGGTGGGGACTTGGGGAATCTTTATGTCTAGCTAAGGGATTGTGAATGCACCAGTTGGCTCCCTGTATCTAGCTCAAGGTTTGTAAATGCACCAATCAGCACTCTGTGTCTAGCTCAGGATTTGTAAATACACCAATCGACACTCTCTATGTAGCTAATCTAGTGGGGATGTGGAGAACCTCTTTGTCTAGCTCAGGGATTGTAAATGCACCAGTCAGCACCCTGTCAAAACAGACCATTCAGCGCTCTGTAAAACAGACCAATCGGCTCTCTCTAAAATGGACCAATCAGCAGGATGTGGGTGGGGCCAGATAAGAGAATAATAACCATGGAAATATCTTGAAAACTGTTGTGCAGATGTAGGTAGTCATTCTTGTTGACACATTGATGAAGATGCTAATAACTCATGAGACCATCTTAAAAGGGGCTGGTTGGTAGGAAGGAAAGCCTGAATTAGTGCAAGGTCTGAATAATCGGGTTTCTTCTTACTTTTTTAAAAAAATCAAACTTAATTGTTCACAGCAGTTTAGAAATACATTTCAAGGGCTGCCACTTAGAGGCGAATTTTAACAAAGAAAGGCCAGGCACAGGGGATCGTGCCAGTAATCCCAGTACTATGGGTGACTGTGATGGAAAGATAACTTGAGGCTAGAAGTTTGAGCCAGGGCAACACAGTGAGCCCCTGTCTCTACAAAAAATAAAAATTAAAAAATTGCCAGATATGGTGGCATGTACCTGTAGTCCTGACTATCTGAGAGGCTGAGATGAGAGGATTGCTGGAGCCTGAGATTTGGAGGCTGCAGTGAGATTTGATCATGTCACTGCACTCCAGCCTGGATGACAGAGCAAGACCCTCTCTAAAAAAAAGAAAGAGAGAGAGAGAGCCAAAATTTCAGTCCCAGTAGCTCACTTACTTAGGTGGTTTGAGTATCATTAAATTCATCAGGGTCACCAAACAGTTAATTAAGTAGATAAAGAGTCCTCCATTTTATTGATACCTTTTGTTTATTAAAAATTTCCTTTTTCTTTTTCAACATTACTGTTAAGCTCTATTCCTTCCCCTGGGTGAGTTCTTGCAATATTAAATTGGTAGGATCTGAATTCATACCTGTTTTGGATAAATCTATCAAATTTAAGAAGGAACCTAGGAAAGAACAACTTGAGAGGTGGCCGTAGAGCAGACAGGAGCCCTGTATGACATTGATCATTTGGAGGCCACCTGGCCTCCACTTCTCTCTGTGACTGCCTCCTCTTGAGGGATTTTCCATTGTGTGGGGCTTTGGGAGGTGAGAACACAGCTGGGGAAGAAGACTCTACCACTTGGGCTCAACTTTCCCTGAAGACTCTGAATCCTGTAAACACGGGGCAAGCAGTGGCCTTGGTACATCTCGGACTGAGGAGAAGCTCAGATCAGGTAGTTCCTATGACAAGGCCCCTCTTCAGGAGCTCCCTGATTCTGGGACACCCCTGGCCTAAAATCAAGTTAGTAAGCCCCAGATATCCTCCAATTACCCTTCTTTTCATTCAGGAGAGCCAAAAATCGGCTTTTATTTGTAAGTAGATAACATGGCTAATAAGGTGTCCTTTTCCAAACAATTTTTCACCTACAAACAATTTTTGTGTGTGTGTGCTAATCTGTAATGTTGCTGAGTGAATTGTTTAACAAGAAGCACATCAGAGTGATTTTAGCAACAAGAGCACTCATTCCTGTCTCGGTCTAGAACTCCTGAGATTTAAGATGGATCTGAAAAATTCTGTGTTCTCTTAAAGTGTAGTCATGTTTTCATAATCGGTGTGTTGTGCCTTTTTCATATTCTTTGTCGGCATGCAGCTGTTCAAATTTAAAGGAAAGTTTCTGTCCCAAAAGCGTAATTCCTCGACAGAAAGTTGTTTGTTGGTTTTTGTTTGTTTGTTTGTAAGTCATAATCATGTTTTTGAGAATGTTTATTTCACTTTACCGTAGCATCATACAATTCAACCTCATGGGCATTCTTTATTCTGACACTTATAACTCTGAGTAAGAACACCATCTCTCTTGGGAGAAAAAGCAAAAGAGAATGTTTCTTTAATAAATATGCTTAATGTTCAATTAAAGTGTGTCTGTGGTGGAGAAGAGGGACAATAGATTTTTTCTTGAAATTTGTAAGAGGCTAAATTATTCAACACAGACAGTCTACCTTGAATAAACTTTATCATCTAAAAACATTAAGAATTTGGGCCTCTGGGCCTCTCAAAAAAAAAAAAAAAAAAAGAAGAAGAATTTGGACCTCTGGATGCTGACATTCTTAACCTTGGATACAAACCCAAGGGAAGTGATTGCAACACCAATTGTTATAATTTGGCTGTAATATTCAGTCTGAAGAGACTAATTGTGAATGCAACTCTGCCTTTTTGTGTGTAAAATTATTTAGCTTACTATCATAATTTTCGATTCAGTTCTCTTTGCTAACCACCCAGTTTAATCCATTCTCTCAAGTGATTTTCTTCTCTCTGCACCATATTGGTTGAGGCTGCCTCATCTCCTGCTCATAGTAACATGGCACATTTTTATCTGATTCTGTCACTCTCTTCTCACTCCAATTCGTCTTCTCCAGTCCATTTTCAATAGCTACAGAGACCTGTTAAAACACAAATCTGGTCACTTTATCTTCTGCCAAAGATTAATGTGCTCCCATTGTTCTTAGGATGAAAACGAAAGTCATTAATTAATATGCTAAGGCCAGCATTATCACTTTATTTTTAACATTAAACAAAACCTAAAAGGTTTGTCATATAATTGATATCTACCATATCCTATAGTCAATTATTTCAAACAAATTAACCAGAGATGGATTTTGAAACTTGAAATCTGCCACAGCTTCATCTTTCCATAACTCTATCAGTAAATAATTGGTCAAATTTCATGCTTTTGGTGGAGAAAAACTGCAAAGCCACAGAAACATCTAGTTTTGCCCAAAAACTAAGCAAAAACATGTAATTTGCCAAAAATTTGAGCCAAGAAACCATGGAGAAAACAGCCAAGCCCATCCATCAGGAAAGGCTTGGTTAGTGCCCATATCCGGACTGGAATATACAATCCCAAGAGTTGAAAAATGTGTGGGCAAAATGTAAGTTTGAGCAATAGTCACTTTCGTTTTCTTTTTTTTTTTATTTAAAGAGGTATGTGCTTGTCAGTGGGAATAAAAATAAAATGACATGCTTTTGGGATAAAATTGCTACGGCTGCAGTATCTTCCTTAGTGGGTAATTGGCCATGCATCATAAAGAATGCGGTACCAGAAGGAGATCTTTAATACCACATCTTTAGTATCACGGCCCTATTAACCTTGACTTCAGATGGATTGGCCATGGGGTTCACTTACTCCAGAGACCCAGCCTACAGAAAAAGACTTATGCAAAACTAGGTTTATTTTTTATTACTCTAGAGGGAAGGGCTGTGTCGAATGTATAAAGATCCACTGCTTTCTCTAGGTAGAGGTTCAGAATTGCAAAATGGTGTGGTTGGAGTTGCAAGATCATTGATCTGTGCTAGGATGTAAAATTCAGAGAGAGCTGAATCAAAAATTAAGATGATAAGCTAAAATTATTTAGCTACAATTATTTAAAATTATTATATATTAGGGACTTCCCATAAGCCACACTGTGCTGTTTTATCTCATTAAATTTTCACAATGTAGCCACAGTTTTCCCCCATTTTACAGGTGACAAGATACAGTCCCAAAGAGAGAAGAGACATCTCTGTCCTCCCCATGCTCAGCATCCTTCGCCCTTTTTCTGGTGCCAGCATCCTGGCTTTCTTTGAGGGACGTGCTTCCTTCCCCTGTGTTGGTAGACAGATGCCTGGAAGCTACCACTCACGGTATCCTGCTCTCCCCTGGCCAGCCGTACCCTCTTCCCAAAGAACCCAATCATGATTAAATAACAGGCAGGGATAAAAGGTTTGAGAAAGATCCATCTCTCCCACAAAGTACCTTCTGCCACCATCCCCCTTCTTCCCTTTCTGTCTTCTGGTTCTTCAGTTTATCTTCCTTTTGGCTTAGGTTTCCCAGAGTGGATTTCTGTTGCTTGCAGTGAGCTAACTGTGGCTGAAATAAGAGGGTTAGTAGCTTTTCTGCACACACACATTCCAACTGCTACTTTCCTCACCCTTTCTGCCTCATCTCCCTGCTGCCTGTGGTAGTGATTGCTGGGCACTGGGTGCTTGATGCATGTGCATCCTGACCCTCCTTCCCACACTAGGATAGCGGAGGAGGTGGTATGCTTTGGTCTCTGGGAAGAAGCAACCCCAACCCAACACTTTGGGTTGCTGTTTCTCTGTACTGCTGGACTGCACAAAAGCCGAGCTTCCGTCTCAGTGTGGTTTGAAGGTGGCCAAATGGCCATTAACTGGGTGCTGCGTCCAGCAGTATCACTCAATTCCACATGTAGAAAAAGTTAGCCAAGGGATAAGAGCTAAAACACCTACAGAATGGGACGAAGATATGTCAAAATACCCTCTGTGGCTCTGGCACAGGCAGGACAGTAGCATCATCAGGCTGCTGGGCCCACCAGTATGCAATAATTCCCTCTTTATTCAGTGTCGTAGCAGAAGTGTAACATCCTCTGTGTGCAAATCGTCAAAATTTTTCTTTGTGGGCACGGTTCAGATAAAAACAGGAGAGTCACATGACCTAAATGCTGTGCTCAGCAATATGTCACAATTCCACCATTTGAAAGGCCCAGGCAGGGAAAGAGAGTCATGTCAGTTAGGTTATGGCCTCAGAGATATGTCCCAGTGTCCCCATTAGGCAGGACTCAGGCAGAAAAGGAGAGTCTTATCACCTAGGTTCTTCTTTAGGTATACGTCACAGTATAAGACATAGACAGAAACCAAGCAGAAGAACCACATCACCCGGGTGTTGGGTCCTGAGATATGTTGCAAGGCTCCCTTAGGATAGAATCAAGGTGAAAGAGTTACATCACCTTGGTGTAGGTTCAACTTTTATGTCACAGTGCCTTACGTGGGTGAGGCCCAAGCTTTGAGTCACATCACCTCGGTAATATGCCCAAAGATATGTCACAATGCCCTGTTTAAAACACAGCCCTGGCAAAAGAGTACCGTCACTTGTGTGCCTGGGCCTAGCAATATGTTACTACCACCTGCTGTGTTCAGGGTCCTTTCCAGAGAGGAGAGTTACATTTCCTAAGTGGTGGACACAGTGATATGTTACAATGATGTCTGCGGAAATGGCGCAGGCAAGAATGTAACATCATCTGGGTGTTAGATCTGGTAATATTTCACAATCCTTAGAGAATGGCAAAGGCAGGATGGTCACATCCTCTAGAAGCTGTAACATCACCTGGGTTTTACATCCAGTGATATGTCACAATCCTGAGAGGACATCCAAGGGAGGAGAGTCATATCATCTAGAAGTTGGCCCAGGTAGAGATCACAATCCCTTATGTGGGCTGAAACCAATCTAGAGGGTCAAATCACACAGATGCTTGCAAATATTTGTATCACATTCACACTGGTAGAACATACCAGAGATGAGATTTATAATACCACACATGTCCTGTTTTCATGAGTGACAATGTGAGATCTGACAGTCCTTACTTTAAGGTGGGTGTGCATGTGAAACTTACAATTTCATCCTTCTGGGTTTTGTTAAGACACTCTCTGTACAAGTCATGGGCTTTATAAAATATCTGAGGCTGTTATAATCTTCTGTGGCCTTTTTACCAGAAAGAGATCCAAGACATCACTCGTGTTTCTAGAGCAAGTTACAAAAGTCAAATTAACTCCTGTTTCTGGGGTCCGCATATCAGAGTCATTATGATGCCTGTGAGCTGTGCCAAGGCATATGTCAAAATTTACTCTGTGGTAATGAAACAGGCATGACAGCCATATAACCTAAATGCCGAGGCAGAAATATTCCAATATTCTCTTTTCAGGCAAGTTCCTGGCAGAAATGTCACATAACTTTGGGGCTACGCCTAACTCTGTGGCACAATGGCCCTTGTAGGCAGTTTCCAGGCAGAAGAGGAGAGTCATATCACCTAAATAATAGGCCCAGAGATATGTCACAATGCCTCCTGTTGAAAGTGGCAGGAACGTATTAACGTATTATTTCTGATTATATCCATCTGAACTGGAGTAATCTGGTATCTTATTGTGGCTTTAATTTGCATTTTTCTAATAATTAATAGTGTTGACCATCTTTGCAGGTACTTGGCCATTTGTATGTCTTCCTTGGAGAAATTTCACTTAAGGTCTCTCATGTATTACTAAATTCTGGTTATTTTTGCTTTTGTGTTTGTTATATATTTTGTGTGATTATCCCTTGTCGTATGTATATTTTGCAAATATATCCTCCCACACTGTAAGTTGTCTCTACTCTATTAATTTATTTTTGCTATGTGATATTTTTTAGATTCTGTTAAATTCACTTGCCTGCTTTTGCTTTTGTTGCCTATGCTTTTGAGTTCTTATTTACATTTTCTTCCTGTCCTATTTTGTAAATCATTTCCCTATGTTTTATTCAAATAGTTTTTAAGATTGAGTTGTACCTTTAAGTCTTCTAATTATATATAATTAAGTTGTTTTAATATGGTAGGTAACCAGTTGACATCTAGTTATATTCATTTAAATAATCAATTTTCCTAGCACCATTCATTGAAAAGATTGTCGTTTCTTAAGTGCATATTCCAAACAGCTTAAAAATTACTTGGCCCTAGGTTTCTGAATTTACTATTGGGATCGCTGCATACTTTGGTCTATGTGTCTGTTTTCTATGCCAGTGTCATGCTCTTTTGCTTGTTGTAGCTTTGTAGGATATTTTAAAGTCAGGTGCTTTGATGCTTTCAGGTTGTTCTTTTTTCATAGGATTACTTTGGCTATTTGGAGAGGTTTTCTTTTGTTTTCTATGAATTTTTGGCCTGTTTTTTCCATTTCTGTGAAAAAAATGTCATTTGGTATTTTATAGAGTTTGCATTGAATCTGTAGATGCCCTTGAGTGGCAAAGCCATTTTAACAATATGTTTTATAACTAATGAGCAAAAATATCTCTCAAACTTTTCATGTCTTACTTTCTTTATAAGTGTTTTATGATTTACAGTGTAGACAGTGTTTATTTCTTAATTAGTTTTACTGCTAGGCACCTTTATTTTTTATTCTAGATGCAAAAAAAGTATTTGGAAAAATCTAACATGCCTTTGTGATTAAAACAACAGAAGAAATTAGGTATAGATGGTATCTACCTGAATACAATTAAGGCAAAATATGAAATTCATTAGCTGATATCACACTGAACAGGAAAATAGGAAAGTTTTTCTTTTGAGATCTGGAACAAGACAATGATGTCTACTTTTACCACTTTCATTCAACAGAGTACTGGAATTCTCAGCCTGATCATTTTGCAAGAGAAAGAAATAAAAGACATCCAAATGAAAAAGGAGAAATTCAGATTGTCTCTGATCACAGATCATACAATTTTTTATATAGCAGAACTAAATAGTACACTAAAAATCTTGAGAATTAATAAAGAAATTCAGTAAAGTGGCGTTATATCAAATTCACATACAAAATTAGGAGCATGTTTACATGCCAAGAATGAGCCATCTGAAAGAAAAGTTCAAGAAAAAAATTATTTACAACAGCTATAAAAATAAGTCCTGTTTCATTTTAAGTTCATCCTTGTGGTAAGGTTCAAAAATTGTTTTTTTGTTTGAGTATTCAGTATTCTCTACCTCATTTGTTAAATAAACTGTTCTTTTTTCATGTAAAGTGATAGAGACCAGAGATAGCCAAGGGACCTTTTCTCATTTTGAGTAATAGAGACAGGAGACAGTCAAGAGTCCTGGCCAAAACTCCACTTTTAAGCCTAAAACAGCCTAAAGGCTGATAAATTGAACTGCTGATTTCAGATAAAATCGGCCCTTTCCTGACTGTTTCTCTCTGAGTAATGCCCACACGCGCACTGGGAAAAGGAGGTGGAGCCATGGAAATGTCAAGGAAGGGGACACAAGCAAAGAAAAAAATGGATGCATGAGAGGCCAGTAATTCAATCAGGAAATTGGCAGATTTAAAATCTTATAGGTACTGGGTTTTTCTTCTGCCTGTATGTGTGTAAAAGAGCTCCAATAAATTTACTGAAAAAATGATAAGCACTTGGATCAAATATTTTTGAAGGAAAGATGAAAGATGTGTATGTTTTAGTTCACATGACTTTAATGCTTGAGAAATAAAAACAGCCTTAAGATTATCAGTAAAACACAAATGTCATCAATATGTGAGTAGGTGGACTAAATTATGCAGGTCAGATACTAGGTTTGCTGAATGTTTTAAGGTTATAACTGCTTTTTTGGTTTTTGAAAACAGTTCAACTTTGCTTCACAATTGGTCAAGCCTGAGGAAAAATGGAACTAAACACACCCTTAATTATGGCTGCTCCTAGCACATAATTAGGACAATTTACCTGGCTTTACATTAAAGTTAAAATTGCTAAAATTTACCGTGATAATATGTAATTGAAACCACTGGAAGTACATTTCCAGACAAGGTGTGTAAGGACGGTAAAATGTGTTTTTAATACAACATTATAAGAAGGCATGCAAATATAAATTCTTGCCTAGGATCAAACAACCGTTTTGAATTACAGATGATAAAGCTGAAAGTTCAAACAAGTTATGGAAGAATTGTAAAAATAAATCTTTCCAAGAAATTCTGTGTGTGAATATCAATTAAATTCAAGAGGATATTATATGTTTTTTTGTTTTTGTTTTTTGTTTTTTTGTAAATTGAGCATTGAAATGAAAGCACAAAAAGTACTCTTAAGGCACTAATCTGCTCTGAAGGAAAATTTTTAAATAATGTAAAAGTTTCTGCTTTTTTATTTATAGGTCATTATTTTCGTTAAATAAATAATTTATGGTAATCTGGAATTTTATTTTATAACATCAAGCATTTCAAACTCCTAACATGTAATATCCTTCTCAAAATCAAACTTTGATTACAAAATGGTCTTTCCTAATTCCTGGTTTTTGAATGCTAAAGAGGGTGCCTGGAGTATCCACGAGAGCTTTATACAGGATCATACAACGTGTTTAGTTACAAGGAATCCCAAAAATGGTTTTCAATATTCTTTAGATGGCATTTTCATGAATAATACTAATACATGTTCCTAAATTGTATGGAATTTCTAAAATTCTAATGTCTGACATATATGCTGTCAACCACAATTAATGCTGTTATGTTAAGTTATTGCAAACCATAGACATAACCAAAATTTTTGTCAATCATCTTTCTGACTGTAACTACTCTGGATGTTTTGTTAAACACAGACAATTGTCATCTGGTTTTGACATTTTTCCAAAAATGTTTTTTAATCAGCTATAGAACTTTGACTGGTGCTCACAAATGCAGGCTTCTGAAAACTTTGGAGCTGTGACAGGAATACAGGAAAAACCTACCAGGACCCATGAAGAGCTAAAATGTTTATGAATATTAAACAAAACAAGAGTTAACTGAATGGACTGGACTGATAGAAACATGAAGTAATCTTTCCTATTTTTGCTTGTAACATTACTGACTCATGTATTGTTTACCATAGTCAAGGAAACTTATTTTGAGCTGTTTACAGCCTTTAATATTTGAGTAAGGTGTACTCCTGTGAAGAAAATTTGAATCATGTTTATCTCTCTCTTCCTGGCTTCTTCAGAATTTGAAAAATAGTTATGAGTGTTCTTAACTTATGGCAATATAGCTGTTTGAATCAGTGTAATAATAGTCTATTTTATTTGCAACAGGACACAGTTAGAGAAACTGGTTGTTTTATCAAGGCCTTGATTGAAAAGTTCTGCTTCCCTTTAAGCAGTCAAGCTCAACTTGCAGAGCCAATAATAGCCCCTTGGATAAACTGGCCTTATACCTTATCTACAGAGTCCTTGTGCAGGGTTCCAGATCTGTGGTAAGTAAAGAATGACACTTTGGACAGGCCCAGGGGCTCCAAGTTTATTTTGGGACCATAAGAGAAGAGGATAACCCAACTCATAACTAACTGATGGTACAAAACCATGGCTGGGTTTGACTTCAGAAAGTCCTCTCTGAAATTTCTTGTGGAAGAGTTCTATTAAAGCCAATGTAAAATAACTATGTAGGAATAATTTTTCTTGCTGTGCTTTATGTAAATAATGAATCCAAGCATACGACTAAAGCTGATTTCACAAAGAACTCAGTTCTATCATTATTTGTTTCTAACAACAACAACAAAAGAACTGAATGGAAAAGATTATTTGTCAAAACTAATTATATGGTTGTCATTAAATCCTAAACTCATTAGATTTGCATTTTTCCTACATTTTAGAACAAACCGGCTTATTCTTGTAAGCCAATTAGTGATATTCAACTGCAGCTCAGAAGAAATGAAAAGAAACTGGTAAAAATCTGGATTAATATTCTAGTTCTGGGCAATTATCCTGCAAACCCTGCATTGTTATGGGAATAAATAGTGTGCCCACCCAAATCTTAGCAAGCATAACTAGAGCCACGAGATATCTGGGTGTGTTACAAGACATTATTTCTCTCCCTCGTGGAAAGAGGACTCAATCCCACAGCTTCATCTAAAAATTCAGCTAACTATATGGAGTCCATGCAAATCCCTGAGCCACATTTTGTCCCAACCTCAGTTTCAAGCTTCAGGTTGAAGCCCTAGGAAATAACACCGGATCTGAGAAATCCAGAAGGAGATGATAATGGAGGATAAAAGGCACAGTGCAGGTGAGCATGACAAATTCCAGACAATTAAGCCAAGCCTCCCATTTCATCGATAAAGATTATGCTAGTGTCCTTGGCATAAATAAAGTCTAGTGAACTCCAGAACTACTGACAGCAGAGTAGATAGGGCATACGTGGGTAAGAGCAGACATTTCAACCACCCTAGTTCTCTCCGTTAACATGGGTGAAAGCTGCTTTGACACCCATGGACGGACCTTGTTACAATCACTGGGACTCGGGGATAGAAGAATAGGAGCAGGAAAGAGAAGATTTTTTCTCCTATCCCTCAACATACCCTGGAAATTTGCAAGAAAGAGAAAGGAACCAGGGACAACTGCTTCTCTCTTTCTAGATGAGTAGCCATTTGTCTTCAGTCTATGTGCCTTTTGAATGCAAACTAAACCCTTGGGACTTCTCTGAAAATAATGTTTTTTGTTTTTTCTTTCTCCTCTGTCCTCTATTTACAGATAGGTAATCATGTCTTCATACTATGGGACACTTTCCTCAGATGCATCCTCAAAGCCTGGAAGAGTTAATTTCCCAAAATTTAGACTTGTTTGCTTAGGATCGAACTCAAGGCAAAAGAACCCAGAAGACTGACATGCTGGCCAAACAATTTTTTTTTTCTTCCATTGGAGTTTTTGTCCTTCCTCTTTCTATGGGAAAAGACCTTCCCTTTTCAAGGGAAAAGACCTTGGAAATTTTGAGCTGACCTTGCCATTTGCCCCTTGTTTCATTTCAGTACATGTTTTTTAATAACCCAGTTTGATTCTTTTTATTTTTAGCCTACCAAAGTTCAAAAAGTCACTCAACCAGAGCCTTGAACAGTGGCCCATTTCACTGGGGACAATTAGATAGGCCTCTTAGTGAGATCTGATTGCCATTTTTTTCCAAAAAAAAAAGTGCCCCCTCTCAGCAGGAAGCACTTAAAAGTTGTTTTTGTCCTAATCCTTATCCTTCTTCTAATGGCAGTCAGATGTACTCATTTAAAGGGGGGAAATAACGAGTTAGAAAAGAGCCAAGGGTCCTTGGCAAAACCACACATTCAAGCTTAAAACAGCCTGAAGTCTGAAAAATCAGACTGTTGGCCCCAGATAAAGCCTTCCTTTTTCCAACTGATTTTCTCTCAGTAATATCCACCTGCACAACTGGGGAAGAGAGTGGAGCCATGGAAAGTTCACCTCTTGTGCAGGGAGGAGAAGCCTGGACTCTTCAGTTTCCTGTGATGGTCTGGTGTTCATCAATTTGGGAGGTGGGGGCCTGTAAACAGGTCTCCAACTCATTTTGTTAAAAGTTTTCTTCTTCTTCTTCTTTTTTTTTTTTCCATTTTCCCCAATCAACTCTACTCCTCATCCTTCAGAGCGTCCCTGACTTAATATATTCTAGTCATGTGACCAGAACCCAATTTTTTTTGATGTAAGGAAAGTGTTCTGCAACATGAGGATTTGCAACCGTCGTTTAAGATAAGCTGAGTATACGCATGTGGGTTACTTTCTGGCTTCTCTTATCTCTTTCAACATTTATTTTTCTGTCTTTTTCCCAGCACCACACTGTTTGATTACTGTAACTTTGCAATATGTTTTAAAATAAAAAAATATATGACTCTGACTTTATTATATTTTCCCAGGTTGTTTGTCTATTTGTGGTTTTTGAGCATTTATAAAAATTATAGGGCAATATTTGGTGGCTCACTCCTGTGATCCCAGAACTTTGGGAAGTCAAGGCAGGTGGATTGCTTGAGTCCAGAAAGTTTGAGACCAGCATTGGCAATATGGTGAAACCCTGTCTCTACAAAAACCCCCAAATCTTGCTGACCGTGGTGGCATGCACCTGCAGGCCCAGCTACTTGTGAGGCAGAGGTGGGAGGATCAATTGAACTTCAGAGCTCAAGGCTACATGCAGTGAGCCATGATTAGGACACTGCACTCTAGCCTGGGTGACACAGCCAAATATTGATGCCAACACTTCAGAATATTTTAGTACTTCTGGAAAAACTACCATTGGTTTTTTGAAAGAGGTCTCATTGATCTGTAGATCATTTTGAATACCATAAACGTCTAAAGAAACGTGCATGTTCTAACTCTTTTAAAATAGCGTGCGGAAGAATTTGTCTACTTTTCATATACATGCAGACATGCTAGCTTTCTTTTGGTTTTGAACCTCCAGTTATATTTTACTGTAGTCAGAAGTAATACTTTTTTATAACCATTTGTTCAAATATGCTAAAACTTGCATGCTAGCTAAGAAGTTTGCCTATCTTAGGAAATAAACTGTATGTAATTAGAAATATTATGTATTATGCTATCGTTGCGTGAAATGTTTTGTAGATTATCCCTAGATCTTATTTTTCTTTTTAATCTTTTATTTTTCTGTACATTTGTCTTTGTTTTTATCTTGTTTCTCTTTATTTTTATTTACTTTCATTTTTTCTATTAATTTAATTTTACTTCATTTTTTATTTTTTGTTTTTTCATTATAGTCTCAATTTCAAATTTTCTAGATTTTTGTTGTTTGTAATTTTATTCAATTTCTTGTTTCTTTTATTTATTTCCATGCATATCTCTTTGTTATTTTATTTTTCTCTGCATTTCTTTTTTACTTTCACTTGTCTCTTCTTATTCTTAAAATTTTCTTATTTCTCAATTTTATTGTATTTACTGTTTATCTTCATCTTGATTTTATTTTCACTAATCTTAGTTATATTTTTCTTTACTTTTCTCTATTTTGTTTCAGTTTATTTTATTTGCCCTTACTATTTTCCAATTGCTTTATTTTTAAATTTTATTTCTCTTGAATTATTTTTTCTTTATTTGTCTACATTTTGCTGAGGCAGGGTATAGTCAGGGGCTCCTATCAGAACTGCTGTTATCCCTGGACAGATCTTTTATTGTTACAAGCCCATCTAGCATTCAGTTTTACAGGCCATTTCTACTGCTTTCGAAAGCCCCGTGCAAGCCTCAGTATTGCTAGGCTGAAGCCCTGATTGCCTCTTTATTTGTGTACGAATGGGTTCCCTACACACAATCCAGGGCACTGATTGCTCTTCCTACTTTACAAGGACAGAGCCGCACCCACTCCACTCCAACAAGTAATGTCTGCACCATATGTGAATCTTTTTGCCGTTAAAAAATAAAATTTTGAGACAGAGTCTTGCTGTGTCACCCAGGCTGGAGTGCAGTGACGTGACCTCAGCTCACTGCAACCTCTGCCTTTCAGTTTCAAGTGATTCTCCTGCCTCACCCTCCAAAGTAGCTGGGATTACAGATGCCAGGAATTTTTTTTTTCTTTTTTGTATTTTTAGTAGGGACGGGATTTCACCACGTTGGCCAAGCTGCTTTCAAACACCTGACCTCAATGATCTACCCTCCTCGATCCCCCAAAGTGCTGGGATTGCAGGTGTGAGCCACTGCACCCAGTCAAAAAAATTTGTTTTAAGTTTTAACTTGACATATATTTGATTTATTTTGAATATATTAGCTTTATGGGTAGATACACATTCATATATGTACAAAAATGCAATTGATGTGAGAAGATGAATATTTCTACATTTTATCTTATGATTTCATGGAGTTGCTATTTTACCTTTTCCTTTCTTTATCTTTATATGTTTAATGGGAAGATCCTCAGTGAAGACCCCTCACTGTGATAGACAAAATATTGTACAATAAATCATGGATAGATGCAGTGAAGTAACTTCTGGTTTTTATTTGGAGATCTCATAGCTGGGATTAAAAACTCTGGTGGTAAAAATCACCTGATGAGGACTTTTAATATGCTGTCTTCTTCTGCACATTTTCCCACCATCACAATTTTTTGAATTTCCCAAGAAAAAATGTGGAAAATTATTTCCCTCATACCTACTCATCTCCCTTTTATAGGTTTTCAGGTTATGCTTTGTGCAGATTGCTTAGAAGCTCACGATCACAGACATCATATTTGTCAAGAGAAAGCTTTGTTGAACCAGGATTAAGTGTAGGTGTTTACCTCCTAAGGGCCCATGGTTCCTCTAGAGGTTGGATGGATCTTCAAAACCATTACTGAATCCAGGAACTGAAGACAGAATTTGAGGGCATTGAAAAATGCTCCCTTTTGATTTCCAAGTGTTCGCTGCTTATTCTGGCATTAATCTTGATTGTGACCACGATGTTTCTCTTAGTCATCTTTCCTGGTACACCACTGATTGTGCATCTAAGGAAAAGAGGCCTGAATGAGAGTGTTAAGGAGAACAACAGCATCTTTCTTAGCTGATGCCTCGGTGAGCTTTGAAGCACATTGAGCAGAGTCTGAAATCCTTCCTTAATATAGGATAAGTTGCATCAAATTCAACTCCCATAGAAATGGCACCAGGTTCAAGATGTCAAAGAAGAGACTTAGAACAAGTGAATGAGATACGGAGTTTTACTGGGGACTTAAAAAGAGGGGAAAAAGTCCACTGTCAGTGGGCTTAGCATGATAACCATTCCCACTTACAAAAAGCATGCAGTTTGTATAGCATTGTTATTTAGCACTTTTTTCAACAACTTTTCACCTGTCAGCATTTATTTAACAAAAAAGGAGTGGCCTCAGTCCCCTGTGTGGTCTGTATTCCATGCCACAGGATGGAACAGACCTGGTACTGAGATATTCCTCATAAAGAAAGAATAATTTTCAGGTTAGCCACTACTAGGTTTTTTATCTTGGATCTCTGGGCACTCAGAAGCTTTTTTTTTTTTTTTTTAATACAAGGTCAGTCTCCAGGTATGCCCAAGTCAAGTTAACACTGTCAGTTTCATCCATCATACAGGCTGGTTAAGGCAGTGGAGGGTCTTCTTCCTGAGACTCTAAATTCAAAATGGTTTGATTTTTCTTAAATCCTTGAGTTGACAGTTTACTAAAAGGCCCATTGTGTGTGCACATTGCTGGTATGGTTGTCTAAGATAATGAGATGGCTTCTTAGTTGGTAGGGTGTGTTTCTGTTACAGGTGTGACTGGGTTTGTACAGGCTGCTGAGGTGCCCCTTCTCCAGACTGTCATTGGATCATGACATTCTGGGGTCCCAGTTCCACTATTTCCCAAGGTGGGACACGCTGACGCAGAACCTGAAATTGTGATTCACGGTGACTAGGCTGAGGCTGGCCCTTAAAAGGCAGAACTGCCAGGTCTGTGTCTTATTTTCTTTGTCATTCTAATTTATCTTTTTTTTTTTTTTTTTTTTTTTTTTTTTTTTTTTTTTTTTTTTTTTTTTGAGACGGAGTCTCACTCTGTCGCCCAGGCTGGAGTGCAGTGGCGGGATCTCGGCTCACTGCAAGCTCCGCCTCCCGGGTTCACGCCATTCTCCTGCCTCAGCCTCCCAAGTAGCTGGGACTACAGGCGCCCGCCGCTACGCCCGGCTAATTTTTTGTATTTTTAGTAGAGACGGGGTTTCCCCGTTTTAGCCGGGATGGTCTCGATCTCCTGACCTCGTGATCCGCCCGCCTCGGCCTCCCAAAGTGCTGGGATTACAGGCGTGAGCCACCGCGCCCGGCCTCTAATTTATCTTTTGGTATGGAGAGCAGAAAACAGTCTGAGGATGTGACAGCCCTCCTCCTAGAGTTGGCACTATTTATGCATGGTTCTTAAGTGTCAAGGTAGGTTGAGAGATCTCTCTTCCTGGCACAGCCTGAGTGGGCTAGAGTGCTGTGACCCTTAACTCTAGTCATGCAGCCTTCAGAGGAATTTCAAAAACCACCGGATGTGGGGGATAGAGAAAGAGCTGGTACAAATGACAAGTTGTAGGTAAAATAATTGGAGACAGGAAGAGAATGGGACCTGCTTGGGTCAGTGCACACACTGCATGGGTGCAGCTTAACAGTCAATCCATTTCTCTGATTTGGCCCTTGTGTCATGGAATTAACATGTCCACTTCTGCTCTGGCCTCGGAGCTGAACTCTTTGTTTCTAGAACCAAATTTAAATTCTCATCTCTGGAATTACATTTGGGTTTCACAGGCCACTGGAGTGGGGAGGCCCAGGTGCGCCCACAAAAGAGGCTGTTGTTGGGCTTTCCTCACATGAGTTTTGTGCCTACGCTCACAAGGATAAGGGATCTTCTTCCTCAAGGCATGCCAGGAAGGCTTATGGGAGCCAGTGAAGAAAAAAGGTGATGCCTCAGCCCAGTGCTGTTGCCCCTCCTGGCTTGTGGCTTTGGGCTCTCAATCATGCTCATCAGAAAAATGAGCAATGAAAGCCCCTCAGTGACTGACTGCTTACCCCACCTTTACCATGCCACAGGACAGTGCCACCCCTGAAGCTCCAAGTACAGCCTGTGCTTCAAAAAACTGAAGAATCTCTCGGTTCAGTTCAGGGCCCTAAGAGGGTTCTCCCCTGCAGGGAACTCTGATGCCTACCCCTCCTTGCCCAACTGACAGCTAAGCATGTCTGCTGTGTTGCACCCTTGTTGCCTGCTCTTATCAAGCCCGTGTCTCCATGAATTGACTAGGGGCACAGGCTCACTGAAGCCCAAGTGACCTGTCTAACACTCCTTCAACGCACAGCCTCAGGCATGTGCCATACAGGTTTCTCCTAGAATGTAATCTTAGGGTGTCACACCACCAAATTCTGCTCTAACTTTTGGACTAGCTAATCAGTAAGTCACTTAATGTTCCAAGATGGGTGTGAGCCTTGACTCTCTTTATCTCCTTCCTCTAGTGGGGCTGCATTGTGGGTTGCCATCCTGATTTCTTTGTGGAAAAAGATAGCAGATGAGGCAGGACCCAAGGGCCAGGGACAGGACAGAACACCTAGGCTGGCCTCCCCTAATGCCCTCTGAGGTCCCTGCAGGAGAGAGGGCTCAATGGAGTTCCAGGCCCCTTTTCTAGGATGGTGGGAATAGCCCCTTCCTGGACCACCAAGAAAAGCCTACTGTTTCTGCAACCTGCACCTACGTGTCTCTAGATGAGCATCCGTTTATCTTTGTGGTCATGGCCTTCTGCTTCATTTCCATAAGATATTCTCCTGGAACAAATGCCTAGGGAATCCTGGGCCTATAGTGAAGGTTCTCAAAGTGCCAAAGTCCATAAGATTCTCAAAAACATAATTAGTAGTATTTTCTACACATTGCTGTCTCAGGGTTGATTTTGCCAAATAATCTGTAAAAACAAATATTAAAATTTTTATCCTTTACATTATTTTAATTACATCATCATACAGAGCTTTTATTTTCTGAAATTTATTGTTATACCAATCATTGAATTTTTCTTTTCTTCTTTGTCCAAATCGTTACCTGTTTTAGACACCAAATCTTAAAAAAAATGCTGCACAAATGCTGATAGGTGACAGCAATTTATTTAAAATTTAATCAAGTTTCTTAAATAAGTAAATAATTTCAGTAAACTTAGTTTATGTTATTTACATAAATTATTTTTCATCTTATCCTCAATCTTAAAATAAGGTTATCTTGGTATGCAATTCAAAATCAACAGATTTTTTTAAATAGGCAAATTAAAAACATTTTTTGGACATGTTGGGTAATATAATTCTCAAATAGCTTATCTTTCTCAAGTAAAAAAAGAAATCAACGCACTTGAAAATTGATATTCATAGTATCTTTAAAAGTTACATTATGAATATGCTTTTATAGTTGCCAAAAACTTAGTAAACCTAAATCTAGTCTTCCACAGTAAAACTTAAAGATTATACAAAGGAGATTAAATTTACAGGCTAAATTTCCCACAAAAAATTAAAAAGATTCTTTGCTTTATCTTTCAGTATCTGATAATAAGCAGATTTTATGACATTCAGAATCTGCTTGAGTAAAGAAATAAGGCTAAAGAGCTCTTGTGAAAGAATCATTAAAAAATATACAGAGCAAACCTATTATGTGTATTATTTTTAAAAATCACCCAATTCATATTTCAAACAAATACTAATTTTACTGGGTTTTACTACTTGCAGAAGGTGGATTGACTTAGAACCTGATGGAACGTAACCACTCTTTATATACCCCCCCAACTGCCCGTAATCTACCCAGAATTGAAGGCTGATCCTTCCAGTTCCTAAGAAGACAAACTTGACGCACACGGAATTCTCATTTAGGCTTGTTTCCCACTTCTGCCTTCCAGTAATGTCTGCCAGCCCTACACTTCTGAGAATCCAGGACAGCAGGGCACAAACAAAATCTCCTTGAACTGTAATAAATGTTTGGTTTTGTTCTTCCATATTACACAGCTTTTCTATCTGCAGAAACATTAAGTTGAAAATGTGCTGTGTCAAGATCTAGAATCCAGTAGGGCATGGTGGCTCATGCCTGTACTCCCAGCACTTTGGGAGATCAAAGAGGGAAGATCATAAGGTCAAAATATCTAGACCCTCCTGGCTAACATGGTAAAACTCAGCCTCTGCTAAAACATATAAAAAATTAGCCAGGCGTGATGACACACACCTGTAGTCCCAGCTACTAAGGAGGCTGATGCAGGAGAAGCACTTGAACCTGGGAGGTGGAGGTTGCAGTGAGCCAAGATCATGCCACTGCACTGCAGTCTGGGTGACAGAGTGAGACTCTATCTCAAAAAGTAAGTAAGTAAGTAAGTAAGTAAATAAATAAATAAATAAATAATCTAGAATCAAATCTACATGAAATGGCTGGATAATTCTGTCTAAGCCAGAATTTAGAGGACGAAGACAAAAACAATACTTTGTTAATCTAAATGAAAAGAGTTCAGGGCATTTTAGGTGTCAATACCTGGGGTGAATACGGTTAACATGTGTCAGCCATTTCAAGTTTGACTGGATAGACTTGTGCACTACTTCTCTCACTAAATGTTTAAATGCAGAAACATAATCTGAAAATTTTACAACGTTTTCACTTAGTTTTGCTAAAATGTCCATCTCTTAATCTTGTTTCAATTGTGAGATTCACTAGTGCAGCATTGGTTACAATTATGCTCTCCTCGTATGCAGAATTAATGTCATTTATTTACTATAGATATTTTAAATTTCTCACTTGAGACCACAGGCTAATTTTAAAAGGAATATTTATTTCTAATTACATAGCTTCCATTACATACCTAGTATTGTATTTGTTTACTTCATGTGTATGTCAAAAAGACCTCATGACTTACTAAACGTTCTATTGTTTACTTAAATATATTGGCCCAATAAAATTAATAAACTCAATTCTGTCAACTTTATAGAGTAAAATAGTCAATAAGTAAACAAAAAAATTGGATTAAATAGAATTCTGAAATTGAAAAAATACAAAATGTACTAAATAAATAGCATACCATACATGCACTGTAAAATTACTCACATGTAAAAATTATTTTCCGAATAGCGTTACATTTTATCAAAGTCACTTTCATAATTTCTGAGGGGATTGTACAGAGAATGTCTTTTCACTTGTTTGTTTGTTTTGAGATGAAGTTTTGCTTTGTTGCTCAGGCTGGAGTGCAATGGCACCATCTTGGCTCACTGTAATGTTCATCCCCTGGGTTAAAGTGATTCTCCTGCCTCAGCCTCCTGAGTAGCTGGGATTACAGGAGCCCGCCATCATGCCCACCTAATTTTTGTATTTTTAGTAAAGACAGCATTTCACCGTGTTGGCCAGGCCGGTCTGAAACTCCTGATCTCTGGAGATCCACCTGCTTCAGCCACTCAAAGTGCTGGGATTTCAGGCATGAGCCACCAAGCACAGTCCAAAGAAAGTGTTATGAACTTTGATGAAAAGAAAATTATATATTATGTCTAGGGTGAGCAACAGGCTAACCTACAAAAAAAGAAAAATTTGCAGAAGATGATTCTAAGCCACTAGCAATCACATTTTAAATCAAGGAGCTTAATACAAAGCAGAGAAAATAGATTTGCTTTGAAAATCTTTGAAGTTTCTGGCTTGCTGGTAAGATGTCAACACTTGTAAAAGGATTTGTTTCATTTTAATATTTTTATTTTCTTCTCAATGTAACCAACCATAAATAAATATGATTATTTTCTAGAAGTTTGTTACATACCTAGAGTTTATTTTACAGTAATATATTTCTTATATTTAAATTCATGTAAATCAAAACTAAAGGTCTGTGTGTGTTTATCAGAGCAGAGCAGTCATACCTTTAATAGAGAAAAAGTAGGATCAAATTTTATAAATAGTTGTTCAGTATTCAGAAACATAGAGCTCCGTTATACTAATATGATCTTCATTACAACCATCATAATAACCTGTAGTTACAAGGAAAAAAAATGTAAGTTGTAAAAACCACACTTTCCAAATTATTTCATTTTAAAAACCACTGACAAAGGAATCACTACAGATGTTATTCCACTGTCTCTCAGTAGTATATTGTTACCATCAGTTACCTACAGCCTTGGTTAAGATGGGATAACTTATCATCAGTTGCAAGATACACATTCAATGTCAAATAGCTTTAACAAAATAACAATATTGATTTACTAAAAGAAATTAAGTCCACGCATTTTCATTAAAAAGGCATTTTGGAATTCACTTTATTCCAATTACCTTAATTTGCAAATGGTAAAGCAATGTCCAACTAAAAATCAAATTGTTTCTCTCACTATGCAGAATGTTGCCCTTACTCCACTCCTATCATCCTGTCATTTATGATACTGTCGTAAACCAACAACTAAGTTGCCTTTGTACATAGAAATTCTTCAGGTATCTTAGATTTCTGTTTTCTTAATCTTCCATGGAAAAGTGTATAAATCTGTCCTTGTAATATAGAAGAACCTCTCATAACTCTGGTGCAGCAGCTATTGACCATGCTCTTTCACATAAATTCTAGAAATAAAGATATATCACCAAAGGTAAGAGATGAATTACATCAATATTTGCTTTTGAAAATATATGTTCTCAAAAAATATTAAATTCTTTTAATATAAAAAGTATATTCCTTTTAGAGGAAGGTGATCAAGATTGCTGACTAGAAAGAGGCAGCTAGACTCTGTAGTTCTCATAGACAGGAATGCAAGGTGTGCATAAATACGTGACGTTCAGCTGAAACACCAGGTACTTGCATTGAGACTAATCAAAGAAGCAACTTAACATAAGGAGAATGGAGTAAAGCAAGGCAGGACACCGGGACACCTGAAAGCAACATGGAGCCAGGGACACCTTCACAGCCAGTAAGGCAGTAAGTGAATGCATGATCCTGGGAACCCATGATTCTTCCACAGATCTTTGCAACCCTCAGGTAAGGTGATCCCCTAATAAACCCACTTCACCGGGGCCTTTTGTATAATGCACATAGCTACAGGGAGTCTCAGCAGAGCAGCCACTCAAGACTGCAGTGATTCAAGAGCCTTAGATTCGCTGACTTTCCAGCCTTCCCAGAAAAATTCGCTGGAACTCCAGCAAAGCAGGAGGTTACAATCTTGAACATATCCATAGGAAAAAGGCAGAATTCAGGGCGCTTAGCATTGATGGTCTGTAGGACGCATTTTCTCAGTGCCTCACAGGGTAAGATGTACTGGCTTAGAATTCCAGCCAACCATTGGTAGCAGCACTGCATCTCCCTGGGATGGAACTACCAGAAAGAGGAGTGGGCCGTCATCTTTGCTGCCTGGGAAACTTAGCCATTTCAGCCTTCAGGCTTTGAAGAGCCCAAGCTGACTAGAATCACAAAGCATAGTACAGGTGCTCTAGAAAGACATGGCCAGACTGCCTGTTAAAGCAGGTCCCCAATCTCCTTCTTCCTCACTGGAAAGTACTTCCTGATGAGTTTCTCCAGCTAACACCACTGGTACTCTTTGGTTGATGGAATTTTGAAAACTTTTTGGGCTACAGTTCCTAGAGCAAAGAGTGAGCTGCCATTTTTCCTGTTTGTGTCACTTACCTGTTCCATCCTTCTGGCTTTGGAGAATCCAAATAAACTGGATGGAAGTGGTACCTCTGCACAGCAGACCTGTTCTACAAAAGATGGTTACAGTGCTTCCTTCCTTCCTTCCTTCCTTCCTTCCTTCCTTCCTTCCTTCCTTTCTTCCTTTCTTTCTTTCTCTTTCCTTCCTTCCTTCTTTCTTTCTTTCTTTTCTTTTATTTCTTTCTTTCTTTCTTTCTTTCTTTCTTTCTTTCTTTCTTTCTTTCTTCCTTCCTTCCTTCCTTCCTTCCTTCTTTTTCTTTCATTTTCTCTCTTTCTCTCTCTCTTTCTCTTTCTTTCTTTCTTTCTCTCTTTCTTTCTTTCTTTCTTTCTTTCTTTCTTTCTTTCTTTCTTTCTTTCTTTCTTTCTTTCTTTGTCTTTCTTTCTTTCTCTCCTTCCTTCCTTCCTTCCTTCCTTCCTTCCTTCCTTCCTTCCTTCCTTCTTTCTTGAGACAGAGTGTCACTTTTGTTGCCCAGGCTGGAATGCAATAAAGCAATCTCAGATCACCACAACCTTTGCCTCTTGAGTCCAAATGATTCTCCTGCCTCAGCCTCCAGACTAGCTGGGATTACAGGCATACACAAACACACCTGGCTAATTTTGTATTTTTAGTAGAGATGGGGTTTCACCATGTTGGTTCAGGCTGGTCTCCAACTCCGGACCTCAGGTTGATCCGCCCACCTCAGCCTCCCAAAGTGCTGAGACTACAGGCAAGAGCTGCTGCACCCAGTAGGCTGCTTTCTTAAGTGGATCCCCAGTCATTTTCTTTTCACTGGGGAAGACCTTTCCACAGGCATTTCTGGCTACTTCCTACAAGTGCTTTTGGGCTGAAAACAGGTCTATACCTCCCTGGGATGGAGCTCCCAGAGAAAAAGGCATGTGCCATTGTTGCTTTTTTTGCACATTCACTGGTGATAACTTCAGGTACCGGAAAATCTGAGGTGACTAGATACTGTAGTGGACACCCAGCGTATTGCAGATGCAGCAGCTTTTCACAAAAGGGGTCAGACTGTTACATGTGTTCCTGTTCTTATATATTCTCAGTGGGCAGGTCCTCCAGGCCTGGGCCACTAGCCAATCATTGCCAGAGCTATTGAGCCAGCAAAAACTTAGGAACTCCATGGACACAGCTTCCAGGGGCAACTGAATATATTTCATCATTGCCTGTGCAGAAGAGCTGTCCCTGCTACCCTCAAACTAATGAAATATCCCAAACCCTAATTGCCTTATTCACACCTCAAACGAGCTGCATTATGCCCAAGGAGAGGAGGTTAGACCATCCTCCATGGGGCTCACAAACTCCCCAGTGCTCCTCACCAGACAGTGAGCCCCTAACTTGGCTGAAAGCACATATTTTCCATCCAGGGCTGACTGCACCGAGGGATTGATGACCTACATCTCTCTCAAGTGCAGCCCCCCAGAAGACCAGCAAAGAGGTGGGGCAGTAAGCCAGCTCATATGGTTTCCAGAGGGTTTGGTGCAAGAGCATCTATAGTAAAATAAGGCCAGTGATGGCCATTTCTATAGACTAAACTTGCTCCCATAAGAGACTTTAGCCTGAGGGGAACTAATTTCTACAGGATAATGTTGCAAATCAGAAGGGGTGGTCCAACCGAGCACTCCTTGGTCTTCGGGCCTCTCCCAGGGTCCCAGTCTAGCTACAGTTGCTTACAGGGCAGTCTCAGTTACCCTGGAAGATAATACCACAGCATCGGCAATGGTAATCCATGCCTGACCCCTGAAGAACTACAGCAAGGCAGACCCTATCACTGCAGCTTACATGTATCTTCCCCATTCTGCAGCCCACATGTATCTTCCTCATACTGCAGCTTCCCCTGATACCACGGCAACTCTCCATATTACTTTCCTGGCATATGTCTGCAAAGGTGGGTTTGGCTTTGCTTGCCCCACCAGCAAGTGGGAATGCAGTATGCCTCTGCCACCCTCAGCAACTTCTACTGTAGATAAAGCTCTGGTGGGTAGAGAACCAGAAAGCCTCACCCCTGCTTTTCTGCTAACACTGTGTGGTGAGCAGTGTATCCTCCCACACTCTGAACAATTAGAACTTCATGAGGGGCCACAAATAAGACTTTAGTGCAACAGCACACACAGTCTCCAGCAGATACAGCCTACTCCCCTCTTAGCTGCTTTGTTCCTGTCACTGAGGTGAATGCCCAAAGACAGGCAGAAACCCCATATCCACTAACACTCTTCTGAAGCTGTGACACATTAGTCACAAAGAGTGGTGGACTCTAAATATCAAGGAGCCAGAGAAGACAGCTGGAGCTCAATACAGGTTCCTAAGAGTATGAAGCCTCCGAGCAGTGAGCTGAGCATAGCCGCTCCACCACCAAAAAAAAAAAAAAAAAAAAAAAAATCTCCCAGGAACAAAGCCTGTTAGTTGCAAACACCTTATTCCACATCAAATATTCAAGACCATTAAATAGGATCAAAAAAAAAAAAAAAACAAACAAACAAACCCAAAACCCCATTCAAAGGTCAGCAATCTCAAAGATACACGCACAAAGATTAGACAAAATCAGTGCAAAAATGTTGAAAACACAAAAAGCCACAGTGACATCTCTCATCCAAATGAAAAAATTACATTTCCACCGAGGCCTAAGATGACAGAAGTATAATTCAGAATACGGAAATGAATAAACTTCATTGAGCTACAAATGGAGTTGCAACCCAATGCAATGAAGGGAAAAAAATTGCAGGAATGGATAGAAAAAATTGCCAATGAGGAGGAAAATGTGACCAATCTGATAGAGCTGAAAAAACACAATATGAAAACTTTGTAATGTAATCACAAGTATTAACAGCAGAATAGGCCAAGTAGAGGAAAGAATCTCAGAGCTTCAATACTGGCTTTCTTAAATAAGACAGACAAGATGAGTGAAAAAAAAAAAAAAGAGGAATAAACAAAACCTCTAAGAAATATGGGATTATGTAATGAAACCAAATCTATGATTAAAAAGAGTGCCTGAAAGTGATGGGGAGAATAAAAACAACTTGAAATACTTATTTTCAGATATCATTCAAGAGAGCTTTCCCAGCCTATATAGAGAGGCAAACATTCACATGCAGGAAATGGGGAAAATCCCAGTAAGATACCTCACAAGAAGGTCATTTTCAAGACACGTAATCATGAGATTCTCCAAGGTCAAAATGAAAGAAAAAAAATGTATTAAAGGCAGCTAGACTAAAAAGACAGGTCACCTCTAAAAGAAGGCCATCAGGCAAACAACAAACCTTTCAGTTGAAATGCTACATGTCAAAAGAGATTAGGGACCAATATTCAACATTCTTAAAAAAAGAATTCCAAATCAAAAATTTATATCCAACCAAAGTAAGCTTCAGAAGTGAAAAATAAATGTGATCCTATTCAGATATGCAAATGCTGAGGAAATCTTTTAGCACAGACCTGACTTACAAGAGCTTCTAAAGAAAACATTAAATAAGAAAAAGACTATAACAGTCACTACAAAAACACACTAAAAATCATAAATTGATGACACTATAAAGCAACCACATAAATGTGCAAAATAGCCAGCTGAGATCATAGTGACAGAATCAAATCCATACATATGAATACTAACCTTAAATGAAAATGGGCTAAGTTCCCCAATTACAAAACAGAGTGGCAAGCTGAATAAAATATCAATATCTAATGATGTGCTATAATCAAGACACCCATCTCAAATAAGCTCGAAAAAAGGAAAAAAGAAAAATCTACCAAGCAAATAGAAAACAGAAAAAAAGTAGGGGCTGCAATCCTAGTTTCTGGCAAAACAGACTTTATGTCAACATAGGTTTTAAAAAAGACAAAGAATGGCATTACATAATAGTAAACACTTATATATGTACCCAACAAAAAAGCACTCAGATTATGAAGCAACTTCCTAGAGACTCTCCAAGACCATAAGTTAAATGTTCTTAAACAGTCATTAACTTTATACCGTATTGGTTCAGTATAAAGTCTCTGATGTTGAACCCAAAATGAGGACTTATTGAAGGCTTTTCCACATTTTGAACACTTGTGGAGCTTCTCTCTATATGAGTTATCTTATGTCTGATGAGGTGTGAGAATGAGCTCAATGCTTTGCCACATTCTTCACATTTGTGGGGTTTCTCACCAGTGTGAATTGTCTTATGACTAGTAAGGTCTGAGAAGCACTTAAAGGTTTTGCCACATTCTTTGTATTTGTAAGGTCTCTCTTCCATACGAATTCTCTTGTGGTTAATAAGGGTTGAGGAGCGGGTAAAGGCTTTGCCACATTCTTCATGGATGTGGGGTTTCTCTCCAGTATGAACTATTTTATGTTTACTAAGGACAAAGAACTACATAATAGCTCTTCCATGTGCATTACATTTGTAGAGTATGACTCTCTAGTATGAATTGTCTTATGTTTACTAAGGTCTGAGAACCACCTATAGGGTTTATTACATTCTTCACCTTTGTAGGTTTTCTCTGCGGTATGAATTATCTTATGTTTATGAAGGTCTGAGAACTACCTATAGGCTTTGTTACATTCTTCACATTTGTAGGATTTCTCAGCAGTATGAATTCTCTTATAATTAGTAAGGTCTGAGAAGCACTTAAAGGATTTGCCACATTCTTCACATCTGTAGGGTCTGTCTCCAGTATAATTTCTCTTGTGTTTAATAAGGGTTGAGCATCAGGAAAAAGTTTTGTCTCATTCTTTACATTTGTAGGGTTTCTCTTCATTTTAAACTCAAATTTATGTTCGGCAAGGTTTGAGAAATATTGAAGGCTTTGACACATTCTTCACATTTGTACCATCTCTCTGCCGTAGGAATTCTCTTTTTTATAGTAAAATCTGAGAACAACCTACGGTCTTTGCCACATTCTTCACATTTTCAGCACTTGTCTCCACCAAAACTTTTTTTATGTTCAGTGAAGTTTGAGCACAACTCAAAAGCTTTGCCTTATTTATTAGGTTGACAGGTTTTGCTAAGGGTAATTAACAAACATTGATAAAGCCCATCATAACTGCTTTCTGCACATGGGAATTACCCACACTTTGGTAGTCTTTCCTTAAATATAAACCATTAAGGTCACAGCTACCATATTTTCTCAGGATCACTTTTTGAAATGATTCTTTTATGTCATACTCCAGCAATAGCTCTACAGTAAAATAAAAAGAGAAAGCTAAGAAAATAAAAGGACTATAAATCTCTCCCTCATTAGACTCAGGTGAATACAACTTACAAATATATAATTAAACAAAGCACATTAACAAGGTGACAATAAAATATCACAGGCTCTAATTCCTTAATACAAATTTAAACTTAACAGAAATACACCGATCAAAATGCCTTTGTGAGAAGTCTAATAACCAGGTAAAAATTTGCAGCACCCGAAGGGAGCAAAATGCAAAAAACCACATAGTGGTTTAATAAAAGTATTTTGCGTTTACCCACGAAAGCCATTCTTCATCCTATGATGACTTTAAATATCGACTCCCAACTCCTGTCTCCACCGTCCAATAATAAATAAAATAGTGACACCTGTGTCCATGCTTCTGGGTTTTTGAGACCTTACAATAAACTAATTTCTATATTCCATGGCAGTGTTGAAAGGAAAGTTGGTAACTGACAGTTTTGGATAGCTGAGACCAAAGTTAAATGACTGTTACAAGTGAAGGCAGAAAAGGGGTATAGCAACTGACTATAGGATCTCAATAAGAAACATGGAGAATGCCGGGAGCGGTTGCTCGCACCTGTAATATCAGCAATTTGGGAGCCTGAAACAGGCATATCACCAGAGGTGAGAAGTTCAAGACAAGCCAGGTCAACATGGTGAAACCTTGTCTCTACTAAAAATACAAAAGTTAGCTGGGTGTGGTGGCAGGCTCCTGTAATTCCTGCTATTCAGGAGGCTGAGGATGGCGAATTGCTTGAACCCAGGAGCTGGAGGTTGCAGTGAGCCAAGATTGTGCCATTGTACTCCAGCCTGGGTAACAACAGTGAAGCTCCCACTCAAAACAGAAAGAAATACCATTTGACCTAGCCATCCCATTACTGGGTATATACCCAAAGGATTATAAATCATGCTGCTATAAAGACACATGCACATGTATGTTTATAGCGGCACTATTCACAATAGCAAAGACTTGGAACCAACCTAAATGTCCAACAACGATAGACTGGATTAAGAAAATGTGGCACATATACACCATGGAATACTATGCAGCCATAAAAAATGATAAGTTCATGTCCTTTGTAGGGACATGGATGAAACTGGAAACCATCGTTCTCAGCAAACTATCGCAAGGACAAAAAACCAAACACCCCACGTTCTCAATCACTGGTGGGAATTGAACAACGAGAACACTTGGACACAGGAAGGGGATCATCACACACTGGGGACGGTTGTGGGGTGGGGGGAGGGGGAGGGGGAGGGATAGCATTAGGAGATATACCTAATGCTAAATGACGAGTTAATGGGTGCAGCACACAAACATGGCACATGTATACATATGTAACAAACCTGCACGTTGTGCACAGGTACCCTAAAACTTAAAGTATAATAATAATAATAATTAATAATAATAATATTAAGAAGAAGAAGAAGAAGAATAAAAGAAAGAAAGAAAGAAAGAAGGCAGGAAGGAAGGAAAAGGAAAGAAGGTAGGAAGGAAGGAAGGAAGGAAAGAAAGAAACAGAGAGAAAGAAAGAAAGAGAGAAGAAGGAAGGAAGGAAAAGAAGAAAAGAAAAGAAAAAAGAAAAATATGGGAAAACCTTTTAAACTAAAAAACACACAAGCCCAGAGAAAACATTTACAGAATAAGCTTTAGAGACCGAAGAATATCTAGCCTAAAAAATGTGTATTTTATTCCCCCAGACAAAAGAAACTTAATACAGATTTTGACATGTCACATTTTATTATACAAATTGCAACCTAAGATTACAACATATATGAAACATCAAGATAATATGGCTCAATCAAAGATAAAAATAAATATCCAGAAATCAATTATTAAAAAACGGGGAGGTAAAAATTAACAGAGACAATATGAGTTATAGTCTAGATATATTCTTAAAAAAATTAATTACCCTTAAAAATTAACATTGCCGATTTAGTGATGCTCCGTGAGTAAAATGGAAATAAATAAATTAAGAAAAAGGAAATAAATGAAATAACAAAAATTAAACCAACAAAAAATAAAAAGCACAAAAAGAAATAAAAATTGTGGAGTGGAAATACAGAAAAAGACTAATATGTACTTCACCATTAGTAAAAAAAAAATGAGAAGATCAATAAGCTCAGCAAATTTCAAATAAAATTAACATTAAGAGATTTACAACAAGACACAAGTTAAGCAACGTTTTGGAAGTCACATAAAAGAGAATGAAGAATGCAGAAAGAAAAAAAAACAAATGTATTATTTATATTCACACTTCTGCAAAATTACCAGTAAATTTATGAACATAAATCTTTCAAGCAAGAAGCGGGTAGGATGACATTGGTAAAACGCTGAAAAAAAAAAGTTCTAAACAAGAATACTATATTTTGCAAAAGTATCCTTCAAAATGAAAAAAAAAAAGACCTCTATCACTATCTATAAGAACATCTAACTATGTCATGTCTTCAAAAGACTCATTTCATATCTAATTTTAAAAGACTGAAAATCACAGGATAAAAATACATTTCATGCAAGTGTTAACCAAATGAGAGGAGAAGAGGCAACAATTCCTTAAGATGAAAACTACCATATTTCATATAATTTACTTTATGTGAAAATTAACAAGAGACAAAGTAGGACATTCAATTATAGTAAGAGGGTTTATTCACTAATAACTTATAAATATATGACAATTTTCCCAAACACATAAAGCAAACATTGACAGAATTGAAGAAAAAATAGACAACCATATAATAATGGAAATACATCAATATTTCACTTTCAGTAGTAAATAAATAATGAGAGACTATCAACGAGGGAACAAAAAACCTGAATGCATTACACAATAGTTACACCTAACAAATGTATGCAGACAACAGAATCACATTCTTTTCAATACCTCAGAAAACATTTTTCTAGATGGACCACATGTGACACCACAACAGAAGCCTTAATAATTTTTTAACTAAAATTTTACAATTATTTACAGCCCAAATGGAATGAAACTAGGAATCAGTAACAGAAGAAAAGCTGAAAAATTCAAAACTTATAAAGATTAAGCAACACAATTTCCTGTTTTGTTTTGTTTTGAGATGGAGTATCTCTTTCACTAGGCTGAAGCGCAGTCGTGCAATATCAGCTCACTGCAACCTCCACCTCCGGGTTCAAGCGATTCTTCTGCCTCAGTCTCTGAGTAGCTGGGATTACAGGCATGCACCACCTCACCCAGCTAATTTTATGTATTTTAGCAGAGACGGGGCTTCACCATGTTGGCTAGGATGATCTCGATCTCCTGAACTAGCCATGCATCCTCCTGGCCTCTCAAAGTTCTGGGTTAGAGGCATGAGCCACTACCCCCAGCTACAACACACTTTTTATTACGCTCTTTTTCAATGGTTGGAAGACCTAATATTGTGAAGATACCCATGCTGTTTAAAGTGACCAACACATTCAACACAGCCTGTTTCAATTTTCAATTATACTTTTGCAAAAATAGAAAAAAACCCCACAAAGTTATGTAAGATCTCAAGGCACCATGAAAAGCCTGGCAATCTTTAAAAAGAATTAAAATATTGGAAGCATTATACTTAACAATTTCCAAACACAAAACAAACCTGTCGTAATCAAAGCACTCTGGTACTGGTATAAAAATAGAGCACCAAAGTAATAAAACAGAATGCAGCACAGATATAAACTGTTGAAGAGAGAGTACAGGCATACCACCTAGGTTTTACATTCAGCCATATGTCACAATTCCTTTGGTAAGCAGGACCCAGGCAGGAGAGAAGAGTTACATTACATAGACGCTAGTTTCAGTGATATTTAAAACTGTCCTCTGGGAGCAAAGCACAGACTGGAGAGACACATCACCTAGCTGATAGACCCAGAGATATGTGATAATATTCCCTGTTTACAGGGCCCAGGCAGAGGAGTCAAATTATTATGATTCTAACCCATCGATATGTAACAATGCACCCACAGAAAGGGATTTGAGACAAAAAGTCTCAACACCAGGGTACTAGGCCCAGTGATATGACACAATCCCATCATCTTTGAGGATGACATTGTTAACATTTAGCTGAGCATGTATATTAGAGTCACAATCTCACATGTATGCTCAGACAATATATAACTTTCTCTACAATATTCGAGGGCTTTATGAAACCTGTATGAGAGTTGCAAACCTCTCTGTGGCCTGCCTGCTCCTATGGACTCACAATCTTGCATATTGCTCTAAACCACGTTTGATAGTCGACATCTATAGGCAGGGTTAAGGGAGAAGACTCATTATTATGCCTGTGGGCTGGGTCCAGAAATGAATCACCATCTCCCCTGTGGCCAAAGCCACATATAAATGTCACAATTTTAACTGTGTACTGTATTCTTTTGTTAGACTCAGGACCTCAATAGTGGGAATTATAAATATGGAATGGTGACAACTCTTAATTGCACCTGGGTGTGTAACCAAGAGTCCCATTCTGAACCTTTTGCTGGTCCCTGTTATGAAACTCTTTACCACCAAAGAGTTTAAACAATATAAGTTAGTGTTGTAAGCTTATGTGTGTTAGTACAAATATGCAACCCAGGACCTTAAATATTGCCTTAAGCCAAACAATGAGAGGAAAAATATCTCCTATTGGCTGTATCCCAATATAAGTTTGATCTTTGTGCCTGTGAACTAAAGCAAGGTATATGTCATAATTCCACATGTGGGCAAAAAACAAGACAGGAGGGTAACATTACATAGATCATGTACCAAGCAATATGTCGCAATGCCTTCTCTAGGCAGGGTATAAAAATTTGGGTCACATTAACCTGGTGCTGGACCAAGCATTGGACAACATTTCACATGTGGAAAATACCAAACCAAGTTATGAGAGCCAAAACCCCTACATAATGGGCCCAAGACATGTCAAGGTATATTCGGTGGCTCCAGCATGGGCAGGAGAGTCACAGTCATAAGGGTGCTGGGCCTAGCAATATGCAATATGCCATAATTTCCTCTTTATGCATAATCCAGGAAGAAGCGAAAAATCACCTTGGTGTTGAGCCATTCAGTAGGTCAAAATTTCTTCTTTGTGGGTATAATTCAGGAAAAATAGGAGAGTTACATGTTTTGAGTGCTGGGCTTAGCAATATGCCAAAATCCACCTATCGTGAAGGCCCAGGCAACAAAAGAGCCACATCACTTAGGTCAAGGGCTCAGAGATATTGCAAGGTGTCCCAAGTAGTCAGGGCTCAGGCAGATGTGGAGAGTCATATCACCTAGATGCTGCCCTAGGAATATGTCACAGTGGAACATGAGAGCAGCATGCAGGCAGAAGGTCCACATCACTTGAGTGCTGGGTTCTGAGGTATTTCATAAGGATCTCTTCACATAGCACCCAGCAAAGAGAGTTTCATCAACTAATTGAAGGTCCTCTGCTCATGTCACAATGCTCCATGTGGGTAGGGTCCAAGGAGGGACTCACATCTCCTAGGTGATAGGCCCAGAGATGTGTCACAATATCCTCTATGGAACATAGCCCTGGCAAAAGAGTACCATCACCTGTGTGCCTTGCCTAGAAATATGTCACACTCCAGGTTGACAGGACCCCAACAAGAGCCCCACATAGCCTAGGTAGCAGGCCCAGAGATATGTCATGATTCCCTTCTTTGGGCATGGCTGTGGCAAAATAGTTCTCTTGCCTGTGTGCCTGGCCTTGCAATATGTCTCTATATTTCCTTTGTGCAGGGCCCATTCCAGACAGGAGAGTTATATAACCTATGAGGCGAATACAGGGATATGTCCTAATAATTTTGGTGGGCATGGCACAGGCAAAAATGTAACATCACCTGGGTGCTAGATCCAGTGATAAGACAATCCTTACGGAGAGAAGGGCCCTGGCAGGAGAGTCACACCACCTTGAGGCTGGCGTAAGTAGATATCACAATCCCATATATGAGCTGAAACAAGTCTAGAGAGTCAGATTACACAAGTGCTTGGCAATAATTTATATCACAATCACACTGTCAGAAAATTCCAAAGGTGAGATTTTAAATACCAATCATTTCTTATTTTCATCTTTGACAATTGACTTCATCCATGTGAGGTAATGATAATTCTTACTGTCAGCTGGGTGTGAGTACAAGACTCACAATTTTACCTGTGTGCTGAGCCCGGCTTTGACTCCCTCTGTATAACCCAAAGACTTGGTAAAATATGTGTGAGTGTTGTAATCTTTTGCAACCTTTGTATAAAAGATGGTCCACGGTATCAGTCATGTCCCTAAAACTAGTTATCTAGTTATAAAAGTCAAAATAGCCTCTATTGCCTGAGTCCACATACGACAGTCATTATCATTCCTGTTAGCCATGCCTAGATATAGGATTTAATTCCCTCTGCGGTTATGAAACAGGCAGAACAGGCACATCACCTAAATGCTGGGCCAGAAATATTCCAGTATTCTTTTTGTAGGCAGGGTTCTGTCACAAATATCATATATTTGTGTGCTCAGTTCAGCTCTGTGTCACAATGTTTCTTGTGGGCAGTCTCCAGGCAGGAGAGGAGAGTCATATCACCAAAATGATGGGCCCAAAAATATGTCACAGTGCTTCCTGTGACAGAGCCCAGGCAAGAGATTTATATCATTTGGATGCAGTGTTTGGAAATGCTACAATTACTAAAGGAAGCCAGGTACAGGCAGGAGAGGAGAGTTATGCAACCTAGATGATGGGTCCAGAAATATGTTACAAATCCCCTTGAGGACATTGTTAAGATAGCACAGTCAAATCACCAAGTTACTTGGCTCAGGTACTTATGAGACTATTGTTTTTGGGCTATACCTATGCAGAATTATTAAATCACTTAGGAGCTGGACAAAGGTATAAGACACAATTACACTTGTGGAAAGGCTTAAGAATAAGGGTCACCATCCTGCATATGTCCTGGCTCCACTCATATGAGTTGTTATTAGACTTTTGCTATGGTTTGTGGTATATGGCACAATATTACCTGGCCAGAAGGAAAGCAAGAAATTCACATAACCTATGAGGGTTTGGCTCCAGTGTGATATCACAACTTACTTTGTGGACAGGACACTGGCTGAAGGGTCACATCACCTGAATGCTGATTTCAGTGACATATGAAAACTTTGTGTGTAGGCAAGACTTTGACAAGAAAGAGACTTACTTCACCTAGGCAATTGGCCTAGATTTATGTCACAATGTCTGTTCTGTGCAGTACAAAAGCTGGAGAGTGACCTCACATTGGTGCTGGGACCAGCAATATGTCACAATCTCCATGTGGTTAGGGTACAGGAAAAGTGAACCAACGTCACCTAGGTGCTCAGCCAAGCGTTATGTTTCAATGCTTTCTGTTGGCAGAATCCCCCAAAAAGAATCACATCACCTGGATGCAGTTATGTGTCACAATGCATTGTAAGTGCAGGGCTAAAGGAGTAGAAGGGAGTCACATCACTTATGTGATGGACCTAGTTATAAAACACAATTCCCTTTGTAGCCATGTTTTAGGCAGATAATTCACATCACCAGGGTGACGATACGAGTGATAAATAAAAGTGCCCTTTGTAGGAGAAACATGGTAGATGTTATATATTGCAAAGGTGTTTGTTATACTTATGGCGCAATTTTATCTGTGGTCTGGGCCTAGAAAAAGAGTCAAATCATTCATGTGCTGGGAAAAGTTACCTGACCCAATCACACGCTCAGAAAAGTTTGCAAATAAGTTTCGCATTCCACATAAGTTCTCGTTTCCTGTATGTAAGTCGTCAACTCTTTCTATGAGTTTGGTGGAAGTAGAGGAGTCAAAATCTCAACAATGGTCAAGATCCATGTATAGGAGCTCCAGTCCCATTGGAAGATTGTGTTCCAGTAGGGGAGTCACAGCACCGCAGGCATGCTGAATCATGGTTCAAATGTTGCCAAAACACCTGTGAATCTAATCCCCGTATGAGAGTAATGATTTCAATCTTTGATGACTTTTATGTGTGAGATTTAGTACCTCATTACTAGGCCCTGTTTATGCGTGAGAATCACAATTGTATCAACTAGGTGTGCATAGAGAGTCACATTCTTGTCTGGTTGCTGGGGATAGTGACTTGTGGCTCAACCATATGTCACTATCCCCAACTGTGTTCAGGGCCCGTTCTGAGGAGAGTTATATCGCCTAAGTGGTTGACACAGTGATGTGTCACAATAATTTATGTGGGCATGGCTCAGCTGATTCTTACTGAGAGTGGGGCCCAGGCAGAAGGGTCAAACCACCTAGAGATTGGCCCTCATAGATTTCAAAATAACATCACTGGGCTGGAACCGGTCTGGAGAGTCAAATCACACAGATGCTCGGAAAAGATTTATATCACAGTCAGACTGGCAGAAAATTCCCAGGATGAGACTAACAATACCACATATGTCCCATTTTTATCAGTGACAGTTGGCTTTATATATATGAGATGGTTACAGTCTTTAACTGTCAGCTGGGTGTTCATATGAGACTCACAATTTCACCTTAGTGATAGGTCCTGTTATGACACCCTCTGTACAAGATGAAGGCTTTTTAAAATCACTTATGCTGTTACAATCTTCTGCAATCTTTTTACCATAAAGAAACTTAATCACTTAAATAACTCTAAAGCAAGTTATGAGATTAAAAATTACTCCTATTTGAGGGTTCTACATATGGGAGTCCTTATCATGCCTGTGAGCTGTGCTTAGATATATGTCACAATTTACACCGTGGTAATGAAACAGGCATGAGAGCCATATAATCTAAATGCTGAGGCAGAAATCTTCCAATATTATTCTTTTTGGCAAATTCCTAGAAGAAAAATCACATAACTTTGGGCCTATGCCCAACTGTATGGCACAACACCCCTTGTGGGCAGTGGTCCAGAAAAGAGGAGAGTCATATCATGTAAATGATAGGTCCAGAGGTAAGTCATAATGTCTCTTGTTGAAAGGATCAGGCAAGAAATTCATATAATTTGAATGCAGTGTTTAAAAATGCTACAATACCCAGTGGAAGCAGAATTCAGGCAGGAGAGGGGACTGAGGTAACCTAGATGATGGATCCAGAGACATGCTACAAACGTGCCTGAGGATAACGTTAAGACAGGAGAATCAAATCACCAAAGTGCTCAGCTGAGATATATGTCCAAATCTCAATTGTGCGCTATACCTAGGCAAGATTACTAAATTACTCAGGAACTGGGCAGAAGTGTATGTCACAATAACACTGGTGGAAAGTTCCAGGAGTGGGAGCCACCATCATGCATATAACCTGGCTCCAGGTTTAAGAGTCATGATTAGTCCTCTTATCTGGTCTCAGTTGTATGGCACAATATCCCCATGGGCAGACAGCAAGCAAAAAGGTCACATCACCTGGGTGGGTGCTGGTCCAGTGAGCTGTCACAATCTTTATTGTGGGCAGACTTCTGGAAGAAGCATCACATCACCTGAATGCTGGTTTAAACGATGTATCAAAATTTCCCTTTTGGGCTTGGCTTAGAAAGGAGAGGAGACTCACTTCACCTAGGCAATTGGTATAGATAAATGTCACAATGGCCACTATGTGCAGGACCAAAGTTTGAAAGTGACCTTAACTTGGCGCTGGATTTAGCAATGTGTCACAATCTCCCCTGTGGTCAGGGCAGGTCAAGAGAGGAGAAACATCATCTAGGTGCTGAGCCAAGTTACATGTTACAAAGCTTTCTGATGGCAGAAACCAAAATGGAGAGTCCCATCAGTTGGGAGCAGTACCCAGTTATGTGTCACAATGCACCGTTAGTGCAGGGCCAAGGCAGTAGAATTGAGTAACATCACTACATGATGAACCCAGACATAAGCCACAGTGCTTTTCATAGGCAGGCATTAGGCAAATAATCCACGTTACCTGGGAGCTGTTCCCAGTGACATGTAAAAGTGCCCTTTGTCTACAGGCCCAGGCACCTATGCTTAGGTGTATGGTCCATGTATATCACAATTTCATCTGTGGTCATGGGCCTAAAGAAGAGAGTCAAATTATTCAGGAGCTGGGCTAACTTTTATGTCCTAATCACACAGTAGGAAATATTCAGAAATGTTTCACAGTCACAGAAGTCCTGGCTTCACGTACGTACAGGAGGAGTCAACACCTCCTGTGAGTTGTGTCAAAGCAGAGGAGTCCCAATCTCAACAATGGGCAAGATCCATGTATAAGATGCCCAGTCCCACTTGAAGATTGTGTTCCAGTAGGGGAGTCACGGCCTCACAGTTGTGCTGAATCATGTATCACCAAACCACCTGTGGGTCAGATTTGTGTATGAGAGAAACAATTTCAACCTTCAACTGATCTTTTTTGTAACAATTTAGTACCTTATTTGTAGATCATATTTTTGTGAGGGAATGACAATCGTGTCAGCTAGGCATGCATCCAAGAGTCACAATCGCACCTGGTTACTGTTCCCTGTTATGACAGTTTGTGTACCACTCAGACTTTATATGATATGCTTGAGTGTCATAATCCTTTGTGAACTTTATGCAATTAGGAGACTCATTTCTTTACTTATGGCCATGAGACTGACCATGAGAGTAAAAATATGTCTCCCTTCTGGGTAAAGATATGATAGTTATATTTGTGTATGTAAGCTGAACTCAGGTATATGTTAAAATTTCACCTGTGGGCAGAAACAAGGCAGCATAATTGCCTTACTTGGATTCCGAGCACAGAATTCATTATAATCTCCTTCATAGGCAGGCCAAGTCAGAAGATTCATGTCAACGGAGAACAGCCTCAATGAATATGACACCATGTCGACTGTAGACAAGGTTGAAGAAAAAGAGGAGAGTCACACCTCCTAGGTGCTTAGCTCAGCAATACGTAATAATTTCCCCTATTGGCTGCCTCCAGAATAAAGGGGATGGTTACATTACCTAGGTTTTGCGCTCAGTAGTATGTCACAATTCCTTTTGTGGGCAGAACCTAGGCAAGAGACGAGAGTCACATTTCCTAGATGCTATGACCACTGATGTCACAATGTGCCTTGGGGCAAAAGTACAGGAAAAATAGGCAAATCACCTAGCTGATCGGCTCAGAGAAATGTGATAATATCCCTTGCTGTCAGGGTCCAGGCAAAAGAGTCACACTGTTATGATTCTTATGCAATGATATGTCAAAATACACACATGGGAAACAATTAAAGCACAAGTTTTAACACCTGGGTACTCGGCACAGTGATATGACACAATCTCCTCATGTTTGAGGGTGACACCTTTAACTGTCAGCTTGGCGTCTGTAACAAAGTCACATTGTCACGTGTGTGTTGGACCACCGAATGACACCCTCTACAACATCCAAGGGCTTCAAACGGCATCCATTATATTTGCAAACTTCTCTGAGGCCCATAGGCTCATATGGACTCACAATCTTATATATTGTCTTAAATCCAGGTATGATAGTCAATATCTCTAATTTAGGCCACATTCAGGAATGAGAAGCATTTTTATGCCTGTGAGCTGGGCCCAAAAATGAGTCACGATTACACCTGTGGCCAGATCCACATGTGAGAGTCACAACTCCATTTTTGTACTGTGTTGTCATGTTAGACTCAGTAACTCCATAGTGTACTTTGTAAATGTGGGATGGTGACAACTTTTACTTTCACCTGGGTGTGAAACTGAGAGTCACAATTTTAACTTTTTGCTGGGCCTTGTTATAAAATGCTCTGTACCACCCATAAAGTTTATACCACAGGAATTCGTGTCGTAAACTTCTGTGAGCTTTGTAGAAATATTCAACCAAGAATTTTTTCTATTGCCATAAGCCTAGTGATGAATGGCAAAATATCTTCCATTGACTGAATCCCAGTATAAGTTTGCTCATCATGCCTGTGAACTGAAGCAAGATATAAACCATAATCCCATTTGTGGGCAAAAAATTAGAAAAAAAAAGTGTAACATTACTTAGGTGATGTGGCAATTAACATGTCACAATATTCTCTCTACACAGAGTCTAGGAAAGAGGGCCACATTAACTGGATACTGGACCCAGCAATATGACACAATTCCACATGTGGAAAAACATAATGAAGAGATGAGAGCCAAAACACTTACAGAATAAGCCAAAGATGTGTCAAAACACCCTCTGTGGCTCTGGCACAGGCAGGACAGTAGCATCATCAGGGTGCTGGACTTATCACTATGCAATAATTATCTCTTTATTCAGGATTCTGGCAGAAGAGTAACATCATCTGGGTGCAATAGGTCAAAATTTCCCTTTGTGGGCATGGTTCAAAAAAAAGAGTAGAGTCACACAACCTAAATGCTGGGCTCAGCAATATGTCATAATCCCACTATTTTAAAAGCCCAGGCAGGGGGCGAGAGTCATATCACTTAGGTCATGGGCTCAGAGATATGTCCCAGTGTCCCCAGTAGGCAGGACTCAGGCAGAAAATGTGGGTCATATCACGTAGGTGCTTCTTTATGTGTACATCACAATATAACACATGGGGAGAACCCAGGCAGAAGAGCCACATCACCTGGGTGCTGGGTGCTGAGATATGTCACAAGTTTCCCTAGGACAGCACTAGATTGAAAGAGTTACATCATCTTGATGCAGGTCTAACTTTTACGTTGCAACGATCTATGTAGGTGAGGCCCAAGCGTTCGGTCACATCACTTAGGTGACAGGCCCAGAGATATGTCACAATGACCTCCTTGAAATATATCCCTGGCAAAAGAGTATCATCACCTGTATGCCCTGGCCTGCCAATATGGCACTACCATTCTCTGTGTTCAGGGTCCATTCCAGAGAGGGGAGTTACATCACCTAAGTGGTGGACACAGTAATATGTCACAATGATGCCTGTGAATATGGTCCAGGCAACAATGTAACATCACCTGAATGTTAGATCCAGTGGTATGTCTCAATCCTTACTGAGAAAAGGGTCCAGGCAGGAGAATCACATCACCTAGACGCTGGCTCAGGTAGAGATCACAATCTCATATACATGCTGGAACCTGTCTGGAGAGTCAAATCACACAGATGCTTGGCAAAGATGTGTATGACATTCACACTGGGAGATTATTGCAGAGATGAGATTTACAATAACATACATGTCCTGTTTTCATGTTTCACAGTAGGCTTCATATACATGAGATGCTGACAGTACTTCCTGTCAGCTGGGTGTGCATATGAGACTCACAACTTCATCTTTCATTTGGGTTTTGTTATGGCATTATCTGTACAAGCCAAGGGCTGTAAAATATTTGAGGGTGTTATAATCTTCGGTGACCCTTTTACCAGAAAGAGATCTAAGACATCACTTGCATTGCTAAAGCGAGTTACAAGAGTCAAACTTACTCCTATTTGGGAGGTCCACATATGAGTCATTATCATGCCTAGTGATTTGTCAGAATATTGAGCTGTGCCTAATTATTTGTCAAAATTTACTCTGCAGTAATGAAACAGGCATGACAGCCACATAACCTAAACGCTGAGGCAGAAATGTTCCCATATTCTCCTTGTAGGCAGGCTCCTGGCAGAAAAATCATATAACTTTGGGGCTGTGCCCAACTGTATGGCACAATGCCCCCTATGGGTAGTGTCCAGGCAGAAGAGGAGAGTATATCACTTAAATGATAGACTTAAATGACCAGAGATATGTCACAATGCCTCCTGTTGAAACGGCCAGGCACGTATTATTTATAATTGTAGCCGTTTTAACTGGAGTCATTTGGTATCTTGTGGTAGCTTTAATTTGCATTTTTCTAATGATAATGTTGAGCATCTTCACATGTACTTGGCCATTTGCATGTCTTCTTTGGAGAAGTGTCACATAGTGTATCTTGCCTATTGCTAAATTGTGAGTTAGTTTTGCTGTTACGTTTCTTATATATCTTTATGTTTTTCCATTGTGATATGTATATTTTGCAAATATATTCTCCCACACTGTAAGTTGTCTTTTCACTCTGTTAATTTATTTTTGCTATGTAAATTTTTTTTTTAGATTCTGTTAATTTTATTTGTCTGCTTTTGCTTTTCTTGCCTGTGGTTTTGAGATCTTATTTAAAATGTTTTTCCTGTCCTGTTTAGTAAAGAATTTCTCTATGTCTTATTCAAATAGTTTTATAAGTTTGAGTTTACATTTCAATCTTCTATTTATTTTTATTTAAATTGTTTTAATATGGTAACAGGTAGGCAACTAGTTGTATTCCTCTGTATTTAAATAATCCATTTTCTTAGCACCATTCGTTGAAAAGATTGTCTTTTCTTCAATGTATGTTCTAAGCAACTTAAAAATTACTTGGCTCTAGGTTTATGAATTTTGTTACTGGGATCGTTGGATACTTTGGTCTATGTGTCTGTTTTCTATGCCAGTATCATGCTGTTTTGCTTGTTATAGCTTTGCAGTATGTTTTGGAGTCAGGTAGTTTGATATTTTCAGATTTGTTCTTTTTTCACAGCTATTTGGGGAGTGTTTTTTTGGTTCCCCATAAATTTTATGCCTCTTAATTTCATTTTTGTTCAAAAATGTTCTTGGCATTTTATAGAGTTTGCAGTGAATTTGTAGATTTCCTTGTGTAGCATAGCCATTTTAGCAATATTTTTTATAACTCATGAGCAAAAATATCTTTTTTTTTACTTTTTTCATCAATATTTTATAATTTATAGTGTAGAGAGTGTTTCTCTTTTTAATTAAGTTTACTGCTACACATCTTTATTTTTTATTCTAGATAAACAAAAAGTATTTGGAAAATTTTACGTGACTTTGTAATTAAAAACAACTGAACAAATTAGGTATAAATGATATGTACTTCAACACAGCTAAGGCAAAATATGACAAATCAATAAACAAATTAAATATTGTCACCGGCAGGTCTTCATGATTTTTTTTTTTTAAATTAGAGGACTGGATAGAGAAAGATCATGTATCAAAACTTATACATTTGTCATTAAATTTTAAAACCATGAAGTTTGAATTTTTGCCTACATTTTAGACCAACCATGCTTATTCCTATGAAAAAGCTTGCAGTCTTCAACCGCAGCTCAGAAGAAACAAAAAGGGATGAGCGATGAAAAATCTGGTTTAATATTCTAGTTCTAGGCAATTACCCTGCAAATTTTTCAGTGATGAAAATAAACAGGGTGCCCCCCCAAATCTTGGCAAAGTTAACTATTGCCACTAGTTATCTGGGTTTGTCACAAGCATTTTTTTCTCTTCCTTGTGGAAAGAGGACTCAATTCCACAGCTTTATCTTAGCATTTAGCTGCTAATGAGGAGTCCATGCAATCCCCTGAGGAACATTTTTGTCCCAACCTCAATTCCAAGCCTCAGGTTGAAGCCCTAAGAAAGAATACTGGATCTGAGAAATCCAGAGGCAGATGATTATGGTGGTTAAAATTCACCGTGGAAGTGAGCATGACTAATTCCAGTGGATTAAGCCAAGCCTCACATTTCACGGATAAAGGCCATGATAGTATCTGTTGCATAAATGAAGTCTAATGAACTCCAGAACTACTGAGAGCAGGGAAGATAGGACATATGTAGGTAAGAGCAGATATTTCCACCCCCAACAGGCCTTCCTGTTAACATGAGTGAAAGCTGCTTTGACATCCATGGGTTGCAACCTATCACAATCCCTGGAACTCGGGGATACAAGGATGCAAGGGGGAAAGACAACATTCTTTCTTCTATCCCTCAACATACACTGGATATTTCCTAGAAAGATAAAGGAATCAGGGATACATGGTCTTCACTCTCCTTCTAGATGAGTAGCCATTCATTATCAGTCTATATTCCTTTTAAATGCATCCTGAAATTTTGGGCCTCCTTTGAAAAAATGCTTACTTTTTACCTTGTTTTCTCCTCTGTCTTCTTTTTACAGACAGGTAATCATGTATTCATACTATGGGACAGTCACCTCAGATGCATTCTCCAACCTTAGACTGGTTGGCTTAACTTAGGATTGGACTCAGGGCAAAAGAACACAGAAGCCAGACATGCTGGCAAAAGGGTGAAAGAAAATTTTCAAGTTGTGCTTTTGTCCTTCTCCTTCCTATGTAAACTGGAAAAATACCTTGGAATTTTTGAGCTGTCCTTGCCACCTTCCCCTTGTTTTATTTTACTTTATTTTAATACATGATTTTTAATAACCCAGTTTGATTCTTCTCCCATTTAGGTTACCAAATTCATGCCACCAGAGCCTCAGACAAGGCCCCTTTCACTGGAGACACTTAGGTAGGCCTCTTAGGAAAATCTGACTGCCGGTTTTCCAAAACAGTGCCCCCTGTCAACAGGAAGCTCTTAAAAGTGGTGTTGGTCCTGATCCTTCTCCTCATTCTAATGGCAGTTAGATGTACTTCTTTATATGGGGAAATAACAGAGTTAGAAAACAGCCAATGGTCCTGGGTGAAACCCCATCTTCAAGCCTAAAACAGCATAAAGACTGAAAAATCAGACTGCTTCTCCCAGATGAAGCCTGCCTTTTTTCAACTGATTCTCTCTGAATAGTATCCATGTCCACACTGGGGGAAGTGATTGGAGCCAGGGAAACTTCACTCCTTGTGCAGGGAGAAGGAGACTGGCCTCTGCAGTTCTTGTGTGATGGTTTAGTGTTAATCTACCCAGGAGGTGGGACTTGTAAACAGGACTCCCACTCACTCTGTTGACAGTTTTTCTTTCCTTCTTTTTACCCAATCAACTCTACCCTTCATCCTTCAGAGTATCCCTGGGCCTAATCTTTCCTAGTCACGTGAGAAGAACTCAATTTTGCTGAAGTAAGGAGAAAGTTCTGCAACATGAGGATTGGGAACCCTCATTTATGATAAGCTGAGTATATGCATGTGGATTTATTTTTGCCTTCTCTTATCGGTTTCAACATTTATTTTTCTGTCTTTATGCCAGCACCACACTGTTTTGATTAATGTAACTTTGCAATATGTTTTGAAATACAAAACTATTATTCCTCTGAGTTTATTTATTTTTTTACAGGTTGTTTGGTTACTTGTGGTTTTTTGAGTATTTATAGAAATCATAGGGCAATATGTGTTGGCTCACTCCTGTAATCCTAGAACTTTGGGGAGCCAAGCCAAGGTAGGTGGGTTGCTTGAGCCTAGGAGTTTGAGACCAGCCTGGGAAATATGGTGAAACCCTGTCTCTAAAAAAAAAAAAAAAATACAAAAACTTTCTGAGCATGCCAACATGCACCTGCAGTTTCAGCACTTGTGAGGCTGAGGTAGGAGGATCAACTGAGCTTTGGAGGTCAAAGATACAGTAAGTCATGATTATGATATTATACTGCAGCCTGAGTTACACAGGTAAATATTGACTCAAACATTTTAGAATAATTTAGTACTTCTGCAAAAACTATCACCATTTTTAAACATCTCATTGATCCATAGATCACCTGGTATACCATTAACATCTAAAAAACTTGCACGTTCTAACACTTGAAAAATAGTATGCTCAAGAATATGTCCAGTTTTCAAATATATGCAAACATGATGGTTTTGTTTTAACTTCCAGCTGTATTTTATTGTAGTCAGAAAAAATACTTTTTGTGATTACCATCAGTTTAAATATGCTAAAACTAGCATGCTACCTCACAAGTTTGCCTATCTTAGAAAATGTGTCATATACAATTAGAAGTATTATGTATTATGCTGTTGTTGGGTGAAATGTTTTGTAGATTAACCTGACGTCTTATTTCTCTATTTAACTTTTTATTTTTGTGCATTCTCTTTATCTTTATTTTGTTTCTCTTTATTTTTCATTTTATCTATTAATTTAATTTAATTTTATTTCTATTTTTCTTTTTTCTCATTACATTCTCTTCATTTCAAATATACTTCAACTTGTATCTTGTTTTTAGCAGTTTATTTAATTTTATATTTTTTCTGTTATTTGTTTCTAGTCATATTCCTTCATATTATCTTATTTTTTATCCATATTTCTTTTTTATTTTTTCTCCTTATTCTGAAACTTTTTATTGGAAATTATTTCATTTCTGTTTATTTCTTTTATTTTTTGTATTTATTGTTTATCTTCATTTTATTTTCACTTATCTTAATTACATTTCTCTATTTTTCTCTATTTCGGTTTATTTTATTTGTCCTTACTATTTTTCACTTGCTTTAAATTTATTTTTACATTTTATTTCTCTTGATTTTTTTTTTTTAATTTACCTTTCTATGTTCTGCTTCATAAAACAGAAGAGATAAGATATTTTAGATTGCCCCAGCCATAGTCATCAAGGCTCGTGTTTGCTGAGGTTCTCTCTCAGCTACTCTGCCCCGGAGTCTTCAATCCAAATCATAGTCATGGCATCCTAGTAAGATTGCTAAGATCTCTGGGCAGATCTTTCATTGTTACAGGCCCATCTAGCATTCAGTGTCACGGGCCGGTTTTGCTGCTTTCAGAAGCCCCCTGCAAGCCTCAGTGTTGCTAGGCCAAGACCTGACTGCCTCTTCATTAGTGTCCCAATGGATCCCACAAACATAATCCAAGGTCCTGACTGTTCTTCTCCTTTCCCAGAACAGGATCATACACACTTTACTCCACCAGGACATGTCTAGATCATATGTGTGTCTCTACATTTTATTTTATTTTTTTTTGAGACAGAAGCTTGCTCTGTCACTCATGCTGGAGTGCAGGGACGTGATCTCTGCTCAGTGCAACCTCTGCCTCATGGATTCAAGTGATTCTCCTGCCTCAGCCTCCCAAGTAGCTGAGATTACAAGTGCCCATCATTTTTTTTTTTTTTTTTTTTTTTTGTATTTTTAGTAGAGATGGTGTTTCACCATATTTGCCAGGCTGGTTTCGAACTCTTGACCTGAAGAGATCCAACCTCCTCGGCCTCCAAAACTGCTGGGATTACAGGTGTGAGCCACCACGCCTGGTTGAAATTTTTTTTTATATTAACTTGACATATAACTGATTTATTGGCGCGGTGGCTTATGCCTACAATCCCAGCACTTTGGGAAGCGGAGGTGGGTGGATCACGCGGTCAGGAGATCGAGACCATCCTGGCTAACACGGTGAAACCCCGTCTCTACTAAAAATACAAAAAATTAGCCGGTCGCGGTGGCGGGTGCCTGTAGTCCCAGCTACTCGGGAGGCTGAGGCAGGAGAATGGCCTGAACCCGGGAGGCGGAGCTTGTAGTGAGCTGAGATCGCACCACTGCGCTCCAGCCTGGGCGACAGAGCGAGACTCCAACTCAAAAAAAAAAAAAAAAAAAAAAAAAAAAAGAAAATATCAGCTTTATGGGTAGCTATACATGCAAATATGTGCAAAAAATGCTAATGATACGAGGAGATGAACATTTCTACATTTTATCTAAGGATTTCATGGAGTTGCTATTTTACCTTTTCCAGTCTTTATCTCTATATATTCAATGGGAAAATCCTCAATGAAGACTCCTCACTGTGATAGACAAAATGTTCAATTAGTCATTGACAGATGCAGTGAGTTAACTTCTGGTTTTTATTTGGAGCCCTCACAGCTAGGATTAAAAACTGTTGGCTCTAAACTCACATGATGAGGAATTATACTATGCTGTCCTCTTCTATACACTTGTCTACCATCACAATTTTTTGAACTTGCCAAAGGAAATTGTGGGAAATTGTTTCCCTCAGACCTACTCATCTCCGTTTCATAAGTTTTAAGATTGGGCATTGTTTAGATTTCTTATAAGCTCATAATCACAGAGGTCATGTTTGTCAGGAGAAAGCTTTCTTGCAGCAGGATTAAGTAAAGACATTTGCCAACCATGGCTTATGGTTCCTCCAGAGGCAGAATGGAGCTTAAAAACCATTGCTGAAGCCAAAAAGTGGTGAAAGAAGTTGAGGGCTGCCCAGAGGATAAAGAAAAAATGCTACTTTTTACTACCAAAGCAGTCACAGCTCATTTTGGCATTAATCTTGCTTCTGACCACGATATGTTTCTTACTGGTCTTTCTTTGTATTCCACTGATTGTACATTTAAAAAAAGAGGCCTGGATGAGAGTGGTAAAAAAAATAAATTCATCCTTCTATAGCTGATGCCTTGGTGAGCTTTGAAGCACACTGAGCAGAGTCTGAAATCCTTCCTCACTATGGGGTAAGTTGTGTCAAACTCGACACCCATTGAAATGGCACAAGGATCAAGATGTCAAAGAAGAGACTCAGAACCAGTAAATGAGATATGGACTTTTAGTGGAAACTTCCACAGAGAGCAGAAAGTACAGTGTCAGTGGGCCTAGCTGAATAACCAGGCCCACTTGCAAAAAACATGCAGTTTGTATGGCCTTTTTATTTAGCACTTTTTTTTCTGAACAAGCTTTCACCTGTCAGCCCTCATTTAACAAAAATGGAATAGCCTCACTTCCTTGTGTGACCTGTATTCCTATGCCACATGATGGGACAGAACAGGGGCTCAGACATTATTGGCGCGGTGGCTTATGCCTGTAATCTCAGCACTCTGGGAGGCCGAGGCGGGCGGATCACGAGGTCAGGAGGTCGAGACCATCCTGGCTAAGACGGGGTTTCACCGTCTTAGATAGATCTCTCTGAGATACTGTTCTCAGATAGAACTCAGGACAGTATCTCAGATTACTCATAGATAAAGAGTAAGCTCCAGGTTGACCATGACAAGGTTTTTTAGATTTGGAACTCTGAACACTCAGAAGCATCTATTTATAGAGGGTCAGTAACCAGGTATGCCCAAGTCAAGATAACACCGTCAGTTTCATCCATCATACAGGCTGGTTTAGGCAGTGGAGTTTCTTCTTCCTGAGATTTTAGATTCAAAATAGTTATTGCTTTACTTGAATTGTTGTGTTGGCAGGAGTTTATCTGAAAGTCCTGATGTGTGTGCACATTGCAGGTACAGTTGTATAAGTTAATGTGATGGCTTCTTAGTTGGTAGAGTCTGTTTTTGTTACGGGTGTGACTGGGTATATACAGGCTGCTGAGGTGACCGTCTCCATATTCACCGGACCACGACAATATGGGGCCCCAGTTCCACTATTTTCCAAAGTATGACATGCTGAACAAGACCCTGAAATTGTGGTTCACTGTGACCAGGCTGAGGCTGCGCTTTAAAAGGCAGAACTGCCAGCTTGGTGCCTTATTTTCCTTGTCATTCTAATGCATCTTTTGATAAGGAGACCAGAAAAGAGTATTTTAGTACGGAGACCAGAAAAGGGTCTGAATATGTGACAGCCCTCCTCATAGAGTTGGTACTATTTATTCATGACTCTCTTAAGTGTCAAGAAAGGTTGAGAGATCTGCTTCCTGGCACAGCCTGAGTAGGCTAGAGCACTGTGACCCGTAATGCTTAGCTCATGCGGTCTTCACAGAAATTTCAAAAAATCATAGGATACGCGGGGTAGAGAAAGAGCTGGTACAAATAACAACTTGCAGGTGAAATAATTGGAAGCAGGAAGAGAATGGGATCTGCTTGGAAGAGTATACACACTGCCTAGGTGCAGCTGAACAGTCAAGTCTGTTCTCTGATTTGAGCCTTGTGTCTTGGAATTAACAGGTCCAGTTTGGCTCTGGCCTGAGTACTAAAATTTTGGTTCTAGAACCAAATGTGAACTCTGGACTCTGGAATTCCAGTTGGGTTTCACAGGCCGGTGGATTAAGGAGGCCCACATGAGCCCATAAAATGGGCTGTGGGTGGCTTTGCCACACATGACTGGCTGCTTTTGTGCCTAGACTCTCAAGGAAGAGGCATCTTCTTCCTCAAGGCAAGCCCAGGGAGGTCTGAAACTTATGGCTGCCAGTGAAGAAAAATGGTAATGCCTCTGGCCAGTGCTTTTGCCCCTCCTGCCTTGTGGCTTTGGGGATTCAATTTGCTCATCAAAAAATGGGCAATGAAATCCCCTCAGTGACTGGCTGCTCACCCCACATTTGCCTGGCCACTGCACAGAGCCCACTCACCACCTCCAGTTACATCCTGTGCTTCCACTGATTGGCTAGGGGAACATGCTCACTGAAGCCCAGGTGACCTATCCTTTCTCCAATGCACAGCCTCATGCAGATGCCACCCAGCTTTCCTTTTAGATTGTAATCTTAGGGAGTTAGAGAGCACTAACTCATTGACGAATTAATCTGCTCTAACTTACTGACTAATAAATCAATAAGTCACTTAATGTTACAAGATGGGTGTGGGACTTGATACTCTTGATTTCTTTCCTCAGGTGGGACTGCACTGGGCATTGCCATCCTGATTTCGTTGTGAAAAAAGCTAGCAGGTGAGGCAGGATTCAAGGTCCAGGAACAGAACACAGCACCCAGGCTGGCCTGCACAGGGGCCTCTGAGGCCCTTGCAGGCAGGAGGGCTCACTGGAAGTCCAGGCCCCTTTTCTAGGATGGTGACCATAGCCCCTCCCTGGACCTCTGAGGACAGCCTACTTGTTCTGCAACTTGCAACCACTGGATTCTAAGGGGTGAGCATCCAATTGTGTGTGCGTGAGTGTGTGTGTGTATGTGTGCGTGTGTGTGTGTGTGTGTGTGTGTGTGTGTGTGTACATGGCCTTCTGCTTCATTTCCATGGGATGTTCTCCTAGAAGAAATTCCTAGGGAATCCTGGGACTGTGCTGGAGATTCTCAAACTGCCAAATTCAGTAAGAGTTGTCTCAAGAATATAATTAGTAGTATTTTCTGCAGATTACTATGTCAGGGTTTCCTTTGCCAAAAAAAAATGTGTAAAAAACAAAGTTGTTAGTCCTTTACATTATTTTAATTAGGTCATCAAATAAACCTTTTATTTTCTTCAAACTTATTTTTATGACAATCATTGAATTTTTGTTTTCTTCTTTGTTCCAACTGTTACCTGTTTTAGAGAAAAATATTTAAAAAATGTGATACACAATTACTAACAAGTGACAGCAATTTATTTAAAATGCAATTAGATTTCTTAAATGAGTAAACAATTTCAGTAAACTTAGTTTGTGTTACTTGTATAAATTATTTTTCATCTTATCCTCAATCTTAAAAAAATTTAGCTAGGTATGCAATTCAAAATTGATAGATGTTTTATATAGACAACTTAAAAACATTTTATTGGTCATGTTGGGTAGTATAATTCTCACATATTTTATCTTAGAAATCAACACATTTGACAATTGATATTTATAGTATCTATAAAAGTGACTTTATAAACATGCTTTTATAGTTGCTAAAATTTTTGGAGAAAAAAATCTATTCTGGCCTTCATTAGTAAAACTTAAAGATGATAGAAATGAGACTATATTTACTGGCTAAATTAACGACAAAAACTGAAAGAGATTCATTTACTTATTCTTTATCTTTCAGTATCTGATAATGAACAGAATTAAAGATGCTCAGAATCTGCATCAGTATAGAAATAAAGCAAACAGCTCTTGTGAAAGAATTATTGAAAATATACAGAACAAACCTATCAATTATATTTAAAAATTTACCCAATTCATAGTCCAAAAAATACCACTCTTACAGAGGTTTACTACTGGCAGAATCCAGCGTTTCTTATGACCTGATACAACATAACCACTCTTTATATATCATCTGATTGCCCAAAATCTACCCAGAACTGAAGGCTAATCCTGCCAGTTCCTAAAAAGACAGTCTTCACACACAACCCATTTTCATTTAAGCTTGTTTCCCACATCAACCTTTCAGTAATGTCTGCCAGAACTACACTTCTGAAAGTCCAGGACAGCAGGGCAGAAGGGAAGACTACTTAGGTTATAATAAATGTTTTGTTTTGTTTTTCCATATCACACAGTATTTCTGTCCTCAGAGACATTAAGTTGAGGATGAGCTGTTTCAAAACCTAGAAATAAGGCTGGGTGTGGTGGCTCATGCCTGTAATCCTAGCATTTTGGCATGCCCAGGTGGGTGGATCACAAGGTCAGGAGATCAAGACCATCCAGCCTAACATGGTGAATCACTGTCTCTGCTAAAAATACAACAAATTAGCCAGGCTTGGTGGAGGGCACCTGTATTCTCAGCTACTTGGTATACTGAGGCAAAAGAATAGATTTAACCCAGGAGACAGAGGTAGCAGTGAGCCGAGATTGTGCAACTACACTACAGCCTGGGCAACAGAGTGAGATTCCATCTCAAAGAAAGAAAAAATACCTAAAATCAAATGTAAAAAAGTGGCATGATAATTCTGTCTATGCCAGAATATAGAGGAGGAAGACTAAAACCATATTTTGTTAATCTAAATGAAAAGAGTTCAGGGCATTTTAGGTTTCAATACCTGTGGTGAATACCCTTAACATGTGTCAGCCATTCCAGGTTTGACTGCATAGGCTAGCGCTCTGCCTTCCTCCATAGATGTTTAAATGTAGCACCATAATCCAATAATTTTACAAGGTTTTCATACAATTATGATCTCTTTTTGAGAACAATTAATGTCATTTATTATAGATGTTTTCAATTTTTCACTAGAGACAGTAGGCTAATTTTAAAAAGACTATTTTTTAATCATGTAGCTTCTATTACATAGCTAGTTTTGTCTTTTTTACTTCGTGTATATGCCAAAAAGACCTCATGACTTATTAAACATTCAACTATTTACTTGAATAAATTGGCCCTATGCATTTAATCAGCTCAATTATATCAATTTTATGAAGTAAAATGAACAATAACTAAACAAAAATTGGATTAATCGCATTTTCTAATTGAAACAAAATATAAAATATACTAAATAAATAACATTCAATAATGCACACACTGTGAAATTACTCACATGTGAAAGTTATTTTGGGAACACCATTATATTTTACCAAAGCCACTTTCATAATCTGTGAGGAAATTATACAAATAATGTTTTACAAAATTGGACAAAAACAAAATTGTGTATTATGTTTACAGTTAGCCACAAATGAACAGATATAAAAAAAGTAATTTGCATAAGATATTTCAAAGCCAGGAGCAATGACATATTAGATAAATACGTTTAATACAAAGCAGAGAAAATAAATTTGCTTTCAAATTCTTTGAAGATTCTGGTTTGCTGGTGACTTATCAATGCTTGTATAACTACCTATTTCATTCTAATATTTTTCTTTTCTTCTCAAAGTAGGTACATGACCGTAAACAAATACGATTATTCTCTATAAATCTGTTACACCTAAAGTTTATTTTACAGTGATATATCTGTATATTTAAAACCATGTAAACCAAAACTGAAAGTCTGTATATGTTTAGCAGACCAGAGAAGTCATATTTTTAAAAAAAAGTTGGATAAAATGTTTTAAATAGTTGTTCAGAATTCTGAAACATGTAGTTCCATTATACTCAAAGTCTTCATTGCAACCATCATAATAATCTGTAGTTACAAGAAAAACAAAAATGTAAGTGCTAGAAACCATATTCTCAAAATTATTTTCAGTTAAAGACCACTAACAAAGTAACCACTAGAGATGTTATTTCACTGTCACCAGATAGTATATTGTTACCATCTGTTACCTACAACCTTGAGTAAGATGGGAAAAGTTAACATCAGTGGCAAAATACACATTCAATGTAAAATAGCCATAACACAAAAACAACAATTTTGGCTTATTAAAACAAATTAAGTTCACACATTGCCATTAAAAAGGCATTTTTAAATTCACTGTATTTTAATTACATTAATTTGCAAATGGTAAAGGAATTTTCTTCTAAAATTCATATGGTTTCTCTTACTGTGCAGAATGCTATCCTGATCACTTAAAACACTCCTATCATCCTGTCACATATAATACTGCTGTTAACATGGCCAGATGCAGTGGCTCATGCCTGTAATCCCAGCACTTTGGGAGGCTGAAGCGGGCAGATCACCTGAGGTCGGGAGTTTGAGACCAGCCTGACCAACGTGGAGAAACCCCGTGTCTACTAAAAATACAAAATTAGCCAGGCGTGGTGGTGCATGCCTGTAATCCCAGATACTCGAGAGGCTGAGGCAGGAGAAGTACTTGAACCTGGTTGAACCTGGGAATTGGAGGTTGCAATGAGCAGAGATTGGGCCATTGCACTGCAGCCTGGGCAACAAGAGTGAAACTCCAACTCCAAAAAAACAAAAACAAAAACAAAAACAAGACAAAACAAAACAAAACAAAAATACTGCTGTAAACCAACCATTAAGTAGCCTTTCTACTAAGATTTTCTTCATTTACATTAGATTTCAGTTTTCTTAACCTTCCATGAAAAAGAATATAAATCTGTCTATCTAATTTAGAAGAACCTCTCATAACTCTGGTACAGCAACAATTGACCATGTTCTTTCACATAAACACTAGAAATGAAGAGAGCATCAAATGTAAGAGTTAAATTACGTCAATATTCGCTTTTGAAAACAACACTACATTTTATTTTTTGTTTTTGTTTGGGATGGAGTCTCACTCTGTTGCCAGGCTAGAGTGCAGTGGTGCGATCTCAGCTAACTGCAACCTTCACCTCCCAGGTTCAAGCCGTCTTCCTGTCTCAGCCTCACATGTAGCTGAGAGCACAGGCGCTCACCACTACAGCCAGCTAATTTTTTTGTATTTTTAGTAGAGATGGGGTTTTGCCATGTTGGAGAAGATGGTCTTGATCCCTTGACCTCTTGATCTGATCCCCTCAGTGTCCCAAAGCACTGGGATCACAGGCTTGAGACACTGGCCTGGCCTAATTTCTTTTAAAATAAAAAGGTAGGTTTCTTTTAGAGGAAAGTAGTCAAGATTGCCAGCTAGAATCTGCTGGACTGCGTAGTTCTCACAGAGAGAAATGCAAAATATGCATAAATACAGCACCTTAAACTGAAACATCCAGGTACTAGCATTGGGAACAATCAAAGAAACGACTTATCTAATGGAGAATGGAGTAAAGGAAGGTAGAATAATGGGCCATCCGGGAAAAACAAGAAGCCAAGGGAAACTTTCCACCCAGTAAATCAGTAATTGCATGTGTGACCCTGGCAACCCACAATTCTGTCACTGATTTTGCAACCCTCAGGTAAGGAGATACCCTCGTTAACCCACTTCATTATGGCCTTCCGTTTAACAAACAGAGCTACATGGAGTCACAGCAGAGCAGTCACCCAGGCCAGTGCAGAGATTCAAGAGCCTTAGATAATCTGGCTCTCCAGGCTTCCAAGAAAAATTAGCTGCAACTCCAGCAAAGCAGGAGGTTACATCCTTGTACACTCCCATAGGAAACAGGCAGAATCCAGGGGCCTGAGCAGCGATGGTCTGTAGGACTCATTTCCACAATTCCTCACAGGGTAAGATCTACTGGCTTACAATTCCAGCCAACCATTGATAACAGCATTTCACCTCCACGTGATGGAGCTACCAGAAAGAGGGGTGGCCCACCCTCTTTGCTGCTTTGGCAAGTTAGCCATTCCAGCCTTCAGGCTTTGAAGAGCTCAAGCCGACTGGGGACAGAAAGAATCTCCTAGCACAGTACAGGTGCTGTAAAAAGACATGTCCAGATTGCCTGTTAAAGCAGGTCTGCAATCTCATTCCTCCTCACTGGGAAATACTTTCCAACCAGGGTGTCCATCTACCACCACTGGTGCTATTTGATCGATGGAATTTGGAAATGTCTTTGGGATACAGTTCCTGGAGGGAAGAGTGAGCTGCCCTTTTTGCTGTTTGTGTGACTTAGCTGTTCCAGCCTTCTGGCTTTTGAGAATCCAAATAAACTGAGGGTGGAAGTGGTACCTCTGCCCAGCAGAGCTGTCCTACAGAAATGTGGCTAGATTGCTTTTCAAGTGGGTCCCCAATTATGTCACCCTCACTGGGTAAGATCTTTCAACTGAGATTTTTAGCTACCTCCTATATGTGCTTTTGTGCTGGAAACAGGTCTAACCTCCCTGGGACAGGGCTCCCAGAGAAAAGGGCATGTTGCCATTGTTGTTGTTTTGCAGCATTTACTGGTGATAACTTCAGATACTGGAAAATTGGAGATGACTAGAAACTGCAATGGACACTCAGGATAATCCAACAGCCCTTCAGAAAGTGGCCAGATTGTTACGTAAGGGCCTGTTCTCCTATATTCTCTTTGGGAAGGTTCTCCAGGACTGGCCCACTAGCCAATCATTCCCAGAGTTATTGAGCCAGTAGCAAGTTAGCAATTCCCTGGACAGAGACTCCAGCAGCAATTGAAAATACTTCTGCCACTGCCCCTGCAGTAGAACTGTCCTTGCTTCCCTCAGGCTAATGAACAGTCCAAAAACTTAAGTGCGTTATTCACACCTTAAACAAGCTGCAGTTTACCCAAGGAGAAGAGGCCAGTCCATCCTCCTTGGGTTTCACACACTCCTCACTGCTCCTCACCAGACAGTGAACCTCTACTTGGCCAAAAGCAGAGCTCCTCCATCCTGGGCTGACTGCACTGAGGGATTGCTGACCTACATCTCTCTGAGATGCAGCCCCCCAGAAGAGAAGCAAAGAGGTGGGCCAGCAAGCCAGCTTATGTGGTGTCCAGTGGGTTTGGCACAAAAGCATCTGTAGGAAAGTGTGGCCAGTGATGGCCATTTCTCTAGGCTAAACTTTCTCTCATAAGAGACTTTAGCCCTAGAGAACCTGTTGGACCTAATTTCTGCAGGATAGTCTTGCAAATGAGAAGAAGCGTCTCCAACTGAGCACTCCTTGGTCTGCTGGTCTCTCCCAGGGTCCCAGTCTGGCTGCAGCCACTTACAGGGCAGTCTCAGCTCCTCTGGAAGAGTAGTTTACCATACCATGGCATCTGCATTGGTGGACGATGCCTGAGCCCTAACTGCTCCAGCAAAGCAGCCCCTGTGGCTGCACCAGCACACAGGTATGTTCCCCATACTGCAGCTTCTCCAGAGACCATGGCAACTCCTGATATTACTTTGGTGGCACATGTCTGCAAAGGTGGGTTGGACTTTGCTTGATCCATCAGCAAATAAGAATGCAGTATTCCCCTGCCACCCACAGCAGCTTCTACTGTAGATGAAGCTTTGGTGGGCAGAGAGCCAGAAAGGCACAACTCTGCCTTTGTGTTAACACTGTGCAGAGAACTGTGTATTCTCCCACACTCTGAACAATCACTTCTTTATTGGTGGGGCACAAAGAAGGCATCAAACATTCACTGGCCAGCTTCCTGCACCAAGCTAACACAACCAACCATTATTAGCGCAACAGCACACACAGTGTCCAGCAGTTACGTCCTCAGTCACCTCCCAACTTCTTTGCTCCTGCCACTAAGGTAAATGCCCAGAGGCAGGCAGAAAACCCATATCCACTACCACTTTGCTGCAGCTGCGGCATGCTAGTCCTACAAAGTGATGGACTTGAAATATCAAGGAGCCAGAGAAGATGGTTGGAAACAAATACAACTGCCCCAGAGTATGCAGCCTCTGAGTTGTGAGCTGAGCATTGTCTCCCTGCCACCAAAAAAAAAAAAAAAAAAAAAAAAAAAAAATTCCCAGGAACAAAGCCCGTAGGCTCAATCTACTTTATACCACAATTGGATATTACAGGCCATTGAATAGGATTAAAAAAAAAAAAAAAAAACTCCATTCAAATGTCAGCAACCTCAAAGATATGCCCACAAAGATTTGACAAAATCCGTGCAAAAATGTTGAAAACACAAAAAACCACAGTGACTTCTTTCATCCAAATGACCAAATTATGTAATTTGGTCATTTCAGCAAGGCCTAAGATGACAGAAGTAGAATTCAGAATATGGATAGAAATAAACTTCATTGAGCTACAAATGTAAGTTGCAACCCAATGCAATAAAAGGAAAAAATTGCAGGAATTAATGGAAAAAACAGCCAATCAGGAGGAAAATGTGGTCAACCTGATAGAGCTGAAAAACACAATACAAAACTTTATAATGTAATCAAAAGTCTTAACAACAGAATAGGCCAAGCAGAGGAAAGAATCTCAGAACTTCAAGACTGGCTTTCTGAAATAAGACAGACAAGAATAGTGAAAAAAGAATACAGAGAAATGAACCAAAGTCTCTAAGAAATACAGGATTATGTAATGAAACCAAATCTATGATTAAAAAGAACATCTGAAATTGATGGGAAGAATGAAAACAACTTGAAATACCTATTTCCAGATATCATCCATGAGAATTTTTCCAGCCTAGACAGAGAGGTCAACATTCAAATGAAGGAAATGTGGAGAACCCCAGTAAGATACCCTACAAGAAGGTCACCCTCAAGACACGAAATCGTGAGATTCTCCAAGGTCAAAATGAAAGAAAAAAATGTGTTAAAGGCAGTTAGAGTGAAAGGCCAGGCCACCTGTAAAAGAAGACCATCAGACAAACAACAAACCTTTCAGCTGAAATCCTACAACTCAAAAGAGACTAGGGGCCAATATTCTACATTCTTTAAAAAAAAAGAATTCCAAACAAGAATTTTCAGAGGAACCGGCCCCGAATATTTCAACATAGGTTCTTTTCTATTTTCCCTAAGTGTTGGCTGGTCTGAGAAATAAAGGGAAAGAGTAAAAAAAAAAAAAAAAAAAAAAGGGAAATTTTACAGCTGGGCCTCTCGGAGTGACATCACATGTCAGCAGGTTCTGTGATGTCCACCTGAGCCACAAAACCAGGAAGTTTTTATTAGGGATCTCAAAAAGGGAGGGGTGTATGAATAGGGAGTGGGTCACAGGGTTCACATGCTTCATAGGGCAATAAAAGATCACAAGGCAAGGGGGCAGAGCAAGATCACAAGGCAAAGGTGAAATTAGAATTACTGATGAAGGTCCATGTCCCAATGGGCATGCACTATCATTGATAAACATCTTAACAGGAAACAGGGTTTGAGAGCAGACAACGGATCTGACTAGAATTTGCCAGGCTGGAATTTCCTAATCCTAGCAAGCCTGAGGGCACTGCAGGAGACCAGGAAGTATTTCATCCCTTATCTTCAACTGCATAAGACAGACACTCCCAGAGCAGCCATGTTAGAGAACTCCCCCTGGGAATGCCTTTTTTTCCCAGGGCTATTCCTTGCTGAGAAAAGAATTCAAGGATATTTCTCCTATTCACTTCCTGCAAGAAGAGAAGTATGATTCTGTTCTGCCTGGCCCCGTAGGCAGTCAGACCTCATGGCTGTGTCCCTTGTTCCCTGAACATCGCTGTTATCCTGTTCTTTTTCAGGGTGCCCAGATGTCATATTGTTCAAACACACATGCTTTACAAACAATTTGTGCAGATAACGCAATCATCACAGGGTCCTGAGGCGACGTACATCCTCAGCTTATGAAGTTGAAAGGATTAAGAGATTAAAGTAAAGACAGGCATTGGAAATTATGAGAGTATTGATTGAGGAAGTGATAAATGTCCATGAAATCTTCCCAATTTATGTTCAGAGATTGCAGTAAAGACAGGCATAAGAAATTATAAAAGTATTCATTTGGAGAACTGACAAATGTCCATGAAATCTTCACAATTTATGTTCTTCTGCCATGGCTTCAGCAGGTGCCTTCATTCAGAGTCCCTGACTTCTCACAACAAGAATTCTATATCTTACCAAAGCAAGCTACAGAAGTAAAAAATAAATATAATCCTATTCAGATAAGCCAACGCTGAGGAACTCTGTTACCACAAGACCGGCCTTACAAGAGCTTCTGAAGAAAGCAGTAAATAAGAGACTATTACAAGTCACTACAAACAAAATAAAAACAAAACAAAAACAAAACAAAACAAAACAAACCCCCAAAAAACCCACTAAAGTACATAAACAGCTGGCACTATAAAGCAACTACATAAATGTGAAAATTAGCCAGCTAAGATCACAGGGACAGAATCAAATCCACGCATAAAAATGCTAACTTTAAATGTAAATGGGCTAAATATCCCAGTTAAAAAACAGAGTGGCAAATTGCATGCAGAGTTAATATCCAAGGGTATGCTGTAACTGAGACACCCATCTAAAATAAGATAACAATAAATTGAAAAAGAAAAATCTACCAAGCAAATAGAAAACAGGAAAAAAGCAGCCGTTGAGATTATAGTTTCTAGCAAAACAGACTTTTAAGTCAACATAGATTTTTTTAAAAAGACAAAAAAGAACATTACATAAGAGTAAAGTGCTATATATGCACCCAATACAGAAACATACAGATTATAAACCAAGTTCTTAGAGACCCTCCAAGATGTTAAGTAAATGGTCTTCATCAGTCGTTACCCTTATATTGCATTCATTCAGTATTAAATCTCTGATGTGGAACACGACATGAGGATTTGTTAAAGGCTTTTCCACATTTTTATCACTTGTGGACTTTCTCTGTAGTATGAATTTTCTTATGTCTAATGAGGTGTGAGAATGAGCTCAATGTTTGGCCGCATTTTTCACATTTGTAGGGTTTCTCTCCAGTGTGAATTCTCTTATGATTAGTAAGGTCTGAGAAGCACTTAAAGGCTTTGCCACGTTCCACGCGTTTTTAGGATGTGTCTCCAGCATGATTTATCTTGTGTTTAATGAAGGTTTAGGAGCAGGTGAAGGTTTGCCACATTCTTTATATTTGTAAGATTTCTCTCCAGGATAAACTTTCTTATGTTCAGTAAGACTTGATAACTTTTTAAAGGCTTTGCCACATTCTTCACATTTGTGTCATCTCTCTGCAATAGGAATTTCCTTTTTTATAGTAAAATGTGAGAACAATGTACAGTCTTTGCCACGTTCTTCATACTTGTAGCATTTCTCCCACTAATTTTTTTTTTTATGTTCACTGAAGTTTGAGCACAACTCAAAAGGTTTGCCACATTTGTTTTGCTATGAGTAGATGACAGACATTGAGGAAAGCCATTAAAACTGCTTTTCTGCCCTTGCAATAACCCACACTTTGGTAGTGTTTCTTTAAAAGTAAGTTATTAAAGTCACAGCTTTCATATTTTATCAGTCACTTTTTGGAATGAATCTTTTATTTTGTGCTCCATCCATATCTCTGTAGTAAAATGAAAACAGCCCAGCTGAAACAAACAAACAAAAAAAGACAAAATTTCTCCCTCATTCGACTCAGGTGAATACACTTGACAAATGTGTAATTATACAAAGCACATTAACAAGGTGACAATAAAATACCACAGGGCCTAATTCCTTTATAAACATATAAGTTTAACATAATATACTTACCAAAATGCCTTTGTGAGAAGTCCAAGACTCAGTTAAGCATTTGCAGCACCAAGTGAGCAAAATGCCAAGAACCACATAGGAGTGTAATAAAAGTATTTCATATTTACCCACTACACACATATTTTATCCTATGAAAAGTGTAGAGACTGACAACTCCTGTCTTACCCCTTCAAAAATAAATAAAACAGTGACATGTCCATGCTTCTGGCTTTTTGAGTTTTTACCAAAGACAAATTCCTACATTCCAAGACAGTGTTGAAAGGAAAGATGGTATACTTTGACTGAGACTAAAGACAAATAACTGTTACAAAAAAAGAAAGACTTCAGTATCATAGGCAGACTATGGGTATCCAGCTGACTGCAGGATCTCAGTGAGAAATATGGGGAACGGCTGGGAGTATTGGATCACACCTGTAATTCTAGCTATTTGGGAGGCTGAGGTGGGTGGATCAGCTGAGGTAAGAAGTTCAAGACCAGCCAGGTCAACATGGTGAAATATCCAGAAATCAGTTATAAAAAATGGAGATATAAATGGTAATATAAAAATTACCAGAGGCGATTTGGGTTAGTTTAGATCTATTTTTAAAAAGAAAAAAAAAAAGTGCTAAAAAGTGAAAATCACCGTGTCAATGATGCTTAATCAGTAAAATAGAAATAAAGAAAAAAACATAAAAATAAATAAATGAAACCAACAAAAGATAAAAGTCACAAAAAGGAATGAAAATTGTGCAGTAGAAGCACAAAAAAAGACTAATATGCAGTTCAACATCAGTAAAAAATTTTAAGAAACTCAAGAAGCTCAGACAATTTCAACTAAGGTTAACACAAAGAGATTTCTAACAAGACAAAACATAAGCAATGTTTTGAAAGTCAGAGAAAAGAAGAGAATCTGGAATTCAGAAATAAAAAATAGATGTGTTATTCATATGTATGCTTCTGCAAGATTACCAGTAAATTTATGAATGTCAATCTTTTGGGCATGAAGGGAATAAGATGACATAGTTAAAACACTGAAATAAATAGCCTAATAAAGAATACTATAGCCTGCAAAATTATCTTTCCAAATGAAAAAAAAAAATGTGGCTATGTTGTAGTCTATATCAGGATGTAACTATGTCATGCCTTTAAGAGACTCATTTCAGATCTAATAAAAATTAGACTGAAAATGGCAGTATAAAAATACATTCCATGCAAGTGTTAATCAAATGAGAGGAGAAGAGGTAACAATTTATTAAGTTGAAAACTGTTATATTTATATAATTTATTTTATGTTAAAATTCACAAGGGACAAAGTAGGACATTCAAATGCAGTAAGAGGGTTCATTCACTGAGAACCTATAAATGCAGGACAGTTATTCCAAACACATAAATCAAACATTGACAGAATTGAATCAAAAATAGGCAGGCAGCAATGAGATAGTGGAAGTATATATCAATACCCCACTTTCAGTAATAAATAAAGCAAGACAGAATATCAATGAGGGAACAAAAACTTGAATGTACTGTACAACAACTACACCTAAGAAATGTATAGAGACAACAGAATAGACTTTCTTTTCAATAGCACATAAAACATTTTCCTAGATGGACCACATGTGACACCACAAAAGAAGTCTTAATTATTTTTCAGTTGAAATTTTACAGAAAATTATTTATAGCCCAGACGGAATGGAACTAGAATTTAGTAACAAAAGAAAAGCAGAAAAACTCCAAAAATATAAAAATTAAGCAACACAGTTTTTTTTTTTTTTTCTTTTGAGATGGACTCTCACTCTGGCACTCCGGAGCTAGGTTGGAGTCCAGTGGCACAATCTCAGCTCCACTGCAATCTCCACCTCCTTGGTTCAAGCCCTACTTGGCCTCCAAAAGTTCTGGGATTAGAGGTATGAGCTACCATGCCCAGAAAACAACGCACTTTTAAGCATGCTGTTTTTCAAGGGTTGGAAGATAAAATATTATGAAGATGTCCATACTGCTTAAAGTGAAGCACACCGGCAACACACTCCTTTTCAATTTTTAATTTTACTTTTCCAAAAATAGACAAAACTCCACAAAATTACTTGAGATTCCAATAAACCATGAAAAGCCTGACAATCTTAAAAATATATATAGGAAGCATTACACATAACAATTTCCAAACACAAAGCAAACCTACATTAATCAAAGGATTGTGCTGCCGGTATAATGGTAGAACACCAAAGTCATGAAACAAAATTCAGCACAGATATAAACTCTTGAATAGACAGGAGAGACATCACCTAGGTTTTGCATTCAGCCATATGTCGCAATTCCTTCAATAAGCAAGACCCAGGCAAGAGAGCGGAGTTACATTTCAATAAGCAAGACCCAGGCAGGAGAGCAGAGTGATATTTCAAAATGTCCTCTGGGTGCGGGACACAGGCTGGAGAGACACATCACCTAGCCGAAAAGACCAGAAATATGTAATAATATCCCCTGTTGACAGGGCCCAGGCAGAAGAGTCAAGTTATTATGATTCTGTCCCATTGACATGTAACAATAAACCCATGGAAAGGAATATGAGCCAAAAAGTCTCAACACCTGCATACTATGTCCAGTCGTATGACACAATCTCCTCATCTTTGAGAGTGACAGTTTTAACTTTTACCTGAATATGTATATTAGCGTCACAATTTCACATGTGTGCTGGGCCAATATACAACACTGTCTACAGGAGCTGAGGGTTTTATAAACCTGCATAAGAATTGCAAAGCTCTCTGAGGACTACATGCTCCTATGGACTCACAATCTTACATATGGCCCTAAACTCAGGTTTGATAGTCATCATCTCCCTATAGGCAGGGTTAGGGAGGAAGACCCATTATTATGCCAGTGGGCTGGGTCCAGAAATGAGTCACCATCCCAACTTTTGTCAGATTAACATATAAAAGTCAAACCTCCAACTTTGTGCTGTATTCCCTGTTAGACTCAGGACCTCAACCTTGGACATTGTAAACGTTGGATGATGACAACTTTTGATTTCACCTGGGTGTGTAACCAGGAGTCTCAATCTGAACTTTTTGCTGGGCCCTGTTATGAAACATTCTACCACCAAAGAGTTTGAAAAAATATAACTCAGTGTTAAGCTTCTATGACCTTGGTAGAAATATGTAACCCAGGAACTTACCTATTGCCCTAAGCCTAATGATGAGAGGTAAAATATCTCCTATTGGCTGAATCCCAAAATAAGTTTGATCATCATGCCTGTGAACTAAAAGCAAGATATATGTCATAATCCCATATGTGGCCAAATAAGTATGCAGGAGGGAAACATCACTTATATGGTGTGCCAGGCAATATGTCAAATTGCCTTCTTCAGGCAGGGTATAGGGGATATTAGGTCACAATAACCGGGTGCTGGAGCCAGCAATATGACAACATCTCACATGTAGAAAATACCCAGCCAAGTTAGGAGAGCCAAAACATCTGCATTATGGGCTGAAGATATGTCAAAATACCTTCAGTGGCTCCAACACAGGCCGGAGAGTCACATCATAAGGATGCTGGGCTTATCAATATGCAATATGCCATAGTTTCTTCTTTGTGCAAAACCCAGGCAGGTGAGTAACATCATCGGGATGCTGGGCCCTGCAATAGGTCCAAATTCTTTTTTTGTGGGCATGGCTCGGGAACAAGAGGAGAGTCACATATTCTGCGTGCTGGGATCAGCAATGTGCCAAAATCCTCTTAATGTGAAGCCCCAGGCAGAAAAATAGAGTCACATTTTTAGATCATGGGCTCAGAAATATGTCCAAATGTTTCCAGTAGGCAGGGCTCATTGAGACGAGGAAAGTCATATCACCTGGGTGCTTCCCTTCAAATATGCATAATGTAACATGTAAGCAGAAACAAGGTAGAGGAGCCACGTCCCTTGGGTGCTGGGTCCTGAGATATGTCACAAGGCTGTCTTAGGATATCATCCAGGAAAGGGAGTTACATAAATGAGGTACAAATTCTCTGCTTATTCCACAATGCTCCATGTGAGTAGATCCCAGAGAGGGAGTCACTTCAACCAGGTGATAGCTGAAGAGACGTGTCACAGTGTCCTCTATGAAGCACAGCCCTGGCTAAAGAGTACCCTCACCTGTGTGCCTGGCCTAGAAATATGTCACTCTCCAGGTTGGCAGGGCCCAAGCCGGAGAGCCACATAACTTAGGTGACAGGCCTAGAGATATGTCACAGTGCCCTACTTTCAGCATGGCTCTGGCAAAAGAATACCCTCACCTGTGTGACTGGCATTGCAATATGTCACTATCCTTCCTTCGGGCAGGGCCCATTCCAAAGAAGAGAGTTACATCACCTATGAGGTGGACACAGGAATATGTCACAGTAATTTTTGTGGACATGGCACAGGCAAGAATGTAACATCACCTGGCTGCTAGATCCAGTGATCTGTCACAACACTTACTGAGAGAAGAGCCCAGGCATGGCAGTCATATCCCCTTGAGGCTGACCCAGCTAGATATCACAATTTCATATATAAACTGGGACCATTCTGGAAAGTCCAACTACACAGGTGCTTGGCAAATATGTATATCACAATCACACTGTCAGAAAATGTCAAAGGTGAGTTTTATGATACCACACATGTCCTGTTTTTACGTGTGACAGTTGGCTGCAACCATGTGGGATGATGACAGTTATTTCTGTCAGCTGGGTTTGCATACAGGACTCACAATTTCACCTGTGTGCTGAGTGCTACATTGGTTCTGCTTGTATAACCCAAAGACTCTATAAAAGTATGTGTCAATGTTGTAATCTTTTGTGATGTTTGTACAAGAATGTGATCCATGATATCACACATGTCCCTACACCTAGTTATAAGAGCCTAAATATTCTCTATTTGCTGAGTTCACATCTAAGAGTCGTTATCATTCCTGCGAGCCTTGCGTAGGTATATGTTACAATTCCATGAGTGGTTATGAAGCAGGCAGAACAGCCTCATCACCTAAATTCTGGGCCTGAAATATTTCAATATTATCTTTGTAGACAGGGTCCTGTCAGAAATGCCACATGACTTGTGTGCTGGGTCCAGCTCTGTGGCACAATGTCCCTTGTGGGTAGTGTCCAGGAAGAAGAGGAGAGTAATATCACCTAAATGATAGGCCCCAAAATATGTCAAAATGCCTCCTGTTGACAGGGCCCAGGAAAGAGAGTCGTATCATTTAGATGCAGTGTTTAGAAATGCTACAATTACCAAAGTAAGCAGGGTACAGGCAGGAGAGGAGAATCATGTAACCTAGATGATGTGTTCAGAAATATGATACAATCCCTCCTGAGGCCATTGTTAAAATAGCACGGTAAAATCATCAAGTTACTTGGCCAGGTATTTGTCAAAATCTGATTTGTGGGCTATACCTAGGAAGAATTATTAAATCTCTCTGGAGCTGGACAAAGGTATGTGTCACAATTTCACTTGTGGAAAGATTTAGGAATTACAGTCACCATCCTGCACATGTCCTGGCTCCAAACATATGAGTTGTTATTAGGCTTTTGTTTTGGTCTCAGGTATATGACACAATATCACCTGTGGCCAGAAAGAAGGCAAGAAACTCACATCACCTACATGGGTGCAGGTCCAGTGAGATGTTGCAATCCACCTGGTGGGCAAAACCCTTGCAGAATTGTCAGATCACTTGGATGCTGGTTTCAGTGATATATTTTTAAAAAGCCCTCTGTGGGAAGGACTTTGGCATGAGAGAAGACTCACTTCATCTAGGAAATTGGCCTAGATTATGTCACAATGACCATTAACTGCAGTAAGAAGGCTAAAGAGTGCCCTCACCTTGGTGCTGTACCCAGGAATATGTCCCAAGCTCCCTGTGGTCAGGACACAATGAAAAGTGAAGAAACATCACCCAGGTGCTGAGCCAAGTGGTATGTTACTATGTTGGCAGAACCCCCCAAAAAATCACATCTCCTGGGTGCAGTAGCCTGTTATGTGTCACAGTGCTCTGTAACTGCAGGGCCAAGACAGTAGAAGAGAGTGACATCACTTATGTGATGGACCTAAATGTAAGACACAATTCTCTTTTTAGGCAGTTTTCAGGCAGGTAAATCACATCACCTGGGTGACGGTCCCAGTGATATATAAAAGTGCCCCTTATAGGCAGAGACAAGGATGATGTTATATATTGATTAGGGGCTTGTTCCGCATATGGCAAAATTTCATCTGTGGTCTGGGCCTAGAAATGTGCATCAAATTACTCATATGCTGGGAAGGGTTGCATGACCCAATCATACTTTCAAGAAGGTTCAGAAATAATTTTCAGTTCACTCAAGTCCGAGCTTTGAGTATGCGAATCAACACATTCTACGAGTTGGGTTGTAGTACAGGAGTCACAATCTCAGCAATGGGAAGATCCATGTGTAAGAGCCCCAATCCCACCCGAAGACTGTGTTCTAATAAGAGAGACACAGCACCACAGTTCTACTTAATCATGGTTCCAATGCCATCAAACACCTGTGGATCAGATTCACGTACAAGTGTAACAGTTTCAAGTCTTATGTGTGTGAGATTTAGCACTGCATTGGTAGGCTCTGTTCATGTGTGAGAATAACAATTGTGTCAGCTTGGTGTGCATTCAAGAGTCACAATACCACCTGGTTTTGGGTGCCTGTTATGACACTCTTTGTACCACTCAGGCTTTATACGATATGCCTGAGTGGGATACTTTTCTGTGTATTCTTAGAGGTGGGTAATATAGAACTCTACCCATGGCCATAGAGTTATTATTGTGCATGTGAGCTGAATCCAGGTATATGTCCCAAATTCACCTTTGGACAGAGACAAGACAGAAGAGTCTCATCATCTGGATTCTGATCCAGGGATACATTTTATTCTGCACTGTAGGCAGGACTCAGTCAGAAGAATCATATCACCTGGGTACACTCTCAAATAATATGTCATCATGCCTACTGAATACAGGGATTAAAAAAAGTGGATAGTCAAATTCTCTAAGGACTGGGCTCAGCACATCTTCTCGGACTCTCTTGGCAGAGCCCAGGACAAAGGGGAGAGTCACATCACCTAGGTTTTTCACTCAGTGGTATGTCACAATTTCTTCAGTGGGCAGGATTCAGCAGGAGAGGAGATTCACATTACCTAGATGCTTTATCTAGTGATATGTCACAGTGTCCTTTGTGGGCAGGGCACTGGCAGGAGAGACACACCACTTAGCTGATAGGCCTAAAGACATGTGATCATATCCCCTGTTGTCAGGGTCCAAGCAGAGGGTTAAACTATTATGATTCTAAGCAAGGGATGTTTTACAATGCAACCATGGAAAAGAATTTAAGCCTAAAATTCTCAACACCTAGAGGTACTAGGCCTCGTGATATGGCACAATCTCTTCATCTATTAGGGTGACAACTTTGACTGTTTGGTGAGTATATAGGAGTCACAATCTCATGTGTATTCTGGGTGATCCTATGACACAATCTACAACATACAAAGGCTTTAAGCAACATGCATGAGAGTTGCAATCCATTCTGAGGCCTACATGCTCCTATTGACTCACAATCTTACATACTGCTTTAAACTCAGTTATGATAGGCAACATTCCTCTTATAGGCTAGATTCAGACAGAAGACACATTATTATGCCCCTGATGTGGGTCCAGAAGTGAGTTACCATCTCACCTGTAGCAAGATCCATATATGAAAGTCACAATTCCATCTTTGTACTTTATTTACTTGTTAGACTCAGGACTTCAACAGTGGGCTTTGTAAATGTGGGATTTTGACAACTTTTTCTCTCACCTGCATGTGTAATCAAGAGTCAAAACCTTAACTTTTACTGGGCCCTGTTATAAAACTCTGTGTACCAACCAAGGAGTTTATAGATTATGTGTTACTGTTGTAACCTTCTGTGAACTTTGTACAAATTTGCAACTCATAACCTTACCTATTGTTCTAAGTGTAGCCATGAAAGGCAAAACATCTACTATTGGTGAAATTTCAATTTCAGCTTGATCATAATGCGTCTGAATTGAAGGAATGTAAATTTCATACCATTTGTAGAAAAAAAAAAAAACTTTTCAGAAAGGTAGCATACTTAGGTGCTGTGCCAAGCAATATATCACAAGGCCCTCTCAATGCAGGTCTAGAAATTGGGGTTATGATAACTGGGTGCTGGACTCAGCAATAAGACATAAACCCAAATGTAGAATATGTAGGAAAAAGAAATGCATACTAATGATGAGAACAAGATTACCTACAGAATAGGCCCATGGTATGTAAAAATACTTTGTTATTCTAGCACAGGCAAAAGAGTTACATCATCAGGGTGGGGGCCCCAGCAATATGCCATAATTCTCTCTTTATGCTGGACCTAGTAACAAGAGAACTGTCATCTTCATGCTGGGATCAGTGATACATCAAAGTTCCTTTTCATGGGCATAGTTCAGGAAAAAAGGAGTCAATTTACCTAAGTATTGGGCCTAGCAGTATATCACATCACCCCATTCTAAAGGCTCTTGCAGAAAAAAAGATTCACATCACTTAAGACACAGGCTCAGATATATGGCCCAATGTCCCAAGTAGGCAGGACTCATGCAGAAGAGAAGAGTCATATCACCTAGGTGCTTCCTAGGTATATGACACAATCTAACATGTGAGGTGAAGCCAGGCAGAAGAGTCACATCACCTTGATGCTGGGTCCTAAGATATGTCACAAGACTTCCTTAAGACAGGACACAGAAAAGAGAGTTACAAAAAATAAGTACAAAAAAATATCACAATGCTCCATGTGGGCAAGACAGAAGCAGGGAGTCACATCACCTAGGGGACTGGCCGAGAGATATGTCACAATGTCCTCCTTGAGTCATGGCCCTGGTGAAAGAGTACCATCACCCATGTGCGTAGCCTAGCAATATGTCCACTATCCAGGTAAGCAGGACCCAAGCAGGAGAGCAACATCATCTAGCTGATAGGCCCAGAGATTTGTCACAGTGACCTCTTTAGGACATGGCCCTAGCAAGAAAGTACCATCACCTCTGTGCATTATGTTGTTATCCAGGTAAGCAGTACCCAAGCAGGAGTGCAGTATCACCTAGGATAGGCCAAGAGATTTGTCACAATGCCCTCTTTAGGACATGGTACTAGCAAAATAGTCCTGTCACCTCTGTGCCTGGCCCAGCCACATGTCACTATCACCCACTGAGTGCTGTGCCCATTCTAATAAGGAGAGTTGTGTTGCCTAAGTTGTTGACACAGTGGTATGGCCCAGTGATTTCTCTATGCATGGCTTAGGCAAAAATGTAACATGACCTGGGTGCTGGATCTAGTGATATGTCATGATTCTTAATGACAGCAGGGCCGAGGCAGGAGCATCACATCACCTAAAGTTTGGCCCAGGTAGGTATCACAATAACATATGTGGACTGGAACAAGTCTGGAGAACAAAATCACACAGGTGCTTGGCGAAGATTTATATCACTCACACTGGCAGAAAATTCTGAGGATGAGATTTATAATACCACACATGTCCTGTTTTCATGATTGACAGTTGGCATCATATATGTGAGACGGTGACAGTACTTGCTGTCAGCTGAGTGCACATATAAGACTCACAGTTTCACCTTTCTCTTGGGTTCTGTTATAAAACTCTCTGTATGGGCCAAGGTGTTTATAAAACATCTGAGGCTCTTATAACCTTCCTTGTCTTCTTTTTTACCAGAAAGTGATTTAATCTCTCATGTTTCTGAAGCAAGTTATGAGACTCAGAATTAACCGTATTTACGGGGTCCACATATGAGGGTCATTATCATGTCTCTAAGTTGTACCTAGGTATATGTAACAATTTATATTGTGGCTTATGAAATAGGCACGACAGCCAAGTACACTAAATGCTGAGCCAGAAATGTTCTAATATTCTCCTTGTAGGCATACTCCTGGCAGTAAAGTTGCATAAACTGGGGGTTACACCCAGATATATGGCACAATGCTCCTGTGGGCAGTTTCCAGACAGAAGAAGAGACTCATATCACCTAAATGCTAGGACCAGAGATATGCCGCAATGTCTCGTGTTGAAGGGACCAGGAAATGGAGTCATATCATTTGGATGGCATGATTAGAGATGCTGGAATCCCCAGTGGAAGGAGGGTTCAGACAGCAGAGGAGAGTAAGACAACTAGACGAGGGGTCCAAAGCCATGTTACAATCCTTCCTGAGGATATTCTTAAGACAGGAGAGTCAAATTGCCAAGGTGCTCAGCTGAGTAATATGTCCAAATCTCATTTGTGGGCAACATTTAGGCAAGATGATTAAGTCACTCAAGAGATGGGAAATAGACTATGTCACAATAACACTGGTGGAAAGTTTCAGCAATGGGAGTCACCATCTTTGATGTGACCTGGCTTCAGGTCTAACAGTCATGATTAGTCCTCTTGTTTGCTCTCAAGTATATGGCATGATATCGTCTATGGACAGAGAGCAAGCAGAAATGTCACATCACTTGTGAGGGTGCTGGTCCAGTGAGATGTCACAATCTTTCTTGTGGCCAGGACCCTGGAAGAAGAGGCATATCACCTGGAAGCTGGTTTCAGTGATATGTCAAAATTTCTTCTGTTGGGCAGGGCTTAAGAAGGTGAGGAGAATCACTTTACCTACATCTAGGCAATTGGCCTAGATATATGTCACAATGGCCACTAGGTGCAAAACCAAAGTATGAAAATGACCTCACCTTGGAGGTGGGTTTATCAATATGTCACAATCTCCCCTGTGGTCAGGGTGAGGTAGGAGAGTAGAAACATCACCTAAGTGCTAAGCCAAGTGATATGTTACAAAGCTTTCTGTTTGTAGAACCCAGAATGGAGTGTCACATTTTCTGAGTGTACTATCCAGTTATGTGTCACAATGCACCATAATTACAGGGCAAAGGCAGTGGAAGTGAGTCACGTCACTTACATGATGGACCTAGATAAAAGCCACAATGCTTTATATAGGCAGGAATCAAGCAAATAATACACATCTCCTGGCTGCTCATCCCAGTGATATGTAAAAGTGACATTTGTAGGCAGGCCCAGGCACCTTTGCTTAGGTTTTTGGTCCACATATGTCACAATTTCATCTCGGGTTATGGCCTAAAAAGGAGAGTCAAATTACTCAGGACCTGGGCTAACTTTTAAGTCCTAATCATACACCAGGAAATATTCTGAAGTAAGTTTCACAGCCCCACACAAGTCCTGGCTTTATGTATGAAAGTCAACACCTTCTGTGAGTTGGGTCGAAACAGAGGAGACACAATCTAAACAATGGGCATAATCCATGTAGAAGATGGCAATCCCACTTGATAACTGCATTCCAGGGGGAGAGTCCCAGCCTCACAGATGTGCTGAACCATGCAACCCCAAACCACCTGTGAGTCAGATCCACATATGAGAGGAACAATTTCAATCTTTTACTGCTCTTTTGGTGAGATTTAGTACTTTATTTGCAGGTTCTGTTCTTGTGAGAGAATGATAGTCGCGTCAGCTGGGTGTGAATCCAATAATCACAATAGCATTGGTTTGCTGTTCCCTGTTATAACACTCATTGTACTACTCACATTTTCTATGATACGCTGGGAGTGTCATAATACTGTGTGAACTTTATACCACTATGAGAACCATTACTTTGCTTGTGGCCATAAGAATGGCAATGAGAATCAAAATATCTCTCCTCTTTGGGTCCAGGTATGATAGTTGTATTATTGCATGGTATCTGAAGCTGGGTATATGACAAAATTTTACCTGCGGGCAGAAACAGAGCAGGAGAGTCTCATCACCTGGATGGTGAGCTCAGGATACATTATAATCTTAGAGAAACAGAGAAGACTCACATCACCTGGGTGCTGGACTCCGCAATATGTGATAATCCCTTGTTTTGGCAGACTCCAGAATAAAGAGGAGAGTTGCATTACCCAGTTTTTGCAGTCAGCGTTATGTCACAATTCTTTTAGTGGGCAGGACCTAGGCAGGAGAGAAGAATCACATTTCCTAGATGTTATCACCGATGATGTCACAATGTTCTTTGGTGAAAAAGCAGAAGCAAAATAGACAAATCACCCAAGAAATAGGCTCAGATATATGTGACAATATCCCTACTTGGCAGGATCAAGTAGTAAAAAGTCACATTATTGTGATTCTGACCCAACGATATGTCACAATGCACACATGGGAAACAAAGCAGTTTTTACACCTGGGTACTAGGCCCAATGATATGACAATATCTCCTCATCTTTTAGGGTGACACCTTTAACTGTTAACTCATATGTATGTAAGTCACATTGTCACGTGTGTGCTGGGCCATTGTATGACATCCTCTAGAACATCTGAGAGTTTTATACAACATGCGTGAGATTCACAAACTACTCTGAGGTCCACATGCTCATTTTGACTCTGAATATTATATATTGCCTTAAACCCAGATATGAGAGTCAGTATCTCTCATTTATGCTTAGTTCAGGAATGAGGCTTATTTTTATGCCTGTGAGCTGGGTCTAAAAATGAGTGATGGTTGCACCTGTGGCAAAATCCACAAATGAGAGTCACAATTCCATCTTTGTACTGTTTTACTTGTTAGACTCAGTATCTCAGCAATGGGCTTTCTTAATGAGGGGTGGTGACAAGTTTTACTTTCAATTGTGTGTGTAATTCAGAATCACAATCTTAACTTTTTGCTGGGCTTTGTTAGGAAACGCTGTACCACCCAAGGAGTTTATACAATATTAATTATTGTTCTGTGAGCTTTCCTCAAATACGCAACCCAGGATTTTACCTATTGCCCTAAGCCTTGCGATGAGAGGCAAAATATCTTCTATTTGCTGAATCACAATGTAAGTTTGACCATCATACCTGTAAACTGAAGCAAGGTATATTTTATAATCCCATTTGTGGGCAAAAAATTACCAAAAAGAGTAATGTCACTTAGGTGCTGTGGCACGCAGCATGTCACAGTGCTGTCTCTAGGCAGAATACAGAAAGCAGGGTCATGTTATCTGGATGCTGGACCTAGCAATATGACACAATTTTACTTGTTAAAAAAAGAAACTCAACCAAGGGATGAAAGCCAAAACACTTACAGATTTGGCTGAAGATATGTCAAAATGCCCTCTGTGGCTCTGGCACTGGTGGGACTGAAGCATCATTAGAGTGTTGGGCCTACCATTATGCAATCACTCCCTCATTATTCAGGACTGCAGCAGAAGAGTAACATCATCTGAGTGCAATAGGTGAAATTTTCCCTTTGTGGGCATGGTTCAGAAAAAAGGAAATAGTCACATAACCTAAATCCTGGTCTCAGAAATACATCACAATTTCAGCATTTTAAAGGCTGAGGCAAGGGAAGAGAGTCATATCACTTAGGTCATGGGCTTAGAAACATGTCCCAATGTCCCCAGTAGGCAGAAGTCAGGCAGAATTCAGGCAGAAGAGGAGAGTGGTGTCTCATTGGTGCTTCTTTAGGTGTATGTCTCAATCTAACACATGGGCAGAACCAGACAGAAGAGCCATATAACCTGGGTACTGGGTCCTAAGGTATGTTGCAAATCCCGATTAGTTCAGAACCAAGGTGAAAGAGTTACATCACCTTGGTTCAGGTTTCACTTTCATGTCACAATGCTCTATGTGTGTGAGGCCAAAGCATTTAGTCCCATAAACTAGTTTATTGGCCCAAGAGATAGGTCACAAAGTCCCCTGTGAAGCATAGTCTTGGCAAAAGAGTATCATCACCTGTGTGCCTGGCCTAGAAATATGTCATTCTCCAGGTTGTCAGGGCCCAAGCAGGAGAGCCGCTTAACCTAGGTAATAGGTGCAGAGATATGTCACAATGCCCTACTTTGGGCATGGCTGTGGCAAAAAGTACCCACAGCTGTATGCCTGGCTTCACAATATGTCACCATCCTTCCTTTGTGCAAGGCCCATTCCAGAGATCAGAGTTTCATCCCTATGAGGTGCACACACAAATATGTTCACAATAATTTTGGTTGGCGTGGCACAGGCAAGAATGTGAACATCACCTGGATGCTAGATCCAGTGATATGTACAATCCTTACTGAGAGAAGGGCCCAGGCAGGAGAGTCACATCTCCTTGAGGTTGGCCTAGGTAGATATCACAATCCCACATATGGGCTGGAACAAGTCTGGAGAGTCAAATTACACTGGTGCTTAGCAAAGATTTATATCACAATCACACTGTCAGAAAATTCCAAAGATGTGATTTACAATACCACACATGTCCTGTTTTCATGTGTGACAGTTGACTTCATCCATGAGAGATGATGACAGTCCTTACTGTCAGGCGGGTGTGCATACAAGACTCACAATTTCACCTGAGTTGAACCCTGCTTTGACTCTTTCTGTATAAACCAAAGACTCTGTAAAATGTGTGTGTTGTAATCTTTTGTGATGTTTGTACAAGAAAGTGATTCAGGACATCACGCATGTCCCTAAACTGAATTATAAGAGTAAAAATATTCTCTGTTGGATGAGTCCACATATAAGAGTCATTATTATTCCTGCAAGCCCTGCCTAGGTATTTGTTATAATTTGTTCTGTTGTTATGAATCAGGCCTAACAGCCACATCACCTAAATGCTGGGCCAGAAATATTCCAGTATTCTTTTTGCAGGAGGGGTCTTGTCCAAAATATCACATAACTTGTGTGCTAAATCCAACTCTGTTGCACAATGTTCATTTTGGGCTGTGTCTAGGCAGGAGAGGAGAGTCACAGGACCTAAAAGCTGGGCTCAAGCATGTGTCAAAATGCCTCTCAACAGGAGAGTTTCTCCAAAAAAAGAGAGCCATGTCATTTGAATGCAGTGTTTAGAAAAGGTACAATTACTATAGGAAGCAGGGTACAGGTCAAAGAGGAGAGTCATATACCCTAAATAATGGGTCCAGAAACATGTGACTATTTTGCCTGAGGACACTTTTTAGATAGCACAGTCAAATCACCAAGGTGCTTGATGAAGATATTTGTCAAAATCGCTTTTGTAGGCTATATCTAGGCAGAATTATTAAATCACTCAGGAACTGAAATACAATATATGTCACAATTACACTTGCGGAAAGGTTTAGGTATAAGACTCAACTGTGGGCTTTGTAAATGTGGGATGGTGGCAACTTTTAATTCCACCTGGGTGTGTAATCGAGAGTCCCAATTTGAACTTTTTGCTGGCCCCTGCTATAAAAATTTCTACCACAAAGGAGTTTATAAAATGTAAGTTAGTTGTGTAAGTTTCTGTGAGCTTGGTACAAATATGCAGCCCAGGACCTTATCTATTGCCCCAAGCCTAACAATGAAAGGCAAATATTTTCTATTGGCTGAATCCCAGTATAAGTTTGATCATCATGGCTGTGAGCTTAAACTGGGTATATGTTATAATGACATATGTGGGCAAAACACTACGCAGAAGGGTAACATCACTCAGATGCTGTGCCCAGCAATATGTCACAATGCCTTCTGTATGCAGGGTGTAGGAAATTGGGTCACGTTAACTGGGTGCTGGACCCAGAAATACGACACAATTTCACATGTGTAAGAAACCCAGCCCAGTTATGAGAGCCAAAACACCTACATAATGGGCATAATATATGTCAAAATACTTTCGGTATCAGCAGCACAGGCAGGAGCATCACATCTTAAGGGTGCTGGGCCCAGCAATATACAATATGCCATAATTATCTCTTTATGCAGATCCCATGCAGAAGAGTAACATGATCTGCATGCTGGGCAATAATATGTGTCAAATTTCTTTTTTGTAGGCATGGTTCAGGAGAAAGAGAAGAGAAACAGATCCTGAGTCCTGGGCTCAGCAATGTAACAAAATCTTCCTTTTATGAAGGCCCAGGAAGAAAAACAGAGTCACATCACTTAGGTCATGGGCTCAGAGACATGTCCTAATATTCCAACTAGGCAGAGCTCAGGCAGGTGAGGACAGCCGAGAGTCACATATCCTGAGTCCTGGGCTCAGCAATGTGACAAAATCCTCCTTTTATGAAGGCCCAGGAAGAAAAAGAGTCACATCACTTAGGTCATGGGCTCAGAGACATGTCCTAATACTCCAACTAGGCAGAGCTCAGGCAGGTGAGGACAGCCGAGAGTCACATATCCTGAGTCCTGGGCTCAGCAATGTGACAAAATCCTCCTTTTATGAAGGCCCAGGAAGGAAAAGAGAGTCACATCACTTAGGTCATGGGCTCAGAGATATGTCCTAATACTCCAACGAGGCAGAGCTCAGGCAGATGAGGACAGCCATATCACCTATGTGCTTCCATCAAAATATGTCACAATTTAACATGGGGGCAGAAACTATGCAGAAGAGCCACATCACTTGGGTGCTGGGTCCTGTGATATGTCACAAAGTGCTCTTAACACAGCACCTAGCCAAGAGAAATACATCATACTAGGTGAAGGGTCTCTGCTTATGACACAATGCTTCATCTGGTTAGGACCCAGGGAGAGAGTCACTTCATTTAGGTGATAGGCCCAGAGATATGTCACAATGTACTGTGTGAAGCATAGCCCTGGAAAAGGGTACCATCACCTGTGTGCCTGGCCTAGAAGCGTGTCACTTTCGAGGTTGGAAGGACCCTAGCAGGAGAGCCACATAATGTAGGTGATAGACCCAGAGATATGTCACATTGCCCTCCTCCAGGCATCCACAGGATAAGGAGGAACCTTGCCTGTGCGCCGGTCCTTGCGCTATGTCACTATCATTCTGTTGTGCAGTGCCCATTCCAGAGAGGAGACTCACATCAACTATGAGGTAAACACAGAAATATGTCACAATAATTTTGGTGGGCAGGGTGCAAGTAAGGATGTAACGTTACCTGGGAGCTAGGTCCAGTGATATGTCACAATCATTACTGAGAGATAGGACAAGGCAGGAAAGTCATGTCACCTCGAGGTTGGCCTAGGTAGATTTCATAACCCCACCTATGAGCTGGAACAAGTCCGGAGCCTCAGATTACACAAGTGCTTAGCAAAAATTTATATCATACTCACACTGTCAGAAAATTCCAAAGATGAGATTTACCATCTTACCACACATGCCCTGTTTCATGTGTGACAGTTACCTTTATCCATGTGAGATAATGAGTTCTTACTTTCAGCTGGGTGTGCAAACAAGACTCATGATTTCATCTGTGTGCTGAGCCCTGCTTTGACTTTGTGTGTATGACCCAAAGACTTTGTAAAATATGTATGAGTGTTGTAATATTTTGTGACCTTTGTACAAGAAGGAGATCCAGGACATCATGCATGTCCCTAAACTGAGTTATAAGATGCAAAATATCCTCTATTGGCTGAGTCCACACATGAGAGTCATTATCATGGCTGTGAGCCATGCATAGGTATATGTTACAATTCACTCTGTGGTTAAGAAGGAGGCCTGACAGCCATATCACATAAATGCTGGGTCAGAAATATTCCAATATTCTTTTTGTAGTCAGAGCCCTCTCAGAAATATCACATAACTTATGTGCTATGTCCAGCTCTATGGCTCAATATCCCTTGTGGACAGTGTCTAGGCAGGAGAGGAGAGTAATATCACCTAAATGATGGGCCCAAAATTTTGTCACAATTCTTCCTGTTGACAGGTCCCAGGCAAGAGTGTCATATCATTTGGATGCAGGGATTATAAATACTACAATCCACCAAAGAAGCAGGGTACAGGCAGGAGAGAAGAGTCACGTAACCTAGATGAAGGGCACAGAAATATGTTACAAGAGCCCCTGAGGACATTTCAAGATACATCAGCCAGATCACCAAGGTGCTTGACCAATGTATCTGTCAAAATCTCATTTGCTATACCTAGGCAGAATTATTAAATCACTCAGGAGTTGAGCAAAGGTATATGTCACAATCAGACTTGTGGAAAGGCTTAAGTCTAAGAGTCACCATCCTGCACAAGTCGTATGCTCTAGTCATATGAGTTGTTACTAGGCTTTTGTTTTGGTCTCTGGTACATGGCAGAATATCACCTGTGGCCAGAGAGAACACAAGAAAGTCCCATCACCTATGTGGGTCTGGGCCACTAAGACATCACTATTCACCTTGTGGGTAGGAACCTGGTGGAAGAGCCACAGCACCTGGATTTCAGTGACATATCAAAAGCCTCTCTTCTGGGCAGGGCTTTGGCAAGAGAGGAGACTCACTTCACAAAGGCAGTTGGCCTAGATGTTTGCCACAATGTCTATTCCGTGCAGTAACCAAACTGTAGAGTGGCCTCACATAGGTGTTTGTCCCAGGAAATATGTCACAATCTGCCTGTGGTCTGGGCCAAGGCGAAAGTGAAGAAACATCACCTAGGTACTGAGCCAAGTGATATGTTCAATGCTTCCTGTTGGCAGAACCCAAAAAGAAGAATCACATCACTTGAATGCAGTACCCAGTTCTTTGTCACAATGCCCTGTAAGTGCATGGCCAAGGAAGTAGAAGAGAGTCACATCACTTACAGGATGGACCTAGATATATAACAAAATTCCTTTTGTAGAAAGGTTTCAGGCAGATAACTCACATCATCTGGGTGATGGTCCCAGTGACATATGTAAAATTTCCCTTTGAAGGCAGAGCCACGATGGATGTTATCTATTGCTTAGCTGCTTGTTCCACATATGGCACAATTACTTCTGTGATCTGGGCCTAGAAAATGAGTCAAATTATTCATTTGCTGGACAAAGTGACCTATCCCAATATGACACTCTCATATATGTTCGGAAATAAGTTTCACATCCCACACAAGTCCTGGTTTTGTGTATGTGAGTCAATTCTTTCTGTAAGTTGGATCAAAATGGAGGAGTCAAAATCTCAACAATGGGCAAGATTCATGTATAAGAGCCGCAATCCCCCTTGAACATTGTGGTCCAGGAGGGGAGTCACGGCACCACAGGTGTGCTGAATCCTGGTTCAAATGTTAACAAACCACCTGTGGATCAGGTCCATGTAGGTGAGTAATTATTTCAAACATCGACTGCTTTTTATGTGTGAGATTTAGTCCCTCATTCCTAGACCCTGTTAATATGCGAGAATGACAATCATTTCAGTGAAGTGTGCATACAAGAGTCATATTCTTACCTGGTTGCTGGTCTCTGTTATGACACTCTTTGCACCATTAATGCTTTATATGATATACCTGAGTATTATAATCCTTCGTGACTTTTATACAAGTGAAAAACACAGGGCTTTACCCATGGCCGTGAGACTGGCTATGAGAGTCAAAATATTCCTACAGGCTGGGCCCAGGTATGAGAGTTATTTTTGTCCATGCGTGCTTAACCCAGGTACGTGTCAAAATTTCACCTGTAAGCAGAGACAAGGAAAGGGAGTCAACTCACCTCGACACTGAGCCAGTGATACAGCATAATCTCATTTGTATGCTGGGCCTAGTCAGAAGAGTCACTTCACCCGGGTACAGTTTCACATAATATGTCAGCAAGCCCACTATGGACAGGGAAGAAAAAAGAGAGGACAGTCAGTCCACCTATGTGCTGGACTCCGCAATATGTAACAACCCTCTCTCTTGGTAGAGTCTAGAATATGAAGGAGAGTCACATCATGTAGGTTTTTCAATCAGCGGTATGTCACAATTTGTTTGCTGAGCAAGGCTCAGGCAGGAGGTGAGAATCACATTACCTAGATGTTAAGCCAAACAATATTTCACAATGTCTTCTGGGTGCAGGACACTGTCAGAAGAGACAAATCCTCTAGCTTATAGACCCATAGATATGTGATAATATCCCCTTTTGGCAGGGTCCAGACAGAAGAGACACATTATGATTCTAACACAGTGATATGTTACAATCCACCCAAGGAAAGGAATTTAAGCCAAATAGTCTCAACACCTAAGCACTATGCCTATTAATAGGCCAAATCCCCTTGTCTTTGAGAGTGACATTATAAACTCTGAGCTGGGTGTGTATATGAGAGTAACAATTTCACTAGTATCCTGGGCCGTTGCATGACTCTCAACAATTTTCAAAAGCTTTATACATCACGCATGAGAGTTTCAAACCACTCTAAGGCCTACATATTCACATGGATTCATGACCTTACATATTCCCCTAAACCCAGGTATAATAGTCAGCATCTCCTCTATAGGCTGGGTTAGAAATGAGACTCATTTTTATGCCTGTGAGCTGGATCTAGAAATAAGTCACAATCCCACCTGTGGCCAGATCCACATACGAAAGTCACAATTCCAACTTTGCACTGCATTCATTTGTAAAACTCAGGTTCTTAACAATGGCCTTTGGACATGTAGAATGATGACAGCACTTGCTTTTACCTGGGTGTGTAATCAAGAATCTCAAACTGAACTCTTCACTGGTCCCTATCACCAAACTCTCTATACCAACAAAGAAGTTCATACATTATGAGTTAGTGTTGTAAAGCTCTGTGAGCTTGGTACAAATATGCAACCCAGACTTTATGTATTGCCCAAAGCCTAGCAATGAAAGGTAAAATATCTCCTATTGGCTGAATCTCAGTATAAATTTGACCATCATGCCTGTGAACTGAAGTCATAGTCCCATTTGTGAGCAAAAAAAGTAGGCCCGAGGGTAACATCACTTAGGTGTTGTGCCAAGCAACATGCCACAGTGCCCTCTCTAGGTAACATAGAGGAATTAGAGTCATGTTAACTGAGTTCTGGACTCAGCAATATGAAACAATCCATTATGTGGAAACAAACAAAAACAAAAGTGAAAAAAAAAAAAAAAAAAACAGCAAAAAGATAAGAGCCAAAACACCTACATAATGGGCCCAGGATCTGTGAAAATACCTTCTCTGCCTCCAGCAAAGTCATGAGTTTTATATTTTCAGGATGCTGGGCCCAGCAGTATGTTATAATATTCTCTACATACAGGACCCACGTAAAGGCGTAACATTATCTGGGTGCTGGGCCCTGCAATAGGCCAAAATTTCTGTTAGTGGGCATGATTTGAGATTAAAAAAAAAAAAGGTGAATCAAATAACCTGATTGCTAGGTTGAGCAATATTTCACAATCTCTCCATTGTAAAGACCCAGCAGAAAAAGAGAGTCACTTCCCTTAGTTCATGGGCTCAGAGATATAGTCCAGTGTACCCAGTGAACAGGGCCCAGGCAGAAAGGGAGACTCATATCACCTAAATGTTTCCCTAGTTATATGCCAAAAACCTTACCCACGGGCAGAAACCAGGCAGAAGAGCCACATCACCTGGGTACAACTGCAAGTAATATGTCACCATCCCCAGCATAGATAGGTTTCTTATAAAATTAGATAATGACACCACGTGGGTGCTCTGCTCACCAATATGTAACAATTCCCTCTCTTGACAGAGTCCAGGAAAAAAAGGGGACTTCTGTCACCTAGGCTCTGCACTCAATGGTATATGACAATTTTTTCAGTGAGGAGGATCCAGGCAGTAAAGATGGGTCAAATTTCCTAGATTCTAAATCCAGCAATATGTCAGTGTCTCCTCTGGGCAAAGTACTGGCAGGAGAGACATATTACATAGCCAATAGGCCTGGAGATATGGGAAAATATCCTCTGTTTGCAGGGCCCTGGAAGAAGAGTCACATTATTTTGATTCTGACCCAGTGATATGTAACAATGCCCTAATGGAATGAAATTTAAACTAAAAGTTCTCAACACCAGCTAGTAGGGCAAGATATATGACAAAATCTCCTCATCTTTAAGGGTGACACCATTAAATGTTAGCTATCTGTGTATAAGAGAGTCACAATCTCATGTGTGTGCTTGCCATTGTATGACACTCTCTATAATACCTGAGAACGTTATGCAACATGCATGAGAGTTGCAATCCTCTCTGAGGCCTACAGGCATTTACAGAATTATGATTATGCATATTGCCCTAAACCCAGGTATGACAGTCAGCATCTCTCCTATAGACTGGTGTTAGGGATGAGATCATTATTATGACTGAGAGTTGGCTCCAAAAATGAGTCACCATCCCACCTGCGGCCATATTCATTTATGAAAGTCACAACTCCATCTTTGTGGTGTATTTGCTTAGACTCAGGATCTCAACAATGGGCTTTGTAGATGTAGGATGGTAAAAACTTACTTTCATCTGAGTGTGCAGTCAAGAATCATAATCTTAACTGTTTGCTGGGCACTGTTAAGAAACCCTTTGTATCACCCAGGAAATTTTTATTACATGAGTTAGTGTTGTAAACTACTGTGAGCTTTGTAGAAATGTGCAATGAGTAACCTGACTCTTTGACCTAAACCTGGTGGTGAGAGGAAAAATCTCTCCTATTGGCTGAATCCCAACATAAGCTTGATCATCATACCTTTGGACTGAAGCAAGGTATTTCTCACATTCCCATTTTTTAGCAACCTATGCAGAATATTAACATCACTTAGGTTCTTTGTCAAGCAATATGTCATGATGCCCTCTGTAAGCAGCACCTAGGAAAGAGGGCCACATTAACTGCAGGCTGGAGTCAGCAATATAATACAACCACACGTGGAAGAAATTCAGCAAAGTGGTAAGAGTGAAAACACCTAGAAAATGGGCCAAAGATATGTCGAAATACCTTCTGCGGTCCTGGCACAAGCAGGAGAGTCACATCATTAGGGTTCTAGGCCAAGAAATATGCCACAATTTTCTCTTTATGCACAACCTAGGCAGAAGAGCAGCTTCATCTGGGTACTGGGCCCTGAAATACGGCAAAAGATCTGTTCCTGGGCGTTGTTCAGTTACAAGATGAGAGTCACATTACCTAAATGCTGAGCTCATCAATATCTCATAATCTTACCATTGTAAAGCCCTAGACAAAAATAGAGTCACATCACTTAGGTCACAGGCTTAGAAATATGGCCCAATATCACCAGTAGGCTGGGTTCAGACAGAAGAAGAGTCATATTACCTAGATGCTTCTTTAGCTATATGTCACAATTTAATATGTGGGTGAAAACCAGGTTGAAGAGCCACATCATGTGGTCCTGGGTACTGAGGTATTCACAAGTCCCTCTTAGAAAAGGACCCAGGCAAGAGAGTTATGTCACCTAGGTGCAGATTCCACGCTTATGTCTCAATACTTCATGTGGGCAGGACCAAGCAGGAAGTCACATCACCTTGGTGATAGGACCAGGTATATATGACAAGGCATTTTTGAAAGCATGGCCCTGGCAAAAGAGTTCCATCACCATTGTGCCTGGCCTAGCAGTATGTCACTATTCAATTGGGCAAGTTTCAAGCAGAAGAGCCGTATCACCTACACGATAGGTCCTGTGATATGTCAAATGCCCTTTTTTGGGCATAGCCCTGGGAAAAGAGCATCATCACCTGTGTGCCTGGCCTAGAAACAGGTCACTATTTTGCCCAGTGTTCAAGGCCCTTTCCAGAGAGGAGAGTGACATCTTCTAACTGATGGACACTGCAATATGTCACAATGATATCTGCGAGCATGGCGCAAGCAAGAATGTAACGTCACCTGTGTGCTGGATCCAATGATGTTATAATTCTGAGTGGAGGGCCCAGGCAAAAGAGTCACGTCACTTCAAGGTTGGCTTAGGTAGATACCAAAATCCCATAGGTAGGCTGGAACCAATCTGAAGGGTGAACTCACACAGGCACTTGGCAAAGATTTATATCAGTCATGATGGAATAAAATTCTAGGGATTAGATTTACAATATCAGGCGTGTTCTATTTTTATGTGGGACAATTGCCTTCATCATCTGTAATGGTGAAAGCCGTTACTGTCAGCTGAATGTACATATGAGAATCCCAATTTTCTCCATGTGCTAGGCCCTGTTATGACTCTCTCTATACGACACAAGGATGTTATAAAATATGTGTGAATGTTGTAATCTTCTGTGACCTTTTTACCAGAAGGAGATGCTGGATATCACTTATCTCCCTAAGCCTAGTTATAAGAGTCAAAATGTTTCCTATTGGCTGGGTTCACATATGAGAGTCCTTATCATGTATTTTAGATGTGTCTACAGATACGGCGCCATCTCATCTGTGGTAATTAAACAGGCAGAAAACGACATCACCTAAATCCTAAGCCAGAAATACCCCAACTTTATTTTGTAGAGAGGGCCCTAACAGAAATATGACAAAACTTAGGTGCTAGACTCAGCTCTATGGCATAATGCCCTTTGTGGAGTGTGTCCAGGCAGTAGAGGAGAGTCATATCACCTAAATGAAGGGCCCAGAGAGATATCACAAAGCCCCCCCTTTAAAAAGCCCAGACAAGAGACTCATGTCATTTGGGTGCAGTGCTTAGAAATGCTACTCTTCACTGGAAGCAGGGTTCATGCAGAAGAGGAGAGTCATGTAACCTAGACAATGGCTCCAGAGATATGTTATGATCACTTCCGAGAACCTGTTAGGACACAAGAGTAAAATCACAAAGGTTCCTGGGAAAGGTGTAGGTCCAAATGTCATCTGCGGGCTATAACAAGGCAGGATTATTAAATCACTCAGGAGCTGGGTAAAGGTGTATGTCACAATAGTACCTGTGAAAATCTGGGGCAGGGATGAGAGTAATGATCCTGTCCTGCACGTGTCCTGGCTCTGGGGACAAGCGTCATCATTAGGCTTTTTATCTGGTCTCAGGTAAATGGAACAATATCACCTGTGGGCAGAGAGAAAAAGGAAAGTTCCATCACCTTAGTGGATGCTGGTCCAGTGAAATGTCTCAATTGTCCTTGTGGCTAGGACTCTGATAGAAGAGTCACATCATCCGGATGCTGGTTTCAGTGACATATAAGATCCCCCCTGTGAGCAGAACTTAGGCAGGAGAGAAGACAAACTTCACTTAGGCAATTGGCCTGAATATACGTCACAATGGCCCCTATGTGTAGGATCAAGGCAGGGGAGTAACCCTCGCTTTGGTGCTAGGTTCAGCAACATGTCACAATCTCTCTGGCGGTCAGGGCACAGGCAAGAGAAAAGAAATATCACCTAGTCGCTGAGCCAAGTAATACGTTACAAAGCTTCCTACTGGCAGAAACTTCATTCTCCAAAAAAGTCACATCACCTGGGTGCAGTACCTAGTTACGTGTCACAATCCACCACCAGAAGTGCAGGGCCAAGACAGTAGAAGGAAGTCATGTCACTTAAGTAATCAACTTATATAAAAACCACAGTGCTCTCTGTAGGCAGGCCTCAGGCCAAGATTTCACATCAGCCAAGTGCTGATCTCAGTGATATGTAAAAGTGCCCTATGTTTCATTACCAAAAAAGATGTTACTTATTGCTTAGGTGCTTGGTGCATGTAAGTCACAATTTCAACTGTGCTCTGGGCCTAGAAAGGAGAGTCAAAACACTCAGATTCTGTGCAAAGTTATACTTCTCAGTTACACACTCAAAAATGTTCAGAAATAAGTTTCACAGTCCCACACAAGTCCTGGATTTGGGTATGAGAGTCAACACCTCCTATAAGTTGGGTTGAAGTACAGGTGTCACAATCTCAAAAATAGGAAAGATCCACATAGAAGAGTCTCAATCCCACTTGAAGATTGTGTTCCAGTAGGAAAGTCAAAGTACCACAGTTTGACTAAATCATAGTTCAAACATCACCAAATCACCTATGGATCAGATTCGTGTATGAGAGTAACAATTTCAAGCTTCAACTGCTTATGTGTGTGAGATTTACTACCTCATTTGTAGGCTCTGTACATGTGTGAAGATGAAAATCATGTCAGTTGTCTATGCATCCAAGAGTCACAATGGAACCTGGTTGCAGGTACCTGTTATGAAACTCTTTGTAACATTCAGGCTTTATATGATATGCCTGAGTAGTATAATTTCCCGTAAATTATTACAGGTGGGAGATCTAGGACTTTACCCATGGCCTTAAGACTGCCTGTGAAAGTCAAATATCTCCCACTGGCTAGGTCTAGGTATGAGAGTTATTATTGTGCTGAATCCAGTTATTATATGAGCTGAATCCAGGTATACATCACAATTTCACCTTTGGACAGAGACAAGAGAGAAGAGTTACATTATCTGGTTGCTGAGCAAGGGATACGTTATAATTTCCTTTTTAGTCAGGACCCAGTCAGAACAGTCATATCACCTGGATACAGTCTCAGATAATATTATCATGACCACTAAACCCTGGATTGAAAAATAGAGGATTGTCACGCCCCTAGGTGATGGGCTCAGCAATATTTTATTATTTCCTCATTAGCAGAGTTCAAGACAAAGCTCACTGGCAGAGTCCAAGACAAAGAAGAGAGTCACATCACCTAGGTTTTGCACTCAGTGGTATGTCAAAATTTCTTCAGTGGCCAGAATCCAGGCAGGAGTGGAGAGTCACATTACCTAGATACTATAGTGATATGTCCCAGTGTCCACTGTGGCAGGGCACTGGCATGAGAGACACCACATCACCTAGCTGATAGGCCCAGAGATACGTGATAATATCCCCTGTTGGCTGGGTCCAAGAAGAAGTTTCACATTATTAGGATTCTGACCCAGTGATAATTCACAATGCACCTATGGGCAAAATTTAAGCCCTAATTCTCAACACTTGGTTACCAGGCCTAGTGATAAGACACACTCTCCTCATCTTTTAGGGTGACACCTTTAACTTTCAGCTAAGGTTGAATATTAGAATCACAATCTCACATGTATGCTGGGCCAATGTATGACACTCTTTACATCCGAGGGCTTTATAAAACCTGCATGAGAGTTGTAAACCTCTCAGCGACCTGCATGCTCATATGGGTTCACAATTTTACACATTGCCCTCAATTCAGATTTGATAGTCAGCATCTCTTTTATATGTAGGGTTAAAGGAGAAGACCCATTATTATCCCACCTCCAGACAGATCCACATATAAATTCACAATTGCAACTTTGTGCCGTATTCCACAGTGGGCATTGTATATGTAGGATGGTGACAACTTTTAATTTTACTGGGGTGTATAATCAGTACTCCAAATCTGAACTTTCTACTGGGCCCTGTTATGAAAGTTTTTACCACCAATGAGTTTATACAATATAAGTTAGTGTTGTAATCTTTGGACTTTGTACAAATATGCAACTCTCTGTGTACAAATATTACTCTCTGTGGTTATGAAGCAGGCAGAACAATCACATCACCTAAATTCTTGGCCAGAAATATTCCAATATTCTCTTTGTAGGCAGGATCCTGTAGAAATGCCACATAAATTGTGTGCTAGATCCAGCTTGGTGGCACAGTGTCCCTTATTGGCAGTGTCCAAGCAGGAGAGGAGAGCTGCCATATCAGGTAAATGATGGAACCCAAAATATGTCACTATGCCTCCTCTTGACAGGGCCCAGGCAAGAGAGTCATATCATTTGGATACAGTGTTTAGAAATGATACAGTTACCAAAGAAAATCATGTACAGGTGGGAGAGAACAGTCATGTAACCTATGTGATGGGCCAGAAATACGTTACAGTCACGCCTGTGGATATTATTAAGATAACACAGTCAAATCATGAAGATGCTTATACCAAGGATTTGTCAAAATCTCATTTTGATGCTATACCTATGCAGAATTATTAAATCACTAAGGAGCTGGGTAAAGGTATATGTCACAGTTACACTTGTGTATCGCTTTAAGACTAAGAGTCACCATGCTGCACATGTCCTGGCTCCAGATATATGTGTTGTTATTAGGCTTTTATTTATGGTCTCTTGTATAAGGCACAATATCGGCAGTGGCCAGAGAGAAGAGAAGAAAATCTCATCAGCTACATGGGTGTGGATTCAGTGAGAAGTCACAGTCTACCTTGTGGACAGGACCCTGGCAGAAGAGTCAAATCACCTGGATGCTGGTGTCAGTGAAATATCAAAACCTCTTCTCTGGGCAGGATTTTTGCTAGAGAGGACACTCACTTCACTTGGGCAATTGGCCTAGCTATTTGTCACAATGCTTCTTATGTGCATTACCAAGGCTGGAGAGTGACCTCACAAGGGTGCTGGACCCAGAAATATGTCACAATCTCCCTGTGGTCAGGGCGAGGACAATGCGAGGAAACATCACCTACATTCTGAGCTAAGTGATATGTTACCATGTTCCAGTTGGCAGAACGCAAAAAGGACAATGATCTCCTGGACACAGTTTCTGCTTATGTGTCAAAATGCACTGTAAGGGCAGGGCCAAGGCAGTAGAAGGGAGTCACTTCAATTCATGGTGGATGTAGATATAAAACACAATTCCTCTTGTAGGCAGGTTTTAGGCAGATAATTCACATCACCTGGGTGATGGTCCCAGTGATATATGAAAGTGCCCTTTGCAGACAAGGCCAAAGAAGGTATTACATATTTCTTAGGTGCTTGTTCAACATAGGGCACTATTTCATCCGAGTTCTGGGCCTAGAAAAGAGAGTCAGATTATTCATGTGCTGGACATGGTTACCTGTCCAAATCACACTCTCAGATATGCTTGGAAATAAGTTTCACATGCCACACAACACCTAGTTTCCTGTACCTGAGCCAACTCTTTCTATGAGGTAGATCTTAGTAGAGGAGTCACAATCTCAACAATGGTCAAGATTCATGTATAGGAGCCCCAATCCCCCTTGAAGACTGTGTTCCAGTAGGGAAGACACAACACCACAGGTGTGCTGAATCATGGTTCAAACTTTACCAAACCACCTGTGAATCAGATCTATGTGTAAGAGTAATTATTTAAACATTTGACTGTTTTTTTATGTGTGAGATTAGTATCTCATTCCTACGCCCTGTTCATGTGTGAGAATGACAATCATGTCAGCTGGGTGTGCATTTAAAAGTCCCATTCTCACTTCATTTCTGGCCTCTCTTATGACACTCATTGTACAATTAAGGCTGTATATGATATACCCGAGTGTTATAATCCTTTGTGAACTTTATACAGTTGAAAAACTCAGGACATAACCCATTGTCGTGAGACTGCCTATGAGAGTCAATTATCTCTACTGGCTGGGTCCAGGTATGAGAGTTATTATTCTGCATGTGTGCTTAACCCAGATATATGTCAAAACTTGGCCTGTGAGCAGGGACAAGAAAGGAAAGTCACATTACCTGGGTGTTGAGCCAATTATACAGTGTAGTATTATTTGAAGGCTGGGCATAGTCAGAAGTGTCAGCTTTATGCTGGTCCAGTGATACAATATAATCTTGGTGATGTGACAGCCTCAAAGATTATGTCACCAAGCACACTATTGCCAGGAAAAAAAGAAAAAGAGGAGTGTCACTCTACTCTACCTCAGTGCTGGGCTTTGCAAACTGTAATAATCTGCTGGCTTGGAAGAGTCTAGAATATGAAGGAAAGCCACATCACATAGATTTTGCAATCAGTGCTATGTCACAACTTCTTTGGTGAGCCACACCCAGGCAGGAGAGTAGAATCACGTGACCCAGATGTTAAGTTAATATTTTCCAATGCCTTCTGGGGGCAGGGAACATGCAGGAGAGAAAAATTCCCCTACTTATAGGTCCAGAGATATGTGATAATATCCCCTGTTGGCAGGGTCCAGACAGAAGAGTCACATTACAATGATATGAACCCAGTGATACGTCACAGTGCACCTGTGGGAAAGAATTTATGCCAAAATGTCTCAACAGGTGGGTACATGGCCTAGTAATATACCAAATTTTGTTGCCTTTGAGGGTGACACCATTAACTGTGAACTGACTGTCTACATGAATATAACAATTTCATGTGTTTCCTGGGCTGTTGATTGACACTCTGTGACATTTGAAGGCTTTATACAGCATGCGTGAGAGTTGCAAACCACTCTGAGGCCTACATGTTTGTATGGATTCATGATCTTACATATTACCCTAAACTCAGGTATAATAGTCAACATCTCTTCTGCAGTTTGGGTTCAGGGATGAGACAGTTTATTATGCCTGTAAGCTGGATCCAGAAATGAGTCACCATCCCACCCGTGGCCAGATCCACATATGAAGGTCACAATTCTGATGTTGTACTGTATTCACTTGTTAGACTCAAGACCTTAACAGTGAGGTTTGGACATATGGAATAGTGACAACGTTTGCTTTTACTTGGTTGTGTAATCGAGAGTCCCAATCTGAATTTTTGCTACTCCCTGTCATGAAACTCTCTGTACTCCACACATTTATACATTATGAGTTAGTGTTGTAAAGGTCTTTGAGTTTGGTACAAATATGCAACCCACAACCTCACCTATTTCCCTTGTTCTAGTGATAAAAGGCAAAATATCTCCTTTGGCTGATTCCCAGTGTAATTTAGACCATCATGCCTGTGAACTGAAGTAAGGTATATGTCATAATCCTATTTGTGGGCCAAAACTAGGCAGGGGTGTAACATCACTGTGCTGTGCCAAGCATCATGCCACAATGCCATCTCTAGGCAGCGTATAGGAATTAAGTCATATTAACTGGGTACTGGACACAGCAATATGACACAATCCCATATGTAGAAAAAGAACAGGCAAAAAATCAGAGCCAAGACATCTACAGAATAAGCTCAGTATATGTCAAAATGCCTTCTGTAGCTGCAGGAAAGCATGACAGTCACATTTTTAGTGTGCTATTATTATATATTAGTATATGCCATAATTCTCCGTGTACGCAAAATCCAGGCAAAAGAGTAACATTATATGTGTGCTGAGCCCTGCAATAGGTCAACATTTCTGTTTGTTTGCATGGTTCAAGAGAAATAGCTGTCAATAAATCTGAGTGCTGGGCTCAGCAATATGTCACAATGCCGTCACTGCAAAGACCAGACTGAAGAAGAGAGTCACTTCACTTAGGTCTTGGGCTCAGAGATAGATCCCACTGTCCCAGTAGGGCAGGGCATGGGCTGAAAAGGAGAGTCATATACCTAGGTGCTTTCCTAGTTGTATGTCACAATCTAACATGTGAGCAGAAATCAGGCTGAAGAGCCACATCACCTGGGTAGACCCTCAGGTAATATGTCACCATGCCCAATGTAGACAGATTTGATGAAAAATAAAAGTAAAAAAAGAATCACAACACCTGGGTGCTGGGCTCAGCAATATGTAGAAATTCCCTGTCTTGGCAGAGTCCAGGACAAATAGGAGAGTCATGTCACCTAGGTTTTGCACTCAGTTGTATGTCACAATTTATTTGGTGGACAGGTTCCAGGCAGGAGTATTACCTAGATGCTGTATCTAGTGATATATCACAATGTCCCCTGTGGGCAATGCACTAGCAGGAGAGACATATCACCTGGCCAATAGGCTTGGGGGTGTGTGAAAATATCCCCTGTTTTCAAGGCCATTATCATTATTCTGACCCAGTGATATGTGACAATGCCCTTTTGGAAAGGAATTTAAACAAAAATGTCTCAACACTGGGGTATGACGCCAAGTGATATGACACAATCTCTTCACCTTTAACGGTGACACAATTAATGGTTAGCTAGTTGTTTATATGACAGTCACAATCTCATGTGTGTGCTGACCCTTGTATGACATTCTCTGCAATATCTGAGAACACTATACAACATGCCTGAGAGTTGAAAACCTCTCTGAGGCCCACATGCTTATATGAACTCATGATCTTACATATTGCCCTAAACCAAGGTATGACTCTCAACATCTCTTCTCTAGGCTGGCTTCAGAGATGAGACTGTTTTTAAGCCTGTGACCTGGGACCAGATATGTATGAGTCACCATCCCACCCGTGACAAGATTAGCTTTTGAAAATCACAACTCCAACTTGGTCCTGTATTCACTTGTTAGACTCAGGACCTTAACAATGAGATTTGTAAATGTGAGAAGATAACAACTTTTACTTGCATTTGAATGTGTAGTGGAGATTCACAATCTCAATTTTTTGTTGGGATCCGTCATAAATATCTCTGTACCACCCAGGAAGGTTTTATGATATGAATCAGTGTTGTAAGTTTCTCTGAGCTCTGTATAAATATGCAATGAAGGGACTAACTTATTGATGTAAACCTAGCAATGCAAGGCAAAATATCTCCTGTTGGCTGAATCCCGATATAAGCTTGATCATCATGTTTTTGAACTGAATCAAGGTATCTGTCATAACCCCATTTGTGGGCAAAATCTAGGCAGAAGGTTAACATCACTTAGGTGCTGTTCCAAGCAATATGTCACAATACTCTACCTAGGCAGGGCCTAGGAAAGAGGGTCACATTAACTGGGGGCTGGAACCAGCAATATGCTACAACAACACGTGGAAGAATACCAGCAAAGTTATGAGAGCCAAAACACGTACAGAAAGGGAACAAGATATATCAAAATACCTTCTGTGGCTCTGGCACAAGCAGGAGAGTCATATCATTACGGGACTGGGCCAAGCAATATGCCCTAATTCCCTCTTTACGCATGACCTAGGCAGAAGAGTAACATCATCCAGGTGTTGGGCCCTGAAATACAGCAAAAGTCTTGTTTGTGGGGGTTGTTCAGCAACCAGACAAGACTTACGTTACCTAAGTGCTGGGCTCATTAACATTTCACAGTCTTCTTATTGTCAAAGCGCAGACAGAATAAGAGAGTCACATCATATAGGTTATGTGCTCAGAGATATGGCCGAATGTCACCAGTAGGCAGGGATCAGGCAGAAAAAGAGAATCATATCACCTAGGTGCTTCTTTAGGTATATGTCACACTTTAATATGTGGGAAAAAACAAGGCTGAATACCATATCACATGGTCCTGGGTCCTGAGATATTCACAAGCCCCCCTTAGAAAAGGACCCAGTCAAGAGAGTTACATCACCTAAGTGCAGGTTCCACACATATGTCACAATGCTCCATGTGGGCAGGGTCAAGCAGGAAGTCACATCACCTAGGTGATAGGCATAGAGATATGTCACAAAGCTTTTCTTTTCTTTCTTCCTTTTTTCTTTTTTTTTTGAGATGGAGCCTCGCTCTGTTGCCCAGACTGGAGTGCAGTGGCACGATCTCGGCTCACTGCAAGCTCCGACTCCTGGGTTCACGCCATTCTCCCACCTCAGCCTCCCAAGTAGCTGGGACTTCAGGCACCTGCCATGGCACCTGCCTTATTTTTTTGTATTTTTAGTAGAAATGGGGTTTCACCGTGTTAGCCAGGATGGTCTCGATCTCCTCACCTCGTGATCCACCCGCCTCGGCCTCCCAAAGTGCTGGGATTACAGGTGTGAGCCACCATGCCCAGCCATAAAACTTTTCTTAAAGCCTGTCCCTGGCTGAACAGTACCATCACCTTTGTGTCTGGCCTAGCAATGTGTCACTATGCAGGTGGGCAGATCCCAAGCAGAAGAGTCATATTACCTGCATGATAGGCCCTTTGATATGTCAAAATGCCTTCTTTTGGGCATGGCCCTGGCAAAAAAAAAAAGTATCATCACCTGTGTGCCTGGCCTATGAATATGTGACTATCCTATCCTATGTGCAGTGCCCATTCCAGAGAGGAGAGTTACATCTTTTAAGTGACGGACACAGTAATATGTCACAATGATGTCTGTGTCATGGTGCAGTCAAGAATATAACATTACCTGGTTACTGCATCCAGTGATGTCAAAATTCTTACTGAGAGCAGGGCCCAGGGAGAAGAGTCAAACCACTTCAAGGTTGGCCCTGGGAGATCTCAAAATTTTATATGTAGGCTTCAACCAGTCTTAAGAATGAAATCACAATGGTGCATGACAAAGATTTGTATCAGAGTCATGATGGAATAAAATTCTAGAAATTAGATTTACAATACCACACATGCCCTATTTTCATGTAGAAGAGTTGCCTTCATCCGTCTATGATGGTGAAAGTTCTTGCTGTCAGCTGGGTTTGCATATGAGACTGACAATTTTCTCGGTGTGCTAGGCCCTGTTATGGCATTCTTTATACAACACAAGGGTGTAACAAAACATGTGTGAGTGTTATAGTCTTCTGTGACATTTTTACCGGGAAGAGATCATTGACATCACTTATGTTCCTAAACCTAGTTATAAAAGTCAAAATTTCTCCTATTGGCTGGGTTCACATATGACAGTCACTATCATGGCCGTTAGTTGCGCCTAGGTATATGCTACCATGCTCTCTGTGGTTATTAAATGGGCAGAAAAACCACATCACCTAAACCATGAGCCAAAAATGTTCCAATATTTTATTTGCAGGAAGGGCCATAACAGAAAAGCCACAAAATTTGGTCATAGGCCCAGGTCGTTGGCATAATGTCCTTGCTGGAGAGTGTCCACACAGGAGAGGAGAGTCATATAACCTAAATGATGGGCCCAGAGAAATGTAACAATGCCTCCTATTGAAAGGGCCCAGGCAAGAGGGTCATGTCATTTAAATGCAGTGCTTAGAAATGCTACACTCTTCACTGGAAGCAGGGTTCATGCAGGAGAGAAAAGTCAAATACCCTAGATGATGGGTCCAGAGATTTGTTACGATCCCTTCTGAGGACACTGCTAAGACAGGGAAGTCAAATCACCAAGGTTTTTGGCCAATGTATATATCAAACTGTTATCTCTGGGCTATAAATAGGCAGGATTATTAAATCACTCAGGAGCTTGGCAAAGGTGTATGTCACAACAACACCTGTGGAAAGGTTCAGGGATGAGAGTCACCATCCTGCAAATGTTCTGGCTCTAGGTACAGGAGTTGTTGTTATAATTTTTTTATCTTCTCTCAAGTATATGGCACAATATCACCTGTGGGCAGGGAGAAGAAAGGAAAGTCACATCATCAGAGTCGGTGCTGGTCCAGTGAAATGTCACAATCCTTCTTGTGGGGAGGACTCTGGAAGAAGATTCACATCGCCTGGATGCTGATTTCAGTGATATATCTAAATTCCTTCTGTGGACAAGGCAGGCGTAGGAAGGAGAGGAGAAAAACTGCTCCTAGGCAATTCGCCTGGATATATGTCACAACTGTCCCTATGGGCAGGAAAATGCAGGAGAATGACCTCACCTTTGTGCTGAGTTCAGCAATATGTTACAATCTCTCTGGTGGTCAGGGCTCAGGCAAGAGAGAAAAAACATCACCTAGGTGCTGAGCTAAGTGATATGTTACAAATCTTTCTATTGGCAGAACTCCACCCAAAAATGAGTCACATCACCTGGGTGCAGTATCCTGTTATGTGTCACTAGGCACCATAAGTGCAGGACCAAGGCAGTAGAAAGAAATGACATCACTTACATGACAGAGCTAGATAAAAGCCATAATGCTCTTTGTAGCCGTGTTTCAGGCCAAGATTTTACATCGGCTGGGCGCTGGTCCCAGAGATATGTAAAAGTGCCCTCTGTCGCATTCCCAAAAAGGTGTTATACGTTGCTTAGGTGCTTGGCGAATGTATGTCACAATTTCAACTGTCCTCTGGGCCTAGATAAGAGATGCAAAACACTCATAGGCTGGGCAAAGCCATATTTCTCAATCACACTCTCAAAAATGGTCAGAAGTAAGTTTCACAGTCCCATACTAGTCCTGCCCTCAGGTATGAGAGTTAACATCTCCTATCAGTTTGGTCGAAGTACAGGAGTCACAGTCTCAACAATGGGCAAGATCCATGTATAAGAGCCCCAACTCTGGCCAGGCACTGTGGTTCATGCCTGTAATCCCAGCACTTTGGGAGGCCGAGGTGGGTGGATCACCTGAGGTCAGGAGTGGCCAACATGGTGAAACCCCGCCTCTACTAAACACAGAAAAAATTAGCCGGGCATGGTGGCAGGTGCCTGTAGTCCCAGGTACTCAGGAGGCTGAGGCAGAAGTATCACTTGAACCCAGGAAGTGGAGGATGCAGTGAGCTGAGATGGCACCACTGCACACCAGTCTGGGCAATAAGAGAAAAACTCTGTCTCAAAACAACAACAACAACAACAATAACAAAAACCCCACTCCCACTTGAAGATTTCGTTCCAGTAGGAGAGTCAAAGCACCACAGGTCTGCTGAGTCATGCTTCAAATGTCACCAAACCACCTGTGGATCAGATTCATGTATGAGAGTAAGAAAAATTTCTACTGCTTATGTGTGTGAGATTTAATATCTGATTTGTAGGCTTTGTTCATGTGTGAGAATGACAACTGTGTCAGCTGGGTGGGTGTCCAAGACTCCCAATAGCACCTGGTCACTGGTGCCTGTTATGACATCCTTTGTACCACTCAGACTTTATGTGATATGACAGAGTAGCGTACTTTTCTATGAATTCTTACATATGTGAGATTGAGGAATTTAACCATGGTAGTCAGACTGTCTAAGGGAATCAAAATAAATCCCCTGGCTGGGTCCAGGCATGAGAGTTATTATTGTGCATATGAGCTGAATCCAGGTCTATGTCACAGTTTCACCTTTGGACAGAGGCAAGAGAAGAGTCACATCACCTGGGTCCTGAATCAGGGAAACAGTATAATCTCCTTGTAGGCAGGACCCAGTCATAAGAGTCATATCAGGTGGGTACAGTCTCAAATAATATGTCAATATGCCCACCGTATACAGGATTGAATAAATAGTGGACAGTCACATCCCCTAGGTGCTGGGCTCAATAGCATGTTACATTTCCCTCTTTTGGCAGAGTCCATAACAAAGAGGAGAGTCATATCACCTAGGTTTTGCACTCAGTGTTCTGCAACAGCTTCTTCAATGGGAAGGATCCAGTCAGGAGGGTAGAGTCATATTACATAGATGCTATATCTAGCAATATGTCAAAATGTTCCCTGTGGACAAGACATTGGCAGGAGAGACATATTCCTTAGCTGAAAGACACAGAGATGTTTGATAACATCCACTGTTTGCAGGGCTCAGGAGAAGAATTACATTATGATGATTCTGTCCCAGTGATATGTAACAAGGCATTCAGGAAAAGGAATTTGACGCAAAAAGTATCAAAACCTGGGCACTAGGCCTAGTGATACGACACAATATCTTCATCTTTGAGGGTAACACCTGTAAATTTTGGCTGACCATGTATATTAGTGTCACAATCTCATGTGTATGCTGGGCCAATATATTACACTCTGTAAAATACCCGTGGGGTTTATGAAACCTGCGTGAGAATTGCAAACCTCTCTGAGGCCTACATGCTCATAGGGACTCACAGTCATACATATTATCCTAAACCTAGGTTTGGTAGTCAACATCTCTCCCGCAGACAGGGTTAAGGGGGAAGACCTATGATTAAGCCTGTGAGCTGGGTCCAGAAATGAATCACCATTTTCCCTGTGGCCAGATCCACATATAAAAGTCACAGTTCACACTTTGCGCTGTATTCCCTTGTTAGACTCAAGATCTCAACAGTGGGCACTGTAAATGTGGAATGGTGACAACTTTTATTTTCAACTGGTTGTGTAAGCGAGAGTCATAATCTGAACTTTTTGCTGGGCCCTGTTATGCAACTCTCTACCAACAAAGAGTTTATACAATGCAAGTTATTGTTGAAAGATTCTATGAGCTTGGTACAAATATGCAACCCAGGATTTAACCTATTGCACTAAGCCTAATGATGAAAGGCAAAATATCTTTTATTGGGTGAATCCCAATATAAAGTTCGTCATAATGCCTGTGAAGTGGACCTAAGTATATGTCATACATGAGAGCCAAAGCACCTACCTAATGGGCACAAGAGACATCAAAATATTTGACTCCAGCACAGGCAGGGAGTCAAATTTTAAAAATACTGGGTTCAACAATGTGCAATATGCCATAATTTTCTTTTTATGCAGAACCCAGGCAGAAGAGTAATATCACCTGGGTGCTGGACCCTGCAATAGGTCAAAATTCCTTTCTGTGGGCATCATTCGGGAAAAAGAGGAGAGTCACATATCCTGAGTGCTCTGCCCAACAATGAGTCAATATCCTTATTTTGAAGGCCCAGGCAGAAAAAAAGAGTCACATCACTTCAGTCTTGGTCTCAGACATGTGTCCCAATAGCCCCTCTAGGCATGGCACAGGCAGATTAGGAGAGTCATATCACCTAGGTGCTTCCCTAGGAATACGTCACAGCATAACATAAGGACGCACACCGGGCAGAAGAACCACATAATTTGGGTGCTGTGTCCTGAGATATGTCATGAGGCTCTCTTAGGACGTCAGCTAGGCAAGAGGCTTACGTCACCTCAGAGTAGGTTCTCTGCTTATGCCACAATGCTTCATAGGGGTAGGGCCCAAGGAGCAAGTCGCTTCACCTAGGTAATAGGCCTAGAGATATGTGACAATGTCCTCTATGAAGTATGGCCCAGGCAAAAGAGTAACATCACCTGTGTGCTTGGCCTAGAAATATATCAGTCTCCAGATTGGCAGGGCCCAAGTGGGAGAGCAGCATAACCTAGATGATAGGCTCAGAGATATGTCACAATGCCCTTTTTGGGCATGGCGCTGGCAAAAGGCACCTATGCCTTTGTGCCTGGCCTTGCAATATGTCGCTATTCTTTCTCTGTGCAGAGAACATTCCAGAGAAGAGACTTACATCATCTGTCAGGTGGACACAGGCATATGTCACAATAATTGTGGTGGCCATGGTGCAGGCAACAATGTAACATCACCCGGAGGCAAGATCCAGTGATATACTACAATCCTTACTTAGAGAATGGCCCAGGCAGAAGAGTCACATCACCTTGAGATTGGGGCCTAGGTAGATATCAGAATCCCATATACATGCTGGAACAAGCCTGGAGAGGCAAACTACACAGGTGCATGGCAAAGATTGATATCACAATCACACTGTCCAACTATTCCAAATATGAGATTTACAATACCCCACACATCCTTTTTCGAGTGTGACAGTTGGCTTCATCCACGTGAGATGATAACAGTCCTACTGTCAGCTGGATGTGCACACAAGACTCACAATTTTACCTGCATTCCGAGACCTGCTTTGACTCCTTCTGTATAACCCAAGGACTTTGTAAAGTATGTGTGAATGTTGTAATCTTTTGTGACCTTTGTGCAAGAAGGTGATTCAGGACACCATGTATTTCCCTAAACCTAGTCATAAGAGTCAAAATATCCTCTATTGGCTGAATCCACATATAAGAGTCATTGTCATTCCTGATAGGCATGCCTAGGTATATCTTAAAATTCCCTCTGTGGTTATGAAGCAGGCAGAAGAGCAATGTCACCTAAAGGCTGGGCAAAAAACATTCCAATATTCTCTTTGTAGGCAAGGTCTTTTCAGAAATGTCTCAAAACTTGTGTGCTAGATTTATCTCTGTGGCACAATGTATTTGTGGGCAGTGACCAGGCAGTAGAGGAGAGAGATACTACCTAAAACCTGTGCCCAGAAATATGTCACAATGCCTCCTGTTGACAGGATCCGGAAAAGACCGTCATCTCATTTAGATGCAGTGTTTACAAATGCTACAATTACTAAAGGAAGCTGGGTACAGGCCAAACAAGAGAGTCATGTAACCTAGATGATGAGTCCAGAAATATGTGACATTCCCTCTGAGGAGACTGTTAAGATAGCACAGTCAAATCACCAAGGTGGCTGGCACAGATATTTGTCAAAATCTCATTTTGGGGCTATACCTAGGCAAAATTATTAAATCACTCAGGAGCTGGGCAAAAGTATATGTCACAGTTAAACTTGTGGAAAGGTTTAGGAATAAGACTTATCATACTGCACATATTCTGGCTCCAGATAGATGAGTTGATATTAGGCTTTTGTTATGACCTCAGTTATAGAGCACAATATCACCTGTGGCCAGAGAGAAGGAAAGAAAGTTACATCACTTATGTGGGTGGGGGTCCAGTGAGATGTCACAGTCCCCCTTGCAGGCAGGATCCTGGCAGAAGTGTTACATCACCTGGATGCTCACATCAGTGACATTAGAAAACTCCCTATGTGGGCAGGACTTTGGCAGAAGAGGATGCTCATTTCACCTGGGCAATTGTCCTGGATGTTTATCACAATGGCCCTCACGTGCAGTACCCAAGCTGGAGAGTGACCTCACATTGGTGCTGGGCCCAGCGATATGTCACAATCTCCCTTTGGTCAGGGCCCAGGCAAAAGCAAAGAAACATTACCTAGCTGGTAAAACAAGTAATATGTCACATAAATCCTGTTGACAGAACCGTAATAGAAGAATCACTTCACCTGCGTGCAGTACCCGTTATGTGTCACAATGCACTGTAAATGCAGGGACAAAGGAGTAGAAGGGAGTCACATCAATTACATAATGGACCTACATATAAGACACAATTCTCTTGGTAGGCAGTTTTCAGGCAGATAATTCGCATCATCTGGGTAATGGTCCCAGTGATATGTAATAGTGCCCTTCATAGAAAGAGCCAAGGGATGTGTTACATATTGCTCAGATGCTTGTTCGACATATGGCACAATTTCTTCTGTGATCTGGGTGTATAAAAGAGATCCAAATTATTCATGTGCTGTGCAAAGTTACCTGTCCCAATCACACTCTCAAAAAGGTTTGAAAATAAGTTTCACGTCTCACCAAAGTCCTGGTTTCCTGTATGTGAGTAAACACTATCTATGTGCCGGGTCAAAGCAGAGGAGTCACAATCTCAACAATCAGCCAGATTCATATATGACAGCCCATTCTCACTTGCAGATTGTGTTTCAGTTGGTGAGTCACATCACCGCAGTGTGCTGAATCATGGTTCATATGTTACCAAACCACCTGTGAATCAGATTCCTTTATGAGAGTAATTATTTCAGCTTTTGAGTGCTTCTTTATGTGTGAGATTCAAGGGCTACATTAGTAGGCCCTGTGCATGTGTGAGAATGACAATTGTGCATGTGTGAGAATGACACAGATATTTTGCTTTGCCAGTCCAGCTGAGGCTCCCAGGCCACTCAGACTCTGAGGAGAGTCCTGTGAAGAATGACAAACTTGGCACTAAGCAGCTTGCAATCCAGGCATTTCTTCAATATAGAATTAACAACAGAAGCTTTGAGTAAACACAATTGTGGATAATTAACATGGTTAAGAAAGTAGTTCTACAAATGATTAAGGTCAGGTACCATGGTCTAAAATAAATACTATTAGGGGGCAACTTTCCTGGTCGAGCTCCCCACTGAGAGAGCTATCTGGTTCAAAGACTGGTTAATGGAGGTAAAATAAACAGACTTAACTGGGGAAGCCTATATTGTCCCTCATTTTACCCTATGACCTAATATTCTCAAGTAAGAACTGGCCACCTTAAGCCTGTCCAATTATTACAAGCTATGTAACTTTTCAGCCTTCCAAAGCTTTGTGACTCTTCCTTATTACGTTCCCCAGTATTTCCTTTTAATATTTCTGCCACAAACCTGAGTGAATCACAACATACTGGCTCTGTCCAGGTATGAGAGTTATTATTGTGCAGGATTGCTTAACCCAGGCATTTGTCACAATTCCACCTATGAGCAGGAAGAAGCCAGAAGAGTCACATCACCTGGATGCTTAGCCAATTACACAGTATAATCACATTTGTAGGCTGGGCATAGTCTGAAGTCACATCAGCTGGATACAGACTGAAATAGTATGTCATTAATCCGGAGATTGACAGAAAAAGAGAAGAGTCACTCAACCTAGGTGCTGCACTCTGCAATATGTAATAATCCCCTCTCTTAACAAGGAATATGAAGGAGAGTCATATTCCCTAGGTTTTGTAATCAGCAGTATGTTACAATTTACTTGGTGAGCAGAACCCAGACAGGAGAGGTAGGTAGTATGACCTAGATGTTAAGCCAAATGATATTTTACAATGTCCTCTGGGGGCAGGGCACAGGCAGAAGAGACAAATCACCAAGATTATAGGTCCAGAGATATGTGATACTATCCTCTTTTGGCAGGGTCCAAGCAAAAGAGTCACATTTTTATGAATTCTAACCCAGCGATATGTCACAATGAACCCATGGGAAGAAATTTAAGCCAAAATGTCTCAACACCTTGGTACTCTGCCTAGCAATATGCCAAATCTCTTTGTCTTTGAGGGTGACACCATTAACTGTGAGCTGGTTGTGTATCTGATAGTCACAATCTCACATGTTTCCTGGGCCACTGTATGACCCTCTACAACATTTGAAGGCCTTAAACAGCATGCATGAGCATTGCAAACCACTCTGAGGCCTACATGCTTCTATGGACTCACAATATTAGATATTTTCCTAAACCAAGGTATGACAGTCCACATCTGTCTTATATGCTGGCTTCAGGAATGAGACCATTATTATGCCTGTGAGCTGGCTCCAGAAATGAGTCACCATCCCACCTGTGGCCAGATTCACTTACGAAAATTACAATTCCAATTTTGTACTGTATTCACTTGTTAGACTGAGGACCTCAACAATGAGTTTTGTAAATATAGCATGGTCACAACTTTTACTTTCACCTCAATGTGTAGTTGAGAGTCACAATCTTAATATTTTGATGAGCCCTGTTATGAAACTCCCTGTACCACACAAGAAGTATTTATGATACGAGTTAATACTGTAAACTTCTGTGAGCTTTGTACAAATATCCAATGAAAGAACTTACCTATTGACCTAAACCTAGTGATGAGAGGAAAAATATGTCCTATTGGCTGAATATAAGCTTGATCATCATGCCTTTGAACTGAAGCAAGGTATATGTCATAATCCAATTTTTGTGGGGGCAAAACCTAGGCAGAAGTTTAACATCACCTAGGTTCTGTGTGAAGTAATATATCATGACGCCCTCATTAGGCAGGGGCTAGTAAAGAGGGTCACATTAACTGGGGGATGGAGCTTTGTAATATGATAAAACCACACATGGAAGAAAGCAAGCAAAGTGATGAGAGCCAGAATACCTACAGATTTGGCCAAAGATATGTCAACATACTTTCTGTGGCTCTGGCACAGGGAGGAGAGTCACATCATTACGGTGCTGGGCCAAACAGTATGCCATAATTCCCTCTTTATGCACGACCTAGGCAGAAGAGTAACATCATCTGGGTGCTGAGCCCTAAAATATGGCAAAAGGCCTGTTCATGGGCGTTGTTCGGCAACCAGTCGAGAGTCACATTACCTAAGTGGTGGGCTCAATATGTCACAATATGTCAATTGTTTAGGTATATTTCACATACCTAGACAATTTAATAGGTGGGCAGAATCCAGGCTGAAGTGCCACATCACACGGTCCTGGGTCCTGAGACATTTGCAAGCCCTCCTTAGAAAAGGTCCCAGTCAAGAGAGTTACATCACCTGGGTGCAGGTCCCACATATATGTCACAATGTTCCATGTGGGCAGGGCCAAGCAGGAAGTCACATCACCTAGGTGATAGGCATAGAAATATGTCACAAAGCTTTCCTTAAAGCATGTCCCTGGCAAAAGAGTACCATCACCTTTGTGTGTGGCCTAGCAATATGTCACTATTCAAGTGTGCAGGTCCCAAGCAGAAGAGACATATTATCTCTATGATAGGCCCTGCAATATTTCAAAATGCCCTCTTTGGGGCGTGGCCCTGTCAAAATAGTATCATCACCTCTGTGCCACTCCTAGGAGTACGTCACTATCCTGCCCTGTGTGCAGGGCCCATTCTAGAGAGGAGAGTTACTTCTTTTAAGTGATGGACACAGTAATATGTCACAATAACGTGTGTGTCATGGTACAGGCAAGAATGTAACATCACCTGGATGCTGGATCCAGTGATGTTACAATTCTTACTGAGAGCAGGGCCCAGGCAGAAGTGTAACATCATGTCAAGGTTGGCCCAGGTAAATATCAAAATGCCATATGTAGGCTTGAACCAGTCTGAAGAGTGAAATCACACCGGTAACTGGCAAAGATTTATATCACAGTCTTGAAGAAATAAAATTCTGGGGATTAGATTTAGAATACCACACATGTCCTGTTTTCATGTAGGACAGATGCCTTCATCCACCTGTGATGGTGAAATTCCTTGCTGTCAGCTGGGTGTGCATACAATACTCACAATTTATTCTGTGTGCTAGGTGCTTTGTGACACCCTCTATTCAACACAAGGGTGTTAAAAAATATGTGTGAGTGTTGCAATCTTCTGTGACCTTTTTACCAGAAGGAGATTCTACATCACTCATGTCCCTAAACCTAGTTATAAGAGGCAACATTTCTTCTATTGGCTGGGTCCACATAAGAGAGTCATTATCATGCCTATTAGCTGTGCCTAGTTATATGTCACCATCCCGTCTTTGGTTATAAAAGAGATAGAACAAACACATCACCTACATTCTAAGCCAGAAGTATTACAACGTTCTCTTTGTCAGCAGGGCACTAACCGAAAAGTCAGAAAACTTTGGTGCCAGTCCCAGCTCTATCGCATAATGCCTCTTGTGGACAATGTCCAGGCAGGTGAGGAGAGTCATATCACCAAAATGATGGGCTCAGAGATATGTCACAAGGCCTCCTGTTGAAATGGCCCAGGCAAGAGAGTCATGTCATTTGGATGCAGTGTTTAGAAATGCCACACTCTTCACTGAAAGGAGGTTCAGACAAATGGGGAACATCACATTACCTAGATGATGGGCCCATAGATATGTTATAGTTTTTTCTGAGGACCCTCTACAACAGGAGAGTCAAATCACCAAGGTTCTAGGTCCAGGTATATGTCAAAATGTCATATGCAGGCTATAATTAGGCAGGATTATTAAATCACTGAGGAGCTGGACCAAGGTGTATGTCACAATAGCACTGGTGGAAATGTTCAGGAATGAGAGTCACCATTCTGCACATCCTGGCTCCAGGTATAAAGTTGTTATTATTCCTTTGATCTGTCTCAGGTATATGGCATAATTTCACCTGTGGGCAAGGAGAAGAAAGGAAAGTCACATCACTTCAGTGGGTGCTGGTCCAGTGAAATGTCACAATCCTCCTTGTGGGCAAGACTCCTGGAAAAGAGTCACATCACCTGGATGCTGGTTTAAGTGATATATGAAAATCCACCCTAAGGACAGAGCTTAGGCTGGAAAGGAGACAAAATTCACCTAAGCAATTGGCCTGGAGATATGTCACAATAGCCCCTATGTGCAGGACCAAGGCAGGAGCGTGTCCTCACTTTGGTGCTGGGTTCAGCAACATTTCATAATCTCTCTAGTGGTTAGAGCTCAGGCAAGAGAGAAGAAACATCACTGAGGTGCTGAACCAAGTGTTATGTTACAAAGCTTCCTATTGGCAGAGCGCCACAGGAAAATGAGTCACATTACCTGAGTGCAGTACCCAGTTATGTGTCACAATGCACCATAAGTGCAGTGCCAAGGCAGTAGAAAGAAGTCATATCACTTATGTGATGGACCTAGAAAAAAGCCACAGTGCTGTCTGCAGGCAGGGCTCAGGCCAAGATTTTACATCAGCTGAATGCTGGTTTCAGTGTCATGTAAAAGTGCCCCCTGTCACGTTGCTAAAGGTGTTATATGTTGCTTGTTGCATGTATGTCACAATTTCAACTCTGCTCTGGGCCTAGAAAGCAGAGTCAAAACACTCAGATGCTGGGCAAAGTCACACTTCTCATTCACACACTAAAAAGTGTTCAGAAATCAGTTTCACAGTCCCACACAAGTCTGAGCTTCATGCATGAGACTCAACATCTCCTATGACTGGGTCAAAGTACAGGAGTCACAATATCAACAATGGGCAAGATGCATGTATAAGAGCCCCAATCCCACTTGAAGATTGTGTGTCAGGATAAGAGTCAAATCACCAAAGGTCTGCTGAGTTGTGGTTCAAACATCGCCAAACCACCTATGGATCTGATTCATATATAAGGTAACAATTTCTAGCTTCAGCTGCTTATGGGAGGGAGATTTAGTAAATCATTCATAGGCCCTGTTTATAACAAACATGCCAGCTGGGTGTGCGTCCAAGAGTCACAATAGCACGTGGTCACTGGTGCCTGTTATGACACCCTTTGTACCACTCAGGATTTATATGATATGCCTGACTAGGCTACTTTTCTGTGATTTCTTATAGGTGGGAGATTTGGAATTTATCCGTGGCTGTAAGACAGACTATGAGAGTTAAAATATTCCCCCTGGCTGGGTTCATGTATGAGAGTTATTATTGTGCAAGTGTGCTGATTTCTGGTATGTATCACAATTTTCCCTTTGGACAGAAACAAGGCATAAGAGTCACATCATTTGCATACTGAGCCATGGATACACTATAATCTCCTCTGTGGTAAGGAGCCAGTGACATGGGTCATATCACTGGGTACAATCTCAAATAATATGTCATCTTGACAACTGCATACAGGGTTGAAAAAATAGTGGATAGTTACATCCTCTACGTGCTGGGCTCAGCAATATGATATAATCGCTGCTCTTAACAGAGTCCAGGACAAAGGGGAGAGTCACATCACCTGTGTTTTGCACTCAGGGGTATGTCACAATTTCATCAGTGGGCAGGATCCAGGCAGAAGAGGTGAGTCACATTACCTTGATGCTATATCTAGTGGTATGTCATAGTGTTCCCTGTGGGCAAGACACTGGCAGGAGAGACACATCACCTAGCAAACAGGACTAGAGATATGTGATAATATTTCCTGTTTGCTAGGTCCAAGAACAAGAGTACACATTATTATGATCCTAACCCGGCGATATTTCAAAATCCACCTATGGTCAAGAATTTAAGCCACTAATCTCAACACCTAGGGTTACCAGGCATAGTGATATGACACAATCTCCTTATCTTTTTGGGTGACACTTTTTACTGGTATGTATGTAAGTGTCACAATGTAACGTGTTCTGGGTCATTGTGTGACACATTCTACAATATTCAAAGGCTTTATGTAACATGCATGAGATTTGCAATCCATTCTGAGGCCTACATGCTCCTGTTGACTCACAATCTTATGTATTGCTTTAAATTCAGTTATGATAGACAACATCTCTCTTATAGGCTGGGTTCAGACAGGAGACCCATTATTATGTCTGTGATCTGAGTCCAGAACTGAATCACCATCTCAACTGTAGCAACACACACATATGAAAGTCCCAATTCCATCTTTGTACTTTATTTACTTGTTAGACTGAGGACTTCAACAGTGGTCTTTTTAAATGTGGGATAATGAAATCTTCATCTCTCTCCTGCATGACATGTGTAATCAAGAGTCACGATCTTAACCTTTTGCTAGGCCCTGTTATAAAACTCTGTGTACCAGCCAAAAAGTTTACAGAATTTGAATTAGTGTTGTCATATGTGAGCTTTATGCAAATATGCAACTTATAACCTTACCTATTGCCCTAAGTGTAGCAATGAGAGGCAAAGTGTCTACTATTGGTGCAATCCCAATATAAGTTTGATTATTATGCCTTTGAAATGAAGCAAGGTAAATTTCAAAATCCCATTTGTAGAAAAAAAAACTTGGCAGGAGGGTAGCACAATTTAGGTGCTGTGTCAAGCAATATGTCACAATGCCCTCTCTAGGCATGATATAGAAGTGAGGGATCCATTAAATGGGGGCTGGACCCAGCAATATGACACAATCCCAAATGTGGAAAAAAAAAAGAACCCAGACAAATGATGACACCAAAAACTCCTACTGAATGGGTCTATAATATGTAAAAATACTTTATGTTGCTCTGGCACAGGAAGGAGCGTTACATCATCAGGGTGAGGGGCCCAGCAATATGCCATAATTATCTCTTTATGCAGAACCCAGGTAGAATTGAAAGATTATCTGGGTGCTGGGCCCTGCAATACCTCAAAAATCTTTTTCTTGGGCATGGTTGGGGAAAAAAGAGTCATAGTACCTAAGTATTGGGCTTAGCAGTATGTCAAATCACCCCATTGCAAAGACTCAGGCAGAAGAAAAGATTCACATCACTTAAGACACAGGCTCAGATATATGACCCAATGTCTCAAGTAAGGAGGGCTCAGGCAGAAGGGTAGAGTCATATCACATAGGGGCTTCCCTAGGTATATAACACAATCTAACATATGAGGTGAAAGCTGGCAAAAGAGCCACATCGCCTTGATGTGGGCTCTTGAGATATATCACACAAGCCTCCCTTAAGACAGCACCCATGCAAGAGTGTTATAACAAATAGGTGCGGGTTGTACCATTATGTCACAATGCTCCACGTGGGCAGGGCTCAAAAAGATAGTCAGATCACCTAGGTAATAGGCCAGAGATATGTTACGATATCCTTCTTAAGGCATGGCTCGGGCAAAAGAGTACCATCACCTGTTTGCCTAGCCTAGTAATGTGTCACTATCAAGGTAAGCAGGGCCCAGGCAGGAGAGCAAAATCACCTAAGTGATAGTACCAGAGATTTGTCACAATGCCCTCATTAGGACACGGCTCTAATAAAAGATTACTGTCATCTACGTGCCTGACCCAGCCATATGATACTATCCCCCACTGTGTGCAGGGCCCATTGTCATGAGGAGAGTTACATCACCTAAGTGGTTGTATGACATACGACACAGTGATATGTCACAATGATGTCTGTGGGAATGGCACAGGCAAAAATTTAACATGACTTGGGTGGTGGACCTAGTGATATGTCATGACCCTTACCGAGAGCAGGACCCAGGCAGGAGAGTCACATCACCTAGATGTTGGACCAGGTAGAAATCACAATAACAACCTCAGGCTGGAACCAGTCTGGAGAGTCAAGTCACACAGATGGTCAGCAAGGATGTTTTTTCAAAATGACACTGGGAGAAAATTCCTGAAATGAGATTTACACTACCACACATGTCTTGTTTTCATGAGTGAGAGCTGGCTTCACATATTTCAGACAGTGACAGTATTTACTGTCAGCTGGGTGTGTATATGAGACTCACAATTTCACCTTTCTGCTGAATAGTGTTTTTACACTCTCTGTACAAGCCAAGGGCATTATAAAATATCTGAGGGTGTTATAATCTTCTTTGACCTTTTTTTTTTCTTTTTTACCAGAAAGAGATTTATGAGATTTATTCACTCTTGTTTTTGTTGTTGTTTTTGTTGTTGTTGAGACAGAGTCTGGCTCTGTCACCCAGGCTGGAGTGCAGTGCTGCAATCTCTGCTCACTGCAACCTCCACCTCCTGGGTTCAAGCAATTCATCTGCCTCAGCCTCCTGACTAATTTGGACTCCAGTCGCACACCACCACACCCAGCTACTGTTTGTAGTTTTAGCAGAGATGGTGTTTCACCATGTTGGTCAGCATGGTCTCGATCTTTTGACCTTGTGATCCACCTGAATCACCCTCCCAAAGTGCTGGGATTACAGGCCTGAGCCACCACGACCAGATAATTTACTCGTGTTTCTAAAGTAAGTTAGAAATGTCAAAGTTATTTTTATTTGTGGGGTCTACATAAAAGAGTCATTATACCTGTAAGTTGTGCCTATGTATAGGTCACAATTTACTCTGTGGTAATGAAATAGGCATGACAGCTAAGTCATCTAAATGCTGAACCAGAAATTTTCCATTATTTTTCTTGTAGACAAGTTCCTTGCAGAAAAGTTTTGTAACTTGGGTGTTACACCCAGATGTATGGCATAATGCCCCTTGTGGGCAGTGTCTAGACAGAAGAGGAGTCTCATACCACCTAAATAATAGGCCCAGAGATATTTCACAATGTGTCCCATTGAAAGGACCAGGCAAGAGAGTCATATCATTTAGATGCAGTGCTTAGAAAAGCTATAATCCCCAGTGGAAGCAGGGTCCAGGCAGGAGAGGAGAGTCAGGTAACTAGATGGTGGGTCCAGAGACATGTTACAATCTTTCCTTAGGATATTGTTAAGACAGGAGAGTCAAATCACCAAGGTGATCACCCGAGGTATATTTCCAAATCTCATTTGTGGGCTACACCTAGGCAGGATTATTAAATCACTCAGGAGCTAGGCAAAAGTATATATAACAATAACACTGGTTGAAAGTTCCAGGAATGGGAATAACCATCTTGCATATGACCTGGGTCCAGATTTAAGAGTCGTGATTAGTCCTTTTGTCTGGTCTCAGGTATATGGCACAATATCACCTGTAAACAGAGAGCAAGGAGGAAGGTCACATCACCTGGGTGGGTGCTGGTCCAGTGAGATGTAGTCATCTTTCTTGTAAGCAGGGCCTTGGAAAGAGTGTCACATCACTTGGATGCTGGTTGCAGTGATATATCAAAATCCCCCATGTGGGCAGGGCTTAGGTAAGTGAGGAGACCCTCTTTACCTAGGCAATTGGCTTAGACATATGTCACACTGGCCGCTATGTGCAAAACCAAGGTATAAAAGTGATCTCACCTGGTGCTGGGTTTAGCAATGTTACAATCTCCCCTTCGGTCAGGGTGATACAAGAAAGGAGAAACATCACCTAGGTGCTGAATTAAGTGATATGTTACAAAGCTTTCTGTTGGCAGAACCCAAAATGCAGACTCACATCACCTGGGTGCAGTATCCAGTTATGTGTCACAATGCACTATAAGTGCAGGGCCAAGGCAGTAGAAAGCAGTCACATCACTTACATGATGAACTTAGATATAAGCCACAAAGTCTTTTATAGGCAGGGATAAGGCAAATATTTCACATCACATGGGTGCTGATCCCTGTAATATGTAAAATTGCCCTTTGTATGCACACCCAGGCATCTATACTTAGGTGTTTGGTCGTCAAATTGTTCAGGGGATCAGCTAACTTTTATGTCCTGACCACATGATAGTAAATATTTAGAAATAAGTTTCACAGTCCCACACAAGTTCTGGATTTTTGTATGTGAGTCAACACTTCCTGTGAGTTGGGTCAAAGCAGAGGAGTCACAGTCTCAACAGTGGGCAAGCTTCATGTATAAGATGCCCAATTCCACTTGAAGAATGTGTTCCAGCAGAGGAGTCACAGCCTCACAGATGTGCTCAATCGTGCATCACCAAACTACCCATATAGAAGAGGAGCAATTTTAACTTTTGACTGCTCTCTTTGTGAGGTTTAATGCCTTATTTGCAGGCCCTGTTCTTGTGAGAGAATGACTACCGGGTCAGCTGGCTGTGCATTCAAGAGTCACAATGATACTTCCTTCCTGTTCCCTGTTATAACACTGTTTTTACCACTCAGGCTTTATATAATATGCCAGAGTGTCATAATCCTCTGTGAACTTTATACCATTAGGAGACCCAGTACTTTACTTGTGGCCATAAGACTGGCTATAGGAGTCAAAAAATCTCTCCTTTCTGGTTCTAGGTATGACAATTTTATTTGTGCATGTGAGCTGAACCCAGTTATATGTCACAATTTAACCTGTGAGCAGAAGCAAGGTGGGAGAGTCTCATCACCTGGATTCTGAGCTCAGGATACATTATAAACTCCTTCAAAGGCAGGGCCAAGTCAGAAGAGTCACATCACCTGGGTACCGTATCAAGTACTACGGCATCATGTCCACTGTAGACAGGTTTGAAGAAAAAAAGGAGAGTCACACCACCTAGGTGCTGAGCTCAGCAATATGTAGTAATTACCTCTTTTGGCTGACTCTGGAACAAGGAGGAGAGTTGCATTACCTAGGTTTTGTACTCCGTCGTATGTCACAATTCATTCTGCGGTCAGGACCCAGGTAGGAGACGAGCGTCACACTTCCAGATGTTACTTCAAGATATGTCATAATGTTCCTTGAGGGTAAAGCATGGGCAAAATAGACAAATTACCTAGCTGATAGGCTCAGAGATCTGTGATAATATACATTTTTGGCAGGGCCCAGGTAGAGCAGTCACATTATTATGATTCTGAACCCAGGATATATCACAATGCAAACAAGGGAAACAATTTATGCAAAGGTTTTAACACCTGGGTACTAGGACCAGCGATAAGACACAATCTCCTCATCTTTGAGAGTGACACCTTTAACTGTTAGCTTGGTGTGTATATGAGTCACAATGTCACGTGTGTGCTGGGCCATGCTATGACACCCTCTGTAATGTCTGAGGGCTTTATATAGCATGCGTGAGAGTTGCAAACTACTCTGAGGCCCACATGCTTATATGAAATCACAGTCTTATATATTGCCTTAAGCACAGGTATGATAGCCAACATCTCTTATTTAGGCTGATGTCAGGAATGTCTGTGAGCTTGGTCAAAAATGAGTCACAATCGCACATGTGGCCAGATCCATATATGAGAGCCACAATTTTATCTTTATATTCTTTTCACTTGTTAGACTCAGTACATCAACGGTGGGCTTTGTAAATGTGGGATAGTGACGACTTTTACTTTCACCTAGGTGTGTAATTGACAGTCACAATCTTAACTCTTTGCTGGGCCTTGTTATGAAACCCTGTATCACCCAAGTAGTTTATACAAGACAAATTTGTGTTGTAAACTTCTGTGAGCTTTGAAGAAATTTCCAACCCAGAATTTTACATGTTGCCCTAAGCCTAGCGATGAGAGGCAAAATATCTTCTATTGCCTGAATCCTAATATAAGAGACCATCATACCTGTAAGCTGTAGCAAGGTATATGTCATAATACCATTTGTGGGCAAAAAATTAGGAAAAAGAGTAACATCACATAGGCGATATGGCAATCGACATGTCACAATGCCCTCTCTAGGCAGAACCTAGGAAGGAGTGTTACATTAACTGGGTGCTGCGCCCAGCAATATTACAGAATTCCACATGTGAAAAATATTAGCCAAGGGATAAGAGCCAAAACTCCTACAGAAAAAGCCGAAGACATGTCAAAAATACTCTCTGTGGCTCTGGCACAGATAGGACAGTACCATCATCAGGGTGCTCAGCTGACCATCTGCAATAATTTTATCTTTATTCAGGACTCTGGCAGAAAAATAACATCATCTGAGTGCAATAGGTCAAAATTTCTTTGCGGTCACGGTTCAGAAAAAAGAGTAGAGTCACATGATGTAAATGTTGGGCTCAGAAACATGTCACAATCCCACCATTTTAAAGGCCCTGGTACAAGAGAGCCATATGACTTTGGTCATGGGCTCAGAGATATATCCCAATGACCCCAGTAGGCAGGGCTCAGGCAGTCAAGGAGATTCATATCACCTAGGTGCTTCCTGAGGAATATATCACAATGTTACATGTGGGCAGAAAACAGACAGGAGAGCCACATAGCTTGGGTTCTGCATGCTGAGATATTTCACAAGGCTCTCTTAGAACAGCTGCCAGACAATGGAGTTACGTCACCTACATGCAGGTTCTCTGCCTATGCCACAATGCTCCATGTGGGTAGTGCCTAAGGAGGAATGGACTACACCTAGGTGATAGGGCCAGAGATATGTCACAAAGTCCTCTATGAGGCATGGCCCTGGCAAAAGAGTACCATCACCTGTGTGCCTGGCCTAGAAACATGTCACGCTCCAGGTTGGCAATACCCAAGCAGGAGAGCCACATAACCAGAGATACATCAGAATCCTCTCCTTTGGGCATGGCTTTGGCAAAAGAGTAGCCTCACCTGTGTTCTCAGTCTTGAATCATGTCACTACCTTTTCTTTGAGCAGGGCCCATTCCAGAGAGGAAAGTTACATCACCTATGAGGTGGACACAGAAATATGTCACAATAATTTTTGTGGGCATGCTGCAGACAAGAATGTAACCTGTGGCCAGAGAGTAGCCAAGAAAGTCACATCAGCTATGTGTGTGCGGGTCCAGTAAAATGTCACAATACACTTTGCGGGCAGGACCCTGGCAGAAAAGCCACATCACCTGCATGCTGCTTGCAGTGACATATCAAAACTCACTATGTGGGCAGAACTTTGGCAAGAGAGGAGAACCACTTAGCCTAGGCAACTGGTGCAGATATATGTCACAATGACCCTCATGTGCAAGACCAAGGCTGTAGAGTGACCACAACTTAGTGCTGGGTGCAGCAATATGTCACAATTTCCCCATGGTCAGGGCCCAGAGAAAATATGAAGAAACATCACCTAGGTGCTGAGCCAAGTGATATGTTCCAATGCTTCCTGTTAGCAGAGCTCAAAAAGGAGAATCATGTCACATGGGTGCAGCACCCAGTTATGTGTCACATTTCAGTGTAAGTGCAGGGCCAAGACAGTAGAAGGGACTCACTACACTTATGTGATGTACCTAGATTTAAGACACAATTCTTGTAGGCAGTTTTCAGCAGATAATTTACATCACTTAGGTGATTGTCCCAGTGATATATAAAAGTGACCTTTGCAGTGGGAGTTCTGGAAACTATTATATGTTTCTTAGGTGCTTGTTTCACATATGGCAAAATCTAGTCTGGGATTAGAAAAGAGAGTCAGACGATTCATGTGCTAGGCAAAGTTACCTCTCCCTTTTATATTCTCAGAAAGATTTGGAAATAAGTTCCACATCCCACACAAGTATTTCTTTTGTGTAAGTGATTCAATTTTTCTGTGAGTTGGGTTGAAGCAGAGGAGTCACAATCTCAGCAACGAGCAAGATTCATGTATAAGAGCCCCAATCTCACTTGAAGATGGTTTTCCAGTAGGGGAGTCAGCACTACAGGTGTGTTGAATCATGGTTCGTATGTTACCAAACCACCTGTGAATCAGATCCATGTATAAGAGTAATTATTTCAATCTTTGACTGCTTTTTATGTGCATGATTTATTACCTCATTCCTAGGCCCTGTTCATGTGGGAGAATGTCAATCGTGTCAGCTAGGTGTACATACAAGTGTTCTCACCTCATTGCTGCTTTCTGTTATTACACTCTTTGTATCATTAAGGCTTTATGTGATATACCTGAGTGTTATAATCCTTCGTGAAATTTATACAAGTGAAAAGCCCAGGACTTTACCAATGGCTGTGAGACTGGCTGTGAGAGTCAGTTATCTCTACTGGATGGGTCCAGGTATGAGAATTATTATTGTGCATGTGTGCTTAAACAAGGTACATGTCACAGCTGGATCTGTGAGCAGAAAAAATGCCAGGAGAGTCACATCAGTTGGGTGCTGAGCCAGTTATATAGTATAATCTTGTTTGTAGTCTGGGGCTAATCAGAAGGGTAACATCACATCACCTGAGTGCTGAGCCAGTGATACAGTATATACTCATTTTTTGGCTGGGCCTAGTCAGAAGAGTCACATCACCTGGGTACAGCCTCAAACAGTATGTCACCAAGCCCACTAAAGACAGGAAAGAAGAAAAAGAGGAGTGTTCCACCACCTAGATGCTGAGCTCGGCAATATGTAATAATCCTTCTTTTGGAAGAGTCTAGAATATGAAGGAGAGCTACATCTCCTAGATTTTGCAATCAGCGGTATGTCACAACTTCTATGGTGAGCAGGGCCCAGGCAGGAGAGGATAGTCACATTTTCTAAATATTATGTAAACCGATATTTCACAATGTCCCCTGGGGACAGGGCACAAAAAGAAGAGACAAATCACCTAGCTTATAGACCCAGAGATATGTGATAATATTCCCTCTTGGCAGCGTCAAGGCAGAAGAGTCACATTATTATGATTCTAACCCAGTGATATGTCACAGTGAATCCATGGGAAGGAATTTAAGCCAAAAAGTCTCAACATCTTGGTAACAGGCTTCGTAATATGCCAGAACTCCTTGTCTTTCAGAGTGACATGATTCACTGTGAGCTGGGTGTGAATATGAGAAACACAATCTCATGTGTTTCCTGGATCATTGTATCACACTCTACAACTTTCAAAGGCTTTATACAGCATTCGTGAGAGTTGCAAACCACTCTGAGGCCAACATGCTTGTATGGATTCATTATCTTATATACTGCCATAAACCCAGATACGATAGTCAACATATCTTCTGTAGGCTAGGTTCAGGGATGAGACCCCTTATTTTGCCTGTAAGCTGGATCCAGAAGTGAGTCACCCTCCCATTTGAGGCCAGATCAACATATGAAGATCACAACTCCAATTTTGTTCTCTATTCACTTTTAGACTTAGGAACTTAATAGTGGGCTTTGTACATGTGGGATGGTGACGACATTTGCTTTCACCTGGGTGTCTAACGGAGAGTCCTAATCTAAACTTTTGATGATCTCTTTCATAAAACTCTCTTTACAACCCAAGAAATGTATACATTATGAGTTAGTGTAAAGTTTTTGAGTTTGATGCAAATATGAAACCCAGGACCTCATCTATTTCCCTAAGCCTAGTAATGAATGGCAAAATGTATCCTACTGGCTGAATCCCAGCATGAGTTTGACCATCATGCCTGTGAACTGAAGTAAGGTGTAGGACATAGTCCCATTTGTGGTCAAAAAGTGAGTCAGGAAGGTAACATCACTTGGGTGCTGTGACAAGCATCATGTCACAATGTCCTCTCTAAGAAGGGTATAGGGATTAGAGTAACATTAACTGGGTGTTGGAACTGCAATATGACAAAATCCCATATGTGGAAAAAGACAACCTAGAAATGAAAGCCAAAATTCCAACAGAATGGGCCCAGGATATATCACAATACCTTCTGTGGCTTTGGGTCAGCCATGAGAGCCATTATTAGGGTGCTGGGCCCAGAAATATGCCATAATCCCTCATATGTGCAGGACCCAGGCAAAAGAGTAATGTTATCTGCATGCTTGGCCCTGCAATAGGTCAAAATCTTTGTTTGTCTAATAACCCGAGTGCTGGGCTCAGCCATATGTCACCAATGTCACCATCCTCTCATTGTAAAGACCAGGCAGGAGAAGAGAGTCACTTCACTTAGGTCATGGGCTCAGAGAAACATCCCGGTGCCCCTGTATGCAGGGCTCAGGTAGAAAAGAAGAGTTATATCACTTATATTCTTCTCTAGTTATATGTCACAATCTAACATGTGGGCAGAAACCAGGAAGAAGAGCCACATCACCTGGGTATAGCCTCAAGTAATATGTCACCATGCCCAATGTAGACATCTTCAAAGAAAAAAAAAAAAAAAAGAATTAGACCACGAGCATGCTGGGCTCAATAATATGTAATAATTCCCTCTTTTGGCAGAGTACACAACAAAGAAGAGAGCCATGTCACCTAGACTTTGTGCTCAGTGGTATGTCACAATTTCTTCAGTCAACAGGATCCATCCAGGAGAGGAGGGTCACATTACCTAGATGCTATATGTAGCAATATGTCACAGTGTCCCCTGTGGGCAGGGCACTGGCAGGAGGGAAATGTCACTTAGCCAATAGATGCAGAGATATGTGAAAATATCTGCTCTTTGCAGGGCCAAGATAGAAGAGTCACATTGTCATGGTTCTGATCCAGTGATATGTAACAATGACCTCATGGAAAAGAATTTAAACCAAAAAGTCTCAATACCGGTATACTAAGCCAAGGGATGTGGCATAATCTCCTCATCTTTAAGCATGACATCATAAACTGTTATCTAGTTGTGTATATGACAGTCACAATCTCCCAAGTGTGCTTGCCATTGTATGATACTCTCTACAACATCTGAAAACTTTACGCAACAGGCATGAGTGTTGCAAAACTTTCTGTGGGCTACATGTTTATATGGACTCATAATCTTACATATTGCCCTAAACTGAGGTATGTCAGGCAACATGTCTCCTACAGGCTGGCATCAGGGTTGAGACCATTATTAGGCCTGTGAGATGGGTGTAGAAATGATCCACCATTTCACCTGTAGTCAGATTCACTTATGAGAGTCACAATTCAAACTTTCGGTTCTATTGACTTGATCAATTCAGGACTTCAGCAATAAGCTTTGTGAATGTAGGATATGAGTTAATGTTGTAAAATTCTGTGATCTTTGAACAAATATGAAATGAAGGTCCTTAACTATTGACCTAAACCTAGGGGTAAAAGGTAAAATGTCCCCTATTGGCTTAATCCCACAATAAGCTTGATCATCATGCCTTGGAGCTGAAGCAAAGTGTATGTCATAATCCCATTTGTGGGCAAAAAACTAGGCAGAAGGTTAACACCATTTAGGTGTTGTGCCAAGCAATATATCATAGTGCCCTCCCTAGGCAGAGCCTAAGAAATGGGGTCACATTAACCGGGGGCTGGAACCCACAATGTGACACAAAAATACGTGGAAGAAACCCAGCAAACTGGTTAGTGCCAAAGTACCTACAGAATGAGCAAAAGACATGTCAAAATACCTTCTGTGGCCCTGGCATGGACAGAAGAGTCATATTCTTAGGGTCCTGGGCCAAGCAATATGCCACAATTCCCTCTTTATCCATGAGCTAGGCAGAAGAGTAATATTATCTGGGTGTTGGGTCCTGATATACAGCAAAAGCCCTGTTCATGGGCACTCTTTAGCAAGAACATGAGAGTCACACAACCTAAGTACGGGGCTTCTCAATACATCACAATTCTCCCACTGTAAAACTACAGACAGAAGAAGTGAGTCAAATTACTTAGGTCATGGGCTCAATGATATGACCCAAAGTCATTTGTAGGCAGGGCTCAGGCAAAAAAAGTGAGTCGTATCACCTAGGTGCTTCTTTAGGTATAGGTCACAATTTAGTATGTGGGAAGAAGCCAGGCTGAAGAATCACATCACCTGGTCCTGGGTCCTGAGATATTCACAAATCCCCCTTAGAAAAGGACCTAGGCAAGAGAGTTACATCACCTAGGAACAGGTTCCACCCTTATGTTACAATGCTCCATGTGGGCAGCCTATGAAGGAATTCACATCACCTAGGTGATAGGCCCAGATATATGTCACATAACCTTCCTGAAACCATGGTCTTGGCAAAAGAGTACAATCACCTTTGTCACCTGGTCTAGCAATATGTCACTATTCCAGTGGGCAGTTTTCAAGCAGGAGAGCCATATCACCTATACAATAGGCCCTGTAACATGTCATAATCTTATCTTTTGTGCATGGCCCTGGCAAAGAAAAGTATCATTACCTGTGTGCCTGGCTTATGAATATGTCACTCTCCTGCCCTGTGTGCAGGGCCCGTTTCAGAGAGGAAAGTTATATCACCTCAGTGATGGACAACATAATATGTCACAAGGATGTGTGTGGGCATGGGGCAAGCATGAATGTAACGTCACCTAAGTACTGGATCCAATGATGTCACAATTCTTCCTGAGAGCAGGCCAGGCAGAAGAATCACAAGACTTCAATGTTGGCCCAGGTAGATATCAAAATTCCATGTGTAGGCTGGAACCAGTCCAAAGAGTGAAATCAAAAAAGCGCATGGAAGAGTTTTAGATCACAGTCATGATAAAATAAATTTCTAGGGATTAGACTTATAATGCCACATGTGTCTTGTTTTCATGTAGAACAGTAGCTTTTATACATCTGTGATTGTGAAAATCCTTCCAGTCAGCTGGGTGTCCAAACGAGACTCACGATTTCCTCTTTATCCTAGGCCCTGCTATGACACTCTCTATACTACTTACAGGTGTTATAAGAAGGTGTGAGTGTTGTAATCTTCTGTGACATTGTTAACAGTAGGAGATGCTTCATGTCACTCATGTCTCTAAACCTAGTTGTAAGAGTCAAAATTTCTCCTATTGGCTGTGTCCACATATGAGAGTCATTATCATGCCTGTTAGCTGTGCCTAGGTATATGTCACCATGCCCTCTGTGGTTACTAAATAGGCAGGACACTACATCACCTAAATCCTAAGCCAGAAATATTCCAATATTCTCTTTGTATGCAAGGCCCTAACGGAGAAGTAACAGAACTTAGGTGTTATGCCAAGCTCTATGCTGTAATGTTACTTGTGAAGAGTGTCCGGGCAGGAGAGGAGAGTCATATCACCTAGATGATGGGTGCAGAGATATATCATAATGCCTTCTGTTGTAATGGCCCAGGAAAAAGGGTCATATCATTTGGATGCGTGCTTAGAAATGCCACACTCTTTGCTTTAATCAGCGTGCAGTCAGGAGAGGAAAGTCGCATAACCTAGATCATAGGTCCAGAGATATGTTATGATCCCTTCGGAGAACACTGTTAAGACAAAAGTCAAATCCCCAAGGTTTTGGCCCAATTGTATGTAAAAATGTCACATCTGGACTCTAAATAGGCAGGATTATTAAGTGACTCAAGAGCTGGGCAAAAATAAACGTCAGAATAACACCTGTGAAAAGGTTCAGTGTTGAGAGTCACAATCCTGCACGTGACCTGGTTCCTGGTACAAGAGTCATTATTAGACCTTTTATTTGTTCTCAAGTATATGGCACATTACCACTTGTGGGGAAGGAGAAGAAAGTAAGGAAAGTCACATCATTTAAGTGTGTGCACGTCCAGTGAAATTTCACAATTCTCCTTGTGGGTGGGACTCTTGGAGAAGAGTCAATCACCTGGATGCTGGCTTCAGTGACATATCTAAATCCTCTCTGTTGGCAAGGCTTAGGCAAGAGAGGAGACAAACTGCACATGGGCAATTGGCCTTGATATATGTCACAATGGCCATTGTGTGCAGGATCAAGACAGGAGAGTGAACTCACCTTGGTGCTGGGCTAAGCAATATGTCAAAGTCTCTCTGGTGGTCAGGGTCAAGGCAAGAGAGGAGAAACAGCACCTAGGGGCTGAGCCAAGTGATTTGTTACATAGCTTTCTATTGGCAGAACTCCCCTCAAAAACTCTCACATCACCTGAATGCAGTGTGTCACAATACAGCATAATTGCAGGGCCAAGGCAGTAGAAGGAACTCACATTATTTACATGATGGATCTGGATAAAATCCATAATGCTCTTTGTAGGCAGGGTTTAGGCCAACATTTCACACCAGCTGGTTGCTGGTACCAGTAACATGTAAAAGGGCCCCTAGTTGCATTGACAAAAAGTTATTATACATTGCTTAGGTGCTGGTGCATGTATGTCACAATTTCTAGGCTTGGCCTAGAAAGGAGAGTCAAAATACTCAGATGCTGGACAAAGTCAAACTTCACAATCACACACTTGAAAATGTTCAGAAATAAATTTTACAGGCCCACACAACTTCTGGCTTCGGGTATGAGAGTCAACACCTCCTATGAGTTGGGTCGAAGTAAAGAAGTCATAATCTCAACAATGGGCAAGATACATGTGTAACAGCCCCAATCACATTGAAGGTTGTGTTCCAGTAGGACAGTCAAAGCACCACTGGTCTGGAGAATCGTGGGTAAATTTCACCACAGCATCTGTGGATCAGATTCATATATGACGGTAACAAATTCCAGCTTCAACTGCTTATGTGTGTGAGATTTTTTAACTCATTCATAGGCTCTGTTCATGTGTGAAAATGACAACTGTGACAATTCGATGTGTGTAACACCTGGTTGCTGGTGCCTGTTATGACACACTTTGTACCACACAGACCTTAAATGATACACCTGAGTAGGATACATTTGTCTGAATTTTTACAGACATCTAATTTTACAGAGATCTGAGACTTTACTCATGGCCATAAACTGGCTCTGAGATTCACAATATCTCCCTTGGATGGGTCATGCATGAGTTATTATTGTGCATATCAGCTGAATCCAGGTATATGTTAGAATTTCATCTTTGGACATAGACAAGATAGAAAAGTCACATCATCTGTGTCCTTAGCCAGAAATACATTATATCTTCTTTTTAGGCAGGATCCAGTCAGAAGGCTCATATCTCCTGGGTACAGTCTCAAATAATATATCATCTTGACCATTGTATACAGGGTTGAAAAAATAGAGGGTAGTCACATTCCCTAGGTGCTGGGCTCTGCAATATGTTATAATTCCCTCTTATAGCAGATTCCAGCACAAAGAGGAGAGTCACACCACCTAGGTTTTGCACTCAGTGGTATGTCACAATTTCCTAGGTAGGTGAGATCCAGGCAGGAGAGGAGAGCACATTACCTAGATACTATATCCAGCAAAATGTCGGTGTCCCCTGTGAGAGAACACTGTGAGAGGAGAGACATATCACCTAGCTGATAGGCCCAGAGATATGTTACAATATCCCCTGTTGGCTGGATCCGTGAAGAAGAGTCACCTTTTTATGATTCTAACCCAGCAATATTTCACAATACACCCATGGGAAAGAATCTAAGCCAAGACTCTCAACACCGGGGTGCTGGGCTTTGTCATATGACACTATCAATTTATCCTTTAGGTGACACATTTAACTGTTAGTTTGTTATGTATGTAAGAGTCACAATCTCAAGTGTGTTCTCAGTCATCTTATGAGACACTCTACAACATCTGAAGGCTTTATGCAAAATACCTTAGTGTTACAAACCACTCTGAAGCCTACATGCTCGTTTGACCCAAAACATACATATTGATGTAAACCCTGTTATGATAATCAACAGTTCTCTTATAGGCTGGGTTCAGACAGAAAACCCATTATGGTGCCTATAATCTGGGTCCAGAAATGAGTCACCATCTCATCTGTAGCAAGATCCACATATGAGAGTCACAATTCCATCGTTGTACTTTATTTACTTCTTAGAGTCAGAACTTCAACAGTGGGCTTTATAAATATGAGATGCTAAAAACTTTTTCTCTCACCTGCATTTGTAATCAAGGGTCACAATTTTAATCTTTTGCTGAGCTCTATTATAAAACTCTGTGTACCACCCAAGTTTATAGACTATGAGTTAGTGTTGTAAATTTCTGTGAGCTTTGTGCAAATATGCATCTCATAACTGTAACTATTGCCCTAAGCACAGCTATGAGAGGGAAAAGTCTACTATTGGTGGAATGCCAATTATGTTTGATCATGATGCCACTGAGTTGAAGCAATGTAAGTATCATAATCTCATTTGTAGAAAAAAAAACTTAGTGGAAAAGTAGCACAACTTACATGCTGTGGCAAGCAATATGTCACAATACCCTCTCTAGGCAGGGTCTAGAAATGAGGGTTACATTAACTGGGTGCTGGAGTGCTGGACCCAGCAATATGACACAATCTCAAATGTGGAAAAACAAGCCCAAACAAATAAGGACAGCAAAAACACCTACAGGATGGGCCCAAGATATATAAAAATACTTTCAGTTGCTCTGGTACAAGCAGGAGAGTTATATCTTCAGGGTGATGGGCCCAGCAATGTGCCATAATTATCTCTTTCTGCAGGACTCAGGCAGAAAAGGTACATCATCTGGGTGCTGTACCCTGCAATACAGCAAAATTTATTTTATTGGCATGATTTGGAAAAAGAACAGTCATTTAATCTAAGTATTGGGCTTAGCAATATGTCACAGCATCCCACGGTAAGGGCTCAGGCAGAAGAAAACAGACACATCACTTAGAACACAGGCTCAGATATATGACCCAATGTCTCAAGTAGGCAGGGCTGAGGCAGAAGAGAAGAGTCATATCACCTAGGTGCTTCCCTAGGTTTATAACACAATCTAACATATCAGGAGAAGTCAGGCAAAAGAGTCACTTCACCTTTATGCTGGTTCCTGAGATATGTCACAATGCTCCCTTAGGACAGGACATGGGTGAGAGAGTTACAACAAATAGTTACAGTTTTCACACTTATGTCACAATGCTCCATGTGGCAGGACTCAAGCAGCAAGTTATATCACCTAGAGGATAGGCCAAGAGATTTGTCACAATACCCTTTTTAGGATAAGGTCCCAGCAAAGGAGTTCCATCATCTGTGACCCTAGTGCAGCCATATGTGAGTATACCATACTCTGTGCACAGCCCAATCTAATGAGGAGAGTTGCATCACCTACAGGGCTGACACAGTGATATGTCACAATAATTTCTGTGGGCATAGCTTAGGCAAAAATATAACATGACCTGTGTGCTGGAGGTAGTGATTTTTCGTGATTTTTACTGGGAGTAGGTCCCAGATGGGAGAGTCACATCACCTCAAGGTTGGCCCAGGTAGATACCACAATAACATATGTGGGCTGAAACCCTTCCAGAGAGTCAAATCATATGGGTGATTCACAAAATATTAAATCACAAGCACACTGGCGGAAAACTCCCAGGGTAAGATTTACAATACCACACATTAGTTGTTTTTATGAGTGACAGTTGGCTTCATATATTTAAGATGGTGACATTCCTTACTGTCAGATCAGTGTGCATATGAGACTCAGAATTATGCCTTTCTGCTGCATTCCATCATAACAATTTCTGTACAAGCTGAGGACATTATAAAATACTTGAGGCTGCTATAGTCTTCTTTGAACTTTTTTATTACCAGAAAGAGATTTAATCATTCATGTTTCAAAAGCAATTTATGGAAGTTGAAAATACTTCTATGTGTGAGGCCCACATATGACAGTCATTACCATGTCTGTGAGATGCTTGTAAATTGAACATTGAAATAAAAGCCCAACAAGGTACTCTTAAGGCACTAATCTGTTCCTTACCAACATTTGTAAAGAATTATAAAATAATTTATAAAAATTATATCTTTTCCATTTCTAAGTCATCATTTTTGTTAAATAAGTAATTTAGGAAAATCTGGAATTTTATTTCAGGATTTTTAAACCTCTAAGTTGTAACATCCTTCTCAAAACCACACTGTAGTTACAAAATTATCTTTCTTTATTTCTAGCTTTTGGATGCTACAGAGGGCCCATAGAGTATCAACAAGAGAGATAAACAGGATTATATGGCATGATTAGTTACACGGAATTGCCAAATGGTGTTCAATATTTTTAGGTGATATTTTGGTGACTAATACTAATACATGTTCTAAAATTATATGGGATTTCTAAAATTCTAATGTCTGAAGTATATGCTATCATCCACAATTAAGGTTGTTAGGTTAATTTATTGCAAACCATATAGATAACGAAAATTTTTGTCATATTTCTGACTGTAACTACCTTGCACACTTTGTAATACACAGATAATTATTCCTTTTTTGATTTTTTTATGAAGTGCTTTTTAATCAGCTATAGATCTTTAATAGGTGCTCTCAATTGCAGGCTTCCGATAACTTTGGAGCTTGTGACATTGAAATACAGGAAAAACTTACAGGACTCTCAAAGAGCTAAAATATGTATGAATATCAAACAAAAGAAGAGTTGACTGAATGGACCGGACTAATAGAAAATTGAAGTAGCCCTTCTGACTTTTGTTTGAGACATTACTCATTCTTGTATTATTTACCAGAGTCAAGGAAACATCTTGAGATACTTACAGCCTTTAATATGTGAGCAAGGTGTACTCATGTGTGCACAATTTGGATCACGTTTGCCTTTCTCGGCAGGACTTCTCCTGAATTCGAAAAATAGTTGTGAGTGTTCTTAACTTGTGGCAATATAGGTGTTTGTATCAGTGCAATAACAGTCCAATTTCTCTTCCAACAGAACACAACTGGAGAAACTGGTTGTTTGAACAAGGCCTTGACTAAAAAATAAGCTTCCCTTTAAGGAGTCAAGATCAACTTGCAGAACCAAGAAAATCCCAGTGGAAAAATTGGCTTTATACCTCATCTAAACAGTCCTTTAGCAGGGTTCCTGATCTGTGGTAACTAAATAATGACACTTTCTGACAGGCCCAGGAGCTCCAAGTTTATCTTGGGACCATAAGAGCAGAGAATCACCCAACTAAAAATTATCTGATTGTACAAACCCGTGGCTGGGCTTGACTTTAGAAAGTCCCATCTGAAATTTCTTGTGGAACAGAGTTCCATCAAAGCCAATGTAAAAGACCTATCTAGAAATAATTATTCTTGCTGCATTTTATGCAAATAATCAGGCCCAGTATCAGAATAAAGTTTATTTTACAAACAACTCAGTCCTATCATGATTTATTTTTTAATAGAAGAGGACTGGATAAAGTTTATGTTTCACAACTTATTATATATTTGTCATTAAATTCTAAACTCACAAGTTTTGCATTGTTGCCTACTTTTTAGAACAATCTTGCTTATTTCTGTGACCCCACTAATGATCTTCAACTGCAGCCCACAATAAACAAAAATGAATTGGTACACATGAAAATCTGGATTAACATTATAATTCTGGACAATTATCCTGCAAATTCTGCAGAGTGATGGGAATATATAGGGTGCCCACCTAAATTTTATGAAGCACAACTATAGCCACTAGTTTCCTCAGTATGTCACAGTCATTCTTTTCTCACCCTTGTAGAAGAAGAACTCAATTCCACAGCTTCATCTTAGCATTCAGCTCATGATAAAGAGTCCATGCAATGCCCTGAGACACATTTTTGCCCCAGCCTCAATTCTAAGCTTCTGTTTGACACCATAGAAAAAAGTAAAAAATTTGAGAAATCCAGAGGCAGGTGATAATGGAGGTAAAAAAGCACAATGCTGGTGAGCATAACTAATTCCCAGGGATTAAGCCAAGCCCCCGATTTCATGGATAAAGATTATGCTACTATCCATGCCATAAATGAGGTCCAGTGAACTCCAGAGCTACTGACAGCAGGGAAGAAAGGGTACACATGTGTAAGAGCAGATATATCCACCCCCTTAGGCCTCCCTGTTAACATTGGTGAAAGCTGCCTCGACACCCATGGGAGGCACCCTGTTACAATCAGTGGGACTTGGGGATACAAGGATTGAAGTGGGAAAAAGAATATTCTTTCTCCTATAGCTCAACACACCCTGGGAAATTGCTAGGAAGAGAAAGGAGCCAGGGACTCCTGCTCCTCTATCTCTTTCAAGATAAGTAACCATTCATTTTTAGTCTAGACCCATTTTGAATGCATCCTGAACCCTTGGAACTCCTTTGAAAAAATGCTAACTTTTCATTTTTTCTCCTCCGTTTGCTGTTTAGAGATAGGTAATCACATCTCCATGTTTTGGGACATTCCTCTTCAATGCATCCTCCAAGTTTGGAAGAGTTAATTTCCCAAACATTAAACTGGACAGCTTAGGATTGGACCCAGGAGAAAAGAACCCAGAAGTCTCATATGCTGTCAAAAGGGTAAAAGTTCTTTCTTTCTTTCTTTCTTTCTTTCTTTCTTTCTTTCTTTCTTTCTTTCTTTCTTTCTTTCTTTCTTTCTTTTCTTTTTCTTTCTTTCTTTTATTTTTTCCTGTTGGGCTTTTGGCCTCCCTCTACCTATGCAAACTGGTGAAAACCCTGGATTTTTTTTGAGCTGTCTCTTCCACATTTCCCTTGGTTCATTTTAATACGTGCTTTTTAGTAACACAGTTTGATTCTCCTCACCTTCAGGCTATCAAACTTCAAACAGTCACACTACCATAGGCTGAGACAATGGCCCCTTTCACTGGAGACACTTAGGCCTCTAAGGAATAACTGACTGCCATTTATTTCACAACAGTGCCCCCTGTCATCAGGAAGCACTTAAAAGTGGTTTTTGTCCTCATCTTTATCCTTATTCTAACAGCAGTTAGATATACTTATTGACAGTGGAAAATAACAGAGTTAGAAAACAGCCAAGTGTCTTGGACAAAACCCCATCTTCAAGCCTAAAACAGCCTGAAGGCTGAAAAATCGAGTGCTTGTGCTAGATGAAGCCTGCCTTTTTCCAACAGATTCTCTTTGAATAATTTCCATCTGAAAACTGGGGGAAGGGAGTGGAGGCTTGGAAGGCCATGGAAACTTTACCCCTTGTGCAAGGAGGAGGAGCCTGGCTTCATCAGTTCCTGTGTGATGGTCTGGTGTTCAGCAATCCGTGAAGTGGGGGCCTGGTAAACACGACTCCCACTCACTTCGTTGAGAGTTTTTCTTTTTTTCTTTTCTTTTACCCAATCAGCTCTACTCTTTATCCTTCAGGAGTGTCCCTGAGCCTAATCTTTCCTAGTCATGTGACAAGAACCCAATTTTGCTGAAGGAGAACGTTCTGCAACATGAGGAATTAGAACGTTTGTTTAAGATAAGCTGAATTTTATGCATGTGGGTTTCATTCTGGCCTCTGTTATTTGCCTTAACATTGATTTAACTGTCTTTATGCCAGCACCACACTATTTTGATTACTGTAACTTGGCAATATGTTTTGAAATAAAAAATATTTATCTAAGTATATTCTTTTTTTCCAAAGTTGTTTTGCTACTTTTTTTGTTTTGTTTGTTTTTGAGTGTTTACATAAATTATAGTGCAATATTTGAGGGCTTACTCCTGTGATCCCAATACATTGGGAAGCCAAGGAAGGTGGATTGCAGGACCCCAGTAGTTTGACACCAGCCTGGGCAATATGGTGAAACCCTGTATCTACAAAAAATACAAGAACTTGCTGAGCATGGTGGCATGCACCTGCAGTCTCAGCTACTTCTGGAGCTGAGGTGGGAGGATCAATTGAGCTTGATGTGTCAAGGCTATGGTGAGCCATGATTATAGCATTGCACTCCAGCCTGGGTGACACAGCTAAATATTGACTCAAACATTTTAGAATATTTTACTACTTCTGCAAAACAAAAACAAAAACAACAACAACAAAAAAAACTATTGGCTCTTTGAAAGAGTTCTCATTGACCTGTAGATCATTTCTAATACCATTAACTGAGGCACCACTCTTTTCATGAGGGCATTAGCTGCAGGGAGTCTGTCCCTTGCAGACCCCTGACCGAGCGACAGATGAATAAAGTACCCTGTCACACAGATATTCTGCTTTTCAAGTCCAGCTGAGGGTCTGGGGCCACTAACAGTCTCCAAAGGGAGTCCTGTAAAGAGTGGCAGCTGTGCCCTGAGCAACTTGCACTCCAGGCATTTATTTAGTATAGAATTATTAACAGAAGCTTTGAGTAGACACACTTGTGGATAATTAACCTGGTTAAGAGAATAGTTCTGTGAATAACGAAACCTCAGGCACCACGGTCTAAAGTAAATGCCAGTGGGGGCAATTTCCCTGGTTGACATTCCCCAGAAAGGACCATCTGGCTTAAAGGTTAGTTAATGGAGGTGGGGTAAAAAAACTTAATTGGGGAAGCCTCTATTGTCCTTAGCATTTACCCTATGACCAAATGCTTTAAGGTTAAAACCGACTACCTTCAGCCCCTTGAATTATTACAAGCTATGCAACCTTTCAGCCTTCCAAAAGTCTGTGACTATTCCCTATAACTTTCCCTAATTATTTTCTTTTAATATTTCTGCCATCCTCCTGAGTGAATCTCAAAATCCTCCTCTCTGTTCTTTTCTGCATCAGGTTTTTGATTGCAGAGCACAGATATGTGCAGTCATAGGTTTGTCAGGCGAGGTGGTCACTGATCTTATTCCAGCTTTGCATCATATAAATAGCAAATAACACAAAACAATCATGAGTATAATTAACAACACTTCTTCCAGTCAGAGTGACTTGCAGAGTTACTTGCCATCTGAGTTCACTCTGTGCTATTAATGAGGAACCTCACTGGGGGAATGTTGATTTCCTTTTATTTAAGCAGTGATGTTGTTAGAAGCTGGAAAGGGGGTGTTAGTCTAAGTACTAGGGTAGAACAAAGGAGGTTACAAGATGGGCTTAATAGAGCTTGGCAGATACAGGTAGTAGACAAAGTGAGAGAATAAAAAAGAAGCAGGATTTGCATAGCCTTCTGAGTCATCTTTCTCTGATAAAGCTGCATCATCTTGCAGGGTCTCTCCTAGGCTGGCTCGAGTTTTTTCTTCTTTTAATCCTTTGATGAGGATGCAGTGTCTTGGCTGGTGCTTGTGTATTGGAAATTGTAGAGATTGTGTCTGTGCTAAGATATCTCTCATAATCTTTGTTAAAGAGCAGGTTAGTGCTTTAAGAAAAACTTGTGCTTTTAATGTCTTGTTTACAGAAAAACTGGATGACACATCTTTTTTAAATTAATTTATTTTTATTATTGTACTTTAAGTTTTAGGGTACATGTGCACAATGTGCCGGTTAGTTACATATGTATACATGTGCCATGCTGGTGTGCTGCACCCACTAACTCATCATCTAGCATTAGGCATATCTCCCAATGCTATCCCTCCCGCCTCCCCCCACCCCACAACAGGCCCCAGAGTGTGATGTTCCCCTTCCTGTGTCCATGTACTCTCATTGTTCAATTCCCACCTATGAGTGAGAATATGCGGTGTTTGGTTTTTTGTTCTTGCGATAGTTTACTGAGAATGATGATTTCCAATTTCATCCATGTCCCTACAAAGGACATGAACTCATCATTTTTTATGGCTGCATAGTATTCCATGGTGTGTATGTGCCACATTTTCTTAATCCAGTCTATGATTGTTGGATGACACATCTTTAACTTTAGTCAATATGTTTACTCAGAGAATTTTGTTAACAATTAACATTTTAAAACTTGCTTAGACTTTCAAAACAAAATTATACAACATGTCCTGAATAGTTTTCTTTTTATAATGTTTTTATGACTTCCACAGACAATTTTCAACATGCCTTAACTTTATTTCTTTCATAACCTTCCTTAATAAAGGTGCAGTCTAATGGTTATAACTTTCTTAACATTTCTTTCTCTTTATGTCTTTTCTTTGTCTTACTTTTTGTGACTTTGACCTCTGGTTTTTCTAGTCTTTCTTTTTTTTCCCCTCTATTTCTCTCTTTAACCTTTCTGTTTCTCTCTGATCTTGGACAGCAATTAAATGAGTGTTGGTATCAATAGATACTTGTACATATCTAAGTTTTCCAAATTCAAGTATGGGTGTAACATCTGTTTGCTATAGCAGGTTAAGTTCTGTTTCCCTAGGGTTAACACCTGTTGAAGGAGGGGACTTACCTGTGAGCTGGCAATCTGGGCATTGTAGGATAATTTATTTAGCCAGTCTCTGAGTAAGTTGATAAGTTTCTTCAATTTGGATGGAAAAATTCATGCGATTGGGTGGCTTGGTCTAGCAGTGATGGCTTAACCTGTAGGTTTGCTTGATCACTGCTCATAAGCCAATGGGCTAGGAAGTAAGCTGTGGGCTCAAATATGTGTAATAAAAATGGGACTTGTATGTTGATCTAGCCAATTGCTGAAGTTGGAGAAAGAGTAAACCGTCCTGGCTCCAGAATAGAGTTAAGGCTGTAAAACTTCTTTAATAAATAAACAGAGTAACCTTAGCTTTCTGTTTGCTAGTAAACTCAGATTGCATGATTGAATTATATGGTCTCTACCAGACTGCTGCTTTTCCATGTTTGCGGACCCATCAGTAAACCGTGTTAAAGCATTAGTTACAGGGGAGTAAACTCTTTTTGTAGGCATTATTACCGGAGTATGAGATAAGAAATGAAAGACTTTATCAGCAGGGAGGATGTGCTTTATTTGCTCTGTGTAATGAGATAAAACTATTTGTGGGTGTATTGACAAAGATAATGAAGCTTTGAATTGCTCTTTACTTAAAGGAATCATGATGATATCGGTTATGTCGCAACTGATTTTTAACGTTTGTGACCTGAATAGATGACTTTAGTAATTAACTGAGTATAAGGAGACAGTGTTTTAGTCCCGGTATGGGGGCAAAAAACCCATTCTAGGAAACATAGCCTGGGAGTCATTTGTCCTAGTAACCCTGTAGGGGAGTGTTAGGTGGAAAAAATAAATAGCTGATTGGAATACGGTGGATCAATGCGATCTAGCTTCCTTTGAAAGACGGCTTGCTCAATTTCCTTGATTTCCCTTTTTGCTGCAAGGGTTAAATATCTGGGAGAATTGAGGGCTGGGTTGCCCTTTAAGATAGAGAACAGGTTTTGTAGTTTATTGGTAGGAATTCCAACAATGGGAGAAATCCAGGTAACATTGTCCAATAATTTCTGCTAATCATTTAATGTGTGTAAGTTGTTAGTACTTAGGTTAAACTTTTGAGGTCTTACTGACCAGGAGATTAACAGATATCCAAGATATTTTCAAGGAGGGAACATGGGTACTTTTTCAGGTGCAGTGACTAAACTTTTCAGTTGTGTATTCCTTATGACAGAGGTAAACAAATTTAAAGGTATTGGCTCCGTTGGGGCTGCTAGTAAAATATCATCCATAAAATGAATAATCATGTAATCAGGAATTTTTTTTCTACTAGTTAAAAAACAAAGTTTGCTTTTAACTACTTCTAAACTAACTCATGGGTTGTTTGTAATTTCTCAACCTTTAAACGTTACTGTTTTACTTGAATTTGGTGAGCTTCATCAGGGTGGAAGAGAGATGACAACAGTGGAGGTTATTAGAAAGAGGTTTTCTAATTCTTACATTTTACTTAAATTTTAGCTGAGAACTATAATCTGTGATGTTGCTTGTAAACAAGCAGCACATGAGATTTTGTCTTGGATAGCCTGTGGAGTTAGAGAAAGGAGCAGGCAGGTCCCGGCGCTGTGACTGCTTTACATTTATAAAGTCGCCATTTTTGCCTGTGCCATTTTTTGCCTGTGCTGGCTCCCTTCCCCAGCTGTGGGACACATGTGGCCTGGGTGGAATTTGTCACGTGTGCTTCTGTTCCACTCGCAGCAGGCTAGCTCTGGCTGCAGCTTGGCTCTTTGTTGCTTCTGTCACAGTGTGGGTGGAGTTTTTCTTTCTACTTACTGCTTCCTTGTCCTGGCCCTGTGGCTCTGGCTTTTAGTGATTATTCTTAACCCTTTATGTACCTGATTACTTGGCTGATTTTGCATTACCGGGCAGGCTAATAACTCTCCTTTTATTGCTGCCAGCTGAAGACAGGGACTAATAACTGGAGGGTATTCCTGGTCCTTTTTCTTACGTATTGAAGAAAAAGGCTCAGGTAAAATATCTGTTTCTTCTTTGTTATTTTGGCTCAGTAATATTAGGGCTGACGGAAGAGGAGGTGATAAGGCAGGTGACATTTCCTCCTCGTTCCCCTTTATAGTCTGTTCTGTGTATAATGGAGACAGGGCTGCTGTAATGAAAGCCCATAACAGCTGGGACCTGTTGCCTTTGTGTCTGATGTTGAAGATTTATCCCCACTTGTTCTCAGAGTACTACATCCAGTGTTCCTTTTTCTGGGAACCATGATCTTGGGATTGTGTCCAGAATTGATTCCTTCCAGTGGGTTATTGGTCTTGCTGTCTTCAAGAAGAAGATGCAGACCTTCACAGTGAGTGTTATAGCTCCTAAAGGTAGTGCGAACCCAAAGAGCGAGAAGCAGCAAGATTTATTGCAAAGAGTGAAAGAGCAGAGCTTCCACAGCATGGAAGGGAACCAAAGCAGGTTGCTGCTGCTGGCTCGGGTGGCCTGCTTTTATTCTCTTATCTGGTGTCACCCACATCCTTCTGAGTGGTCCATTTCACAGAGTGCTGATTGGTCTGTTTTACGGAGTGCTGATTGATCCATTTTTATCCAGTGCTGATTGGTGTGTTTACAAACCTTTAGCTAGACACAGAGCGTGATTGGTGCATTTACAATCCTTTAGCTAGACAGAAAAGTTCGCCAAGTCTCCTACCCAATTAGCTAGACACAGAGCACTAATTGGTGCATTTACAAACCTTTAGCTAGACACAGAGTGCTGATTGGTGCATTTACAATCCTTTATCTAAACAAAGTAGTTCTCCAAGTCCCCATCTGACTGAGAAGCCCAGCCAGCTTCACCTCTCAATCCCTTCTCTAAACAGGACATCTCAACTGCTGTTGGGAATTGGCCAATGACCTCTCTAGCTACTTCCTGCTAGATAGGGGCAAAGAATTATGCTGCAGTTGTAGTGTCCTCCAGAGGGGAACTCTTTAGGCCACGGAAAGGGCCAGGAGGTTGGTCCAGGGGTCCTCAGTTGAAGCTGTTAGTTGAGCTCATTTGGGGTTCCATTTGTAAGACCATCTCTAGGTTGATAGCCTCAATTCTAGAAGAAAGAAATTTGACAAGAAGGTTAACAATACAGGGCCCGAAGGCAAGTAATGGCAAGATGGCTGCCATGGGAGCTAGAAAGGGGAGGAGCCATGTTGCCCAACTCCAGAGGTTGGTATAAGGGTTTGAAAGATGTCTGATTTCAGAAGCCTTTTCCTGTAAACACCAGGCAGCATCTCGTACTATGCCTCACTGGTTAGTGTAAAAACAACTCTCTTCCCCTAAGAAGGTGCAGAGTCCTCCTTTCTCAGCAGTGAGGTGGTCTAGTCCTCTGCAGTTTTGGAGTGTCACTGCTGGTAAAGAATCTAGCTGGGATTGTAGAGTAAGGATAGATTTTGTTATTTCTCACAAACTATCTGAGAAATCCTTTGAGAGTGTGTGATGGTAAGAAAATGAAGTAGATAAACCTGCTATTCTGGTTCTTGTAGCAGTGGCCATTTCTAACCCTATAAGTAGGGGTATTAGTTGTATGGCCCTGCAATGATGGACTTGAGCTTTGAGGGGCACTGATAGGGCCTGATTTCCTGGGGCAATGTTAATGTTGGGACTTAGAAAGACTAAGGTGCAGGTGCCTGTCCAGTTAGTGGGGAGGCAGATATAGTTTGACATTCCACAGGAGAAGAATATGCCTTGGCTGGGTAGATATTTAGAAATTTACCCTGGCTTTTAAAGGAATAGGGTATACTGTTTTTTCTTTACTATTTCCATATCTCTTTCATTCTCTTTGACTTCTCCTTCATCTCTCTCTTTCTGTCTTTCTGACTCCCTCTTTGTCTGTCTGTCTCTTCCTCTCTCTCTCTCCCTCTGACTTTCTGTCTCTTCCTCTTTTTCCTTTCTGCTGGTCTTTCCCTGCCTCTGCCAGCTGCTTATGCTACTGTTCTCCCCTCTCCTTCCCCTTTTGATGGCTTTGGCAGTGTAAGAGTGCCATGCCACCTCCGTGGGTTTTTGCACTGTGTGCAATAACTCCATGATTTCCTTGTGGCATTTAATGGGGGTTTCCCCAGAGGTTAGGAACTCCCTTTCTTTCCATATTGCAGCATGGGCATGTAGGATCAGATGAGCATACTTGTTATCTGTATACACATTTATTCTTTTTCCCTTTCCCAGTTCTAAGGCTTGGGTAAGTGCCAGTATTTCTGCTTACTGGGCTCTGGTCTCTAGGGGAAAACATTTACTTTTAAGTATAGTTACATCACTAACTATGGCATAACCTGCCCTTTGTATCCCATTCTTCACAAATGAACTTCCATCAGTATATAGGCTAAGGTCAGGATTACCTAAGGGGACTTCTAAGAGATTATCTTGTGCGGCATAAGTCTGGACGATAATTTGTTGGCAGTCATGCTTGATTGGATCCCCATCCTCTGGGAGAAAAGCGGCAGGGTTGAGGGCCATGCATGTACATATTTGAAGCACCAGTGCCTCAAGGAGTAGCACCTGGTATCTAAGAAAGTGGTTGTCTGATAGCCATAAACTTCCTTTGGCACCTAGTATGCCATTTACATCATGAGTAGTCCAGACAGTGAGATCCTTTCCTTGTATTATTTTGATAGCCTCTGACACTAAGACAGCCACTGCTACAGCTACCCATAAACAGTGAGGCCAGCCTTTTGCTACTACATCCATTTCCTTACTTAGGTATGCCACTGGTTGGGGGATTGTTCCACAAATCTAAGTAAGAACTCCAAGAGCTATCCCTGCTCTCTTGGTGACATATAAAGAGAAGTTTTGTCCTGTGGGAAGGCTTAAACCGGGAGCCTGTACTAGCGCCTGCTTTAAGGTTTTAAAGGGTACTTTTGCCCCTAGTTCCCATTCTACTAGATGAGTATTTACCCTTTGGGTCTCCTTGATTACCGTACAGAGTGGTCTGGCCATCTTGCTGTATCTGGGGATCCATAGTCGGCAAAAGTGGGTGGTTCTAAGGAACCCCCGCAACTGTTTTAATGTCTTGGGGTGAGGATAAGCCAGTATTGGCTGTTTTCATTCCTTGCTGAGGGCCCTGGCCCCTCTGGCTAAGATTAGGCCTAAATATTTGACCTGCTGTAGGCAAAGTTTGGCCTTTGACCTAGACACCTTGTACCCTTGATTAGCTAGAAAGTTCAAGAGATTTAGACTAGCCTGCTGGCATGAGGCTTCCAAACCAGTAGCCAAAAGTAAATCATCCACAAGCTGAAGGACCAGAGTCCCTGGACATGACAAGTGGCCTAGATCTTGGGCCAGTGCCTGACCAAACAGATGAGGGCTATCCCTAAACACTTGAGGCAAGACGTTCCATGTAAGTTGGGACGTGTGATCTGTGGAATCCTCAAAGGCAAAGAGAAAGTGGGAGTCAGAGGCAGAGGAATACAGAAGAAGGCATCCTTGAGGTCCGGAGCTGTGAACCATTCTGCTTCCTCTGGTATTTGAGAGAGCAGGGTATAGGGGTTGGGTACAACTGGATATAGAGGAATTACTGCCTCACTGATGAGTCTAAGATCTTGCACTAGTCTCCACTGACTGGGTTTTGGTCTCCTAGAATTGGAGTGCTGCAGGGACTGCTGCATTTCCTTACTGAGGCTCAAGATTTTAAATGTTTAACAGTATCCTGTAATCCTCTATGAGCTTCAGGCCTTAAGGGAAATTGCCTTTGATAAGGAAAAGTGGTGGGATCTTTTAGCCTGATTTGGACTGGGCAGGCATTTTGCCCTTCCAAATTGTCCTTCCAATGCCCAAACTTCAGGGTTAATTCCCTCCTCAAGCCACAGACAACAAATGGGTAACTTGCTCCCCATATTCATGTAGATAATAGCTCCAGCTTTGACTAATATATCCCTCCCTAATAAGGGTGTGGGACTTTCAGGCATATTAAGAAAGGCATGTGAAAAGAGCAAAGTCTCCCAATTACAACTGAGGAGTTGGGAGAAATACCTGGTTACAGGCTGTCCCAGCATTCTTCAGATGGTAACGGATCTTGAGGACAGTCGTCCAGGACAGGAGATTAACACCGAGAAGACCGCATCAGTGTCCAGGAAGAAGCCAATTTCCTGGCCATTAATGGATAAGCATACCCATGGCTCAGTGAGGGTGACGACATGAGCTAGCACTTGCTCCAGGCACCCTCAGTCCTGTTGTTGGATCCTCTGGTTGGGGTCTTCTGGCCCAGAGAACCATTGTACTCTGGGGCAGTGCACCTTCCAGTGATTGCCTTGACATAGTGGACGTGGACAAGGGGGCAGCTTGTTTCTTATTGGATGATCTTTTTTTTTTTTTTTTTTTTTGAGACGGAGTCTCGCTCTGTCGCCCAGGCTGGAGTGCAGTGGCGGGATCTCGGCTCACTGCAAGCTCTGCCTCCCGGGTTCACGCCATTCTCCTGCCTCAGCCTCCCAAGTAGCTGGGACTACAGGCGCCCGCCACTACGCCCGGCTAATTTTTTGTATTTTTAGTAGAGACGGGGTTTCACCGTTTTAGCCGCGATGGTCTCGATCTCCTGACCTCGTGATCCGCCCGCCTCGGCCTCCCAAAGTGCTGGGATTACAGGCGTGAGCCACCGCGCCCGGCCTGGATGATCTTTTTTTTTAAGTGTCCTCGTAAACCACACTGATAACAAGCCCTACCGGGTGATTGCCCTGCTCCCTTTTCTGTCCTCTCTGAAACACCAAGGTTTGTTTGTCTGAGGGCCATGACTAAGGCAGCAGCATTTCTCTGATCTCACTTTTCCTTTTGGGCCTGTTCCTCTTGGTCCCTATTATAGAACACCAAGGTTGCCAGGTTTAGTAATGCCTCCAGATTTTGTTCAGGGCCCAGGGCTTGCTTTTGGAGTTTCTCCTGATGTCTGTGGCTGATTGGGTAATAAACTTATCTTTTAGAATCAATTGACCCTTGAGTGATTTGGGTGACAGGGCAGTATATTTTCTTAAGGCCTCCCTTAGCCACGCAAGGAAGGCAGAAGGATTTTCTTCCTTTCCCTGAGTTATGGTGGATATCACTGAATAATTCATGTGCTTTTTCCTAATTTTCCTTAGTCCTTCTAGAACACAGGTGAACAGATGTTTATGACTCTTGTCCCCATGATCTGAGTCAAGGTCCCAATAGGGATCCACACTGAGAATGGCTTGCCAACCCGTAGGGAATTTTTCCCTTTCTTCAGCTGTCATTCTATCATTTACTTGACTAAGATACAAGGTATCTCCAAACTCTCAGGCTAAAACTAAAGCCACATTCTTTTCATTAAAGGTCAGGGTTTGATCTACCAATAGCATGACATCTCTCCAAGTGAGATCGAGGCTTTGCCCTAGATCCTGTGGGACATCTATGTACCTATCAGGATCATCTGAAAGCTTTCCCAGGTCTACCTTGATCTGCTTTAAATCAGAGAGGGAGAAGGGGACATGTACCAAGGTTGGGCCAAATTCCCCTCTCCCTAGAGCTTGAAGGGGATGTAATCGATAGCCCGGGGAAGGGTTGTGTTCCTTTGGAGATTTCTTTGCTTGTTTCCTTCTGGGCAGGGGAGATTAGAGGAGGCTTATCATTAATAGGAAGGGGAGCTATAGGGAGGCTAGGATATGCAGGTAAGCTGAGTGTTCCTCCTGTGGGATGTAAATTGCAAGCTTTGCATAGTTTTGTATTCTCCTTCAATGAAAAGAAAACTTGGACTTAAGGTATTGCACTCCTTTTGCCTTACCTCTTACAGAAAAGGTCAAGCTACAGTATAGTATTGTAAGTTATATTTCTCTCAGGTGGCCATTTTTCCACATCAGAGAGAGAATATTGGGTCCTGGCCATAGTGCAGAAAAAAATAAGCCACCACTTTTTCAGGGTTTGTGGGTAAAATTGGTCCCAATGGCTTAGGATGCATTGCAAGAGTGGGTCTGTTAATGCCTGAGTGTTTCCCATCCGAAAGAGAAAACGGCCCACTCTTTTTGTTTGTTTGTTTCTCCACCTGCCCAAGAACCCACAATGGATCCTGGACCCTGCTGATCAGAATAGTTGTGCTCACTGATGCAGCAGCAGAAACACTGGTTTTCCTCCTGGACCACAACAAAACCTGCAGCCTTGCCTGTCCACCCAGACCACAAAGAGGACTGAGAAAAATCGGATTTAGTGGCCCTTACTGACATATTCTCAAAAACCTGTTAGAGTCCTAAGCATTATCCTGTTAATATTGGGAATTTATCCTTGTCCTATAAAGATGTTATGCCCCAAAAATGAAGTGGAGGGCCATACCCTGAGGGAGGGAAGAGATCACCAGAGTCAGAAGAGTGATGCCTTTTGTCCTCACTTATATGAATAAGAAAGATACAATTTCTGAGGCGTCCCATATCCTAGCTTCAGGAATAGGTTTTGTTAAGCCTGTTTGTCTGAGGAGGGATCCTAAAATTCCAGATAGTCCCCCTTAAAATGGGGCTTTGGGCAAAAATTCTCTCTTTCTGATTGCTGAGCCTGAGTGCCAGGAGAAGGGAATAGAGTCCTGGAGTTTATACCAGAAATAGTTCTTACAGGAGAAACTAGAAAAGCACCAGAGACAGGGAGTGGTTTTTAGAAGCAGGACTAGCCTCAGAGAACAGAAGCAAGAGGAAGATTGTCTGACAGGCTTTAGGACCCAGGAGGCAAGGCTCAGGATAGATAGGATAGATGGGAGAGTCTCGCTTGGGCGACATGACTAAGAGTTCCGCCATGGCTGCAGGGTCAACCAATTTGTTGTTGGGACCATGGAGCTGAATGGTTTTCCTATCAACCCTCATCTCAGCCCAGAAGTACAGGGAAAGTGGAAGCTAGTTCCATGCAAACCAACACTCCCAACTCCGAAGAGTTGGGGTTGCTAGAGAGCCCTTTCCCAGAAAGCCTGGCACCCATGTCTTTAGTTCAGTGACCAAGCTAGTTGCTTTTAACTGGCTGACAGGTGCCTGCTATTTAGCCCTAGAATTCTAAGGAAAAATAGGACAGAATAGCAAGCACAAGGGGTCGATGGTACTCACTGCTTGGCAATAGGCAATAGTCCCTTTGTGGTCACCAAAGTGTGTCTGGAATTGATTCCTTCCCATGGGTTCTTGGTCTCACTGACATCAAGAATGAAGCCATGGACTCTCACGGTGACTGTTACAGTTCTTAAAGACAGTGTGTCCAGAGTTTGTTCCTTCAGGTGTTCATGGTCTCGCTGACTTCAGGAGTGAAGTTGCAGACCCTCACAGTGAGTGTTACAGCTCTTAAAGTTGGTGTTTCTGGAGTTGTTTGTTCCTCTCAGTGGGTTCATGGTCTCGCTGACTTCGGGAGTGAAGCTGCAGAGCTTCACAGTGAGTGTTACAGCTCTTAAAGGTGGTGCATCCAGTGTTGTTTGTTCCTCCCGGTGGGTTTGTGGTCTTGCTGGTTTCAGGAGTGAAGCTGCAGGCCTTCATGGTGAGTGTTACAGCTCATAAAGGTAGTGTGGACCCAAAGACTGAGTAGCAGCAAGATTTATTGCAAAGAGCAAAAGAACAGGTCTTCCACAGTGTGGAAGGGGACCTGAGTGGGTTGCCACTGCTGGCTGAGGTGGCCTGCTTTTATTCCCTTATTTGTCCCCACCCTCATCCTGCCGATTGTTCCATTTTACAGAGTGCTGATCGGTCTGTTTTTAGCAAGTGCAGATTGGTGCATTTATAAACATTTAGCTAGACACAGAGCACCAATTGGTGCATTTACAATCCTTTAGCTAGACAGAAAAGCTCTCCAAGTCCCTTACCTGATTAGCTCTACACAGAGCACTGAGTGGTGCATTTACATTCATTTAGCTAGATAGAAAAGTTCTCCAAGTCCCCACCCCACCCAAAGCCCAGCCAGTTTTACCTCTCAGGATTACAACAGTTTGCATTATGTCCCCTAATTGAGCCTGCAAAACTGATGCTCCACTAGCCTTAAGCAACTGTTTCAACACTTTTATATACTGTTTCTGTTGAGCTGATAAATGTTGTCCCATGAGAATACCTCAGCTTGACCCAACTTCTCCCAGAACTTGGTAACCTCGAGTGGGCACCAATGACTTACTGATTAGTCACTGACTTCACCACGTGAATTCTTTTTCCACCTTTGCTTTCAGGGAGTCTGTCGCATTCCTCACTCTTCCTCTACAGCTTTCCTCATGAGGGTGGTTCTCACACTTCCTTCACAGACTGCCTCACACAATGGGCTCCAACTGCAGACCTGGCGATGGGTGAATAAACTACCTGACACACAGATATCCTGCTTTGCCAGCAGCAGAGGGTCCGAGGCCACTCCCAGACTCCACGGAGAGTCCTGTAAAGAATGGAAGCCCACCCTGAGCAACTCACCCTCCAGGCATTTATTTAGTATAGAATTAATCACAGAAGCTTTGAGTAAACACACTTGTGGATAATTAACATTGTTAAGAGAATAGTTCTGTGAATGATTAAACCTCAGTTACCACAGTCTAAAGTAAATACCATTGGGGGCAATTTCTCTGGTCGAACTCCCTGGAGAGAGCCATGTTAGTTAGTGGAGGTAGAGTAAACAGACTTAACTGGAGAAGCCTCAGTTGTCCCTAGTATTTACCCTATGACCTAATGCTTTAAGGTAAGAAGAGGTTGCCTTCAGCCTGTTCAATTATTACAAGCTATATAATAATTTTAGCCTTTTAGCCTGCCAAAAAGGTTTGTTACTATTCCTTATAACTTTTCCTAATACTTCCCTGTAATATTTCTGCCAGCGGCCTGAGTGAATCCAAACAATTAACATCTAAAGAAACTTGCCTATTCTAACTCTTGAAAAATAGTATGCTCAAGAATTTGTCTAGGTTTCATGTATATGCAGATATACTAGTTTTCTTTTGGTTTTTACTTCCAGTTATATTTTATTGTAGTCAGAAATAATATTTTTTGTGATTACCGTCAGTTTAAATATGCTAAAACTTGCATTCTAGCTTAAAAGTTTGCCTATCTAAGAAAACATGCCAAATGTATATAGAAATATGTACTATGCAATTGTTGGGTGAAACATTTTGTAGATTATCCCCAGGTCTTATTTTGCTCTTTAACTTTTATTTTTCTATATATTTTTCTTTTTCTTTTTTATTTTGTATTTACTTTCATTTTTTCTATGCATTTAAATTTGTTTCTATCTTTTATTTTTTATATTATTGTCTCTTCATTTCAAATGTTCTCCAATTTGTGTCTTGTTTGAAACATTTTATTTAATTTCTTTTTTATCTTATTTACTCCCATTCTTATCCCTTTATATTATTTTATTTTATTTCTCCATATTTATCTTTATTTTTACTTTTATTTTTTCTCCTGATTCATAAAGTTTTATTTTATTCTATTGCAAATTGTTTCATTTCTGTTTATTTCTCTTAATTTTATTGTATTTATTTTCTTCATCTTCATTTTATTTACTTTCCCTGATCTTAATTACATTTCTCTTTATTTTTCTCTATTTTGTTTCAGTTTATTTGTCTTTACTATTTTTAATTACTTTAAACTTATTTTTTAATTTTTTTCTCTTGATTTTACTTTTTTCACTTTATTTTTCTATATTTTGTATTGTAAATCAGAAGAGATAAGCTATTTTAGATTGACCCAGCCATAGTGGTCAAAACTGGTGTTTGCTCAGGCTCTCTGGCAGCCACTCTACCTCAGGTATCTCCAATCCAGGGTATAGTCAGGGCCTTCTAGCAGGATTGCTAAGATCCCTGGGCAGATGTTTCATTGTTACAGAGCCATCTAGCATTAAGTCCACGGGCTATTTATCCTGCTTTCCGAAGCCACCTGTAAGCTTCAGTGTTGCTAGGCCAAGGGCCTGGCTGCCCCTTTATTTGTGTGCCAATTCATCCTTCACACATAATCCTGGGTACTGGCCCTTCTTCCTTCTTTACAAAGACAGGCTCCACACCCACTCCACTCCACCAGGGCATATCTAGAACACATGTGTGTCTTTTTGTTGTAAGAAAGAAAAAATATTTTTCTGTTTGTCTGTTTTTGAGACAGAATCTTGCGGTGTCACTCCACCTGCAGTGTGGTGACACAATCTGGGATCACTGCAGCCTCCACATCTCAGATTCAAGAACTTGTCTGGCTTCAGCCTCCCAAGTAGCATTACAGGCATGTACCACCATCCCCAGAAAATTTTTTTTTTTTTTTGGATTTTTAGTGGAGACATAGTTTCACCAGGCTGGTTTGAAACCCCTGACCTCAAGTGATCCATCCACCTCAGGATCCTGAAGTACTAGGGTTACAGGTGTGAGCCACCACGACTGACTGAAAAATATTTTTTGAATTTAAACTTGACATATAACAGATTTATTATGAAAATTTCAGCTTTATGGGTAGATATACATGCAATTATGTGTGTGTGAAAATGGTAATAATATGAGAAGATAAACATTTCTACACCTTGTTTAATAAATTTATGGAGTTGTTATTTTATCTTTTCCTGTTTATCTCTACATGTTCAATGGAAAAATACTCAGTGAAGGCTCCTCAGTATGATAAAAAAAAGCTGTGCAATCAGACATTAATAGATGTACAGTGAAGTAACTTCTGGTTTTCATCTGGAGCTCTCATAGTTAGGACTGAAAACTCTTGGTTGTAAACTCATGTGATGAGGAATTATACTATGCTGTCCTCTTCTGCACATCTGTCTACCATCAAAATTGTTTGAATTTGCCAAAAGAAAAAAGTGGAAAGTTGTTTCCCTAACACCTACTCATCTCTCTTTCATAGTTTTTTTTTTTTTTTTTTGGTTTGGGCATTGTCCAGATTGCTTAGAAGCTCGTGATCACAGAGGACATATTTGTCAAAAGAAAGCTTTTTTGCACCAGGATTAAGTGAAGATGTTTATTACCCAGGGCCAATGGTTCCTCCAGAGCCAGGATGTAACCATTACTGAAACCAGAAAATGATGACAGAAGTTGAGAGCTGCTCATGGGGAAAGAAAAATGCTCCCTTTTGCTTTGAAAGTGGTCACTGCCTATTCTGGCATCAATCTTACATCTGACCACGATGTGTTTCATGTTCATCTTTCTTGGTATTCCACTGAAAGTTCATCTGAAAAAAGAGGCTTGAATGAGAGTAGTAAAGAGAACAATTGCATCTATAGCTGATGCTTTGGTGAGTTTTGAGGTTCAAGATGTCAAAGAATAGACTCAGAACCAGTGAATGAGATATGGAGTTTTACTTTGGACTTACATAAAGTGGAGAAAGTCCAGTGTCAGTGGGCTTAGTAGGATAACAACAGCCACTTGCAAAAAGCCTATAGTTAGTATAGTATTTTTATTTAACACATTTGTCTGAACAACCTTTCATCTGTCAGCCTTTATTTAACAAAAAATGAAAGGGCTTCAATCCTCTGTGTGGCCCGTGTTCCATGCCACAGGATAGGACAGACCAGGGTCTCAGACGTTCCTCATAGGTAAAGAATAACTTCTAGGTTGGCCACTACTAGATTTTTTTTTTCTTTGAGACAAAATCTCACTCTGTTGACCAGGCTGGGGTGCAATGGCATGATCTTCTCCTGTCTCAGCCTCCCATGTAGCTGGGATTACAGGCAAGTTCCACAATCTCTGGCTGATGTATATTTAGTAGAGAAGAGGTTTCTCCATGTTGGTCAGGCTTATCTTGAACTCTGTATTTTTAGTAGAGAAGAGGTTTCTCCATGTTGGTCAGGCTGATCTTGAACTCCTGACCTCTGATGATCCACCTGGCTTGGACTAACTAAGTTCTGGGATTACAGGCATTAGCCACTGCTCCCAGCCAGGCCACAATTTGATTTTTGTCACTTGGAAGTTTTAACACTCAGAAGCACTTTTAATGTAAGGTTAATGTCCAGCTATCCCCAAGTAAAGTTAACACTGTCAGTTGCATCCATCATATATTCTGATTCAGACAACAGAGGTTCTTCTTCCTGAGACTCTAGATAAACAAATTTTTGCTTTTACCTGAATCACTCCATTGACAGGATTTTATTTAAGGGGCTGATGTGTGTGCACGTTGCTGGTATGGATATCTAAGTTAATGAGATGGCTTCTTAGCTGGTAGGATCTGTTCCTATTATAGGTTCATTCAGGCTGCTGAGGTGCTCCTTCTCCAGAATTTCACTCAATCATATCATTCTGGGGCTCCAGTACTATTTTACAAGGTGGGACATGCTGAAATAAACCCTAAAATTGTGGTTCAGAATGACCAGGCTGAGGCTGCCCTTTAAAAGGGAGAACTGCCAGGGTTGTGTATTATTATCCTTGCCATTCTGACATATCTTTTGTTATGGAGACCAGAAAAGGATCTGAGTATGTGACAGTCCTCCTCCTAGAGTTGCTACTATTTGTACATGACTCTTAAGTGTCAAGGTAGGTTGTGAGCTCTCCCTTCCTGGCACAGCCTGAGTAGGCTAGAGCTCTGTGACCCTTGATGTTTGGCTCAGGCAGTCTTCAGAGGAATTTCAAAAATTATAGGGTGTGGAGGGTAGAGAAACAGCTGATACAGATGGCAAGTTACGGGAGGCTGGAAGAGAATGGGACCTGTTTGAAACAGTACAAACCCTGCCTGGGTGTAGCTGAGGAGGCAGGAAGAGAATGGGACCAACTTGAAACAGTACAAACCCTGCCTGGGTGTAGCTGGACAGTCAAGCCAGTTCTCTGATTTGGGATTTGTGCCACGGAATTAACAGGCCCACTTTTGCTCTGGCCTGGGTGCTTAACTCTTGTTCTAGAACAAAATGTGAATTCTGGACTCTAGAATTTCTGTTTTACAGTCCAGTAGAGTGTAGAGGCCCAGGTTGGCCCACAAAAGAAGCTGTGGGTGGGCTTACCACAACTGACTGGTTGCTTCTCTGCCTACAATCAGAAGGAAGAAGAATCTTTTTTCTAAAGGCAAGCCCAGAGAGGATTCAGGCAAGCCCAGGGAAGTCTGAAACTTAAGGGAGCCTGTAAAGAAAAAGGTTCTTGCCTCAGATGAGTGCTTTTGCCCCTCTTGGCTTGTGGCTTTGGGGGCTCAATTTGCCCATCAGAATAAGGGGCAATGAAATCCCCTCAGTGAGAGGCTGCTCACCCTCCTTTTACCAAGCCACTGCGCAGTGCCCACCCTGCAGCTCCAGAAGGTGCATTGCCACCTCTCTTTCCCAGTTTCAAGTGATTCTTCTGCCTCAGCCTCCTGTGTAGCTGGGATTACACGCACCCACCCAGATAATTTTTGTATTTTTAGTACAGATGGGCTTTCAGTATGTTGGCCTGGCTGGTGTTGAACCCCTGGTCTCTGGTGATCCACCTGTCTCAGCCTCACAAAGTGCTGAGATTTCAGATGTCAGCCACTGCACCCACACCAAAGAATGTTTTGCGGAATTTTCTGAAAAGAGAATTATACATTATGTCTACAGTTAGCAACAGGCAAAGGGACAAACATAAAAAGCAGAATTTGCCCAAGATTTTTCTAAGCCAGGAGCAATAATATTTTAAATAAATGAGTTTAACACAAAGCTGAGAAAATAGATTTGCTTTCAAAATTGTTGAAGTTTTTTATTTGGTGATAAGTTATCAACACTTGTAAAATTATCTGTTGCATTCTAACATTTTTCTTTCCTTCTCAAAGTAGATACACAGCCATAAATAACTCTCATTACTTGCTATAGATCTGTTACACACCTAAAGTTTATTTTACAGTAATATATCTCTTATATTTAAATTCATGTAAACTAAAGCTAAAGGTCTTTATGTGTTTAGCAGACCAGAGAAGTCATATGTTTAATAGAAAAAAGTAGGATAAAATTTTGTAAACACTTGTTCAGAATTCAGAAGACTGTAGCTCCATTATACTCATATAATCTCCATTAGAGCCATCATAATCACCTTTAGTTACAAGAAAAACATAAATGTAAGTTGTAAAAACCATATTTTCCAAATTATTTTAAGTTAAAGACCACTGACAAAAGAATGACTACAGACGTTATTTCACTGTGACCCTATAGCAAATTGTCACCATCTGTTACAGCTTTGAGTAAGATACGATAACATCAGTGGCAAGACACACATTCAATATAAAATAGCCTTAACACAATAACAACAATTCTGGTTAATTTGAAAAAAATTAAGTCCACACATTGTCATTAAAAAGTATTTTTAAATTCACTGTATTTTAATTACCTTAATTTGCAAATGGTAAAGCAATTTTTGTTTAAAATTCAAATTGTTCCTATTACTATGCATAATATTATCCTGAGCACTTACCACACTCCTATCATCCTGTCACTATGATACTGTTATAAACCAACCAGTACTTGCCCTTTTCACTTAGAAATTTTTCATGTATATTAGATTTCAGTTTTCTTAGTCTTCCATTGCAAAATAGATAAATCTGTCCATCTAATATGGAAGAACCTCTCATAACTCTGGTGGAGCAACAATTGTCCATGTTCTTTCCCATATATTTTAGATATGAAGACATAGCAACAAATGTAAGAGTTAAATTACATCAATATTTGCTTTTGAAAAATATTAAATTATTTTAATATTAAAAACTAGGTCCCTGTTATAGGAAAGTGATCAAGACTGCTGATGAGAAGCAGCTAGTCTGTGTAGTTCTCATAGAGAGGAATGCAAGTTGTGCATAAATACATCACCTTCAACTGAAACACCCAGGTGCTTGCATTGGGAAAAATCAAACAACTTAAGTTATGGAGAATGGAATAAAGCAAGGCAGGACAGTGAACCACCTGGGAACAACATGGAACCAAGAAAACATTCCCACTCAATAAAGCAGTGGGTATAAGTGTGACCCTGGGAACCCACGATTCTCCCACAGATCTTTGCAACCCTCAGGTGAGGAGATCTATTCATGAACCTGCTTCATCAAGGCCTTCAGTTGAACACACAGAGCTACGTGGAGTCTCAGAGATCAGCTGCTGAGGCCTGTGCAGAGATTCAAGAACTTTAGGTACTCAGTTTTTCCAGGCTTCCCAGAAAAAGTAGTTGCAACTCCAGTAAAGCAGGAATCTGTACTTCTGTAAGTATTCATAGAAAAGAGGCAGAATCCATGAGGCTGACCAGTCATGGTCTTAGGTCTTAGGACCCATGCCCACAGTGCCCCACAGGGTAAGACTTATTGGCTTAGCATTCTGGTCAGCCCATTGGTAGCAGCACTGGACCTCCCTGGCATGGAGCTATCAGAAAGTCGAGTGGGACACCACCTTAGCTGCTTGGGCAACTTAGGCATTCCAGCCTTCAGGCTTTAAAAAGCCCAAGCTAACGTGGGGAATAAAGAATCTCCTAGCACAGTATAGGTGCTCTAAAAAGACATGGCCAGAATGCCTGTTAAATCAGGTACCCAATCTCATTTCTTGCAACTGGAAAGGACTTCCTAACCAGAGTGAGCAGCTACCACCACTGGTAGTAGCTGTGATCAAAGACCACGATCTTTGGTCGATGGAATTTTGAAACCTCTTTGTGATATAATTGCTAGAGGGAAGAGTGAGCAGCAATTTTTCCTATGTGTGTGACTTGGCTGTTCCAGCCTTCTGGCTTTGGAGAATCCAAATAAACTGTGGATGGAAGTGGTACCTCTGCACAGCAGAGACGTACTATGAAAATGTTGCTAGACTGCTTTCTTAAGTGGCTCCCCAATTACGTTCTCTTTACTGAGTAAGAAATTTCAACAAGGGATTCCAGCTACCTCTTACAGGTGCTATTGGGTTGGAAAGAGGTCTATACCTCCCTGGGATTGAGCACCCAGAAAAAAAAAGGCACGCTGCAATTATTTAGTTTAGCAACATTCAGTGGTGGTAACTTCAAGTACTGGAAAATCTTAGGTGACTAGGAATGGCAATGGACACCTCGCATACTGAGGCAGCCCTTCAGAAAAGTGGCCATACTGTTATGTGAGTGCCTGTTCTCATATATTCTCACTGGACAGGTTCTCCAGGCCTGGGCCACTAGCCAATCACTGCCAGAGGTATTGAGATAGTAGCAACTTAGCGACTCCCTGGACAGGGACCCCAGTAACGACTGAAAATATTTCTGCCACTGCCTCTATAGTAGAACTTTCCTTGCTACCCTTAGACTAGTGAAAAATCCAAAACCCTGAGTGTCTTATTCAAACATCAAACAAGCTGCAGTTTACCCAAGGAGAGGAGGCCAGTTCATTCACCATGGGTCCCACAAACTACCCACTGCTCCTCACCAGACAGTTGACCCCTAACTTGACCAAAATCACAGATCTTTCATCATGGGCTGACTGTACTGAGGGATTGCTGACCTACATCTCTCTTAGATGCAGCCTTCAGAAAACCAGCAAAGAGGTAGGGCAGCAAGCCAGCTTATGTGGTGACCAGAGGGTTTGGTGCAAGGGCATCTGTAGTAAGGTGTGGCCAGTGATGGCCATTTCTCTACCAGCAACTTTTTCACATAAGAGAGTTTTGCCCTAGGGAAGTGTTGGACCTAATTACTGTACTATAGCTTTGAAAATCAGAAGCTTGTCTAACTGAGCACTCCGTGGTTTACCGCCTCTCCCAGGCACCCAGATCCTTACAGGCCAGTCTCAGGCACACTGAGAGCCCATACCATACCATCTGCACTGGTAGGTCACATATAACTCCTGAAGAGCAACAGCTAGGCAGCCCCTATGACTGCAGCAGCCCACATATTTCTTTCCCACACTGCACTTTCCCTCGAAAACATGGCAACTCCTCATATTACTTTACTGGCACATGTCTTCAAAGGCAGATTTGGCTTTGCTTGGCCCACTAGCAAACGGGAATGCAGTATGCTCCTGCCAACCCAGCAGCTGCCATTGTAGATAAAGCTTTGGTGGGCAGAGAGCCAAAAAGACTCACTGCTACCTTTATGCTAACACTGTGCAGAGAACAGTGTATCCTCCCACATTCTGAACAATCACTTCTTCTTTAGGGGGCAAAAAGAAGGCTTCAAACCTTCATTGGTCAGCATCCTACCACATGCTAACACCACATTTATTGCAACAGCACACAGTCTCCAGCAGGTGCACCTACTCCCATCCCAGCTACATTGCTCCTGCTACTGAGATGAATAAGTGAAGACAGGCAGAAACTCCATATCCACTAGCACTCTGCTGAAGCTGCAGAAACTTAGTCCAACAGGGTGGCAGACTCCAAATATCAAAGAGACAGGGGAGAGAGTTGGGGCTCAATACAATTCCCGCTGAGTATGAAGCCTCTGAGTTGTGAGCTGAGCACTTCCCCCAACCCCTCCACAAAAAATATAAAAAATAAAAATAAAAAAATAAAAACTTCTCCCAAGAACAAAGCCTGTTGGATGAAAGCACCTTATGCCACAATCAGATACTCAAGAACATCAAAATATGATTAAAAAATCTTCATTCAAAGTTCAGCAACCTCAAATATATGCCTACAAAGATGAGACAAAATCAATGCAAAACTGCTGGGGAAAAAAAAAAAAAGCTAGAGTGACTTATTTAATCCAAATAACCAACCTACATTTCCAGCAAGACCTAAGAAGACAGAAATAGAATTCAGAATGTGAATAGAAATAAGCTTCATTGAGCTACAAAAGTAAGTTGCAAACCAATGCAAGGAAGGGAAAATTGCAGAAACTGACAGATAAAACAAACAATCTGGAGGAAAATGTGGCCAGTGTGATAAAGCTGAAAAACAGAATACAAAACTTTATAATTTATTCACACATATTACTGCAGAATTGGCTAAGCAGAAGAAAGAATTTCAGAGTTTCAAGACTGGCTTTCTGAAATAATAGAGACAAGAATAGTAAAAAAAGAATAAATAGAAATGAACAAAACCTCTGAGAAATATTTAATTATGTAAAGTAACCAAATACATGATTAAAGAGAGTGCCTGAAAGTGATGGGGGGAATGAAAACAACTTGAAATACATATTTTGGAATATCATCCATGATAACTTCCCCACCTAGACAGTGAGGCAAACATTGAAATACATCAAGATAATATGGATCAATCAAACATAAAAAGGAATATACAGAAAACAATTATTTAAAGATGGAGTTTTAAAAATTAGCTGTGATAATTTGAATTGAAGTCTAGATCTATATTTAAAAGAAAAAAATTACCCTAAAAATCAATATTACCATCTGAAAGAGAAAATGAGAATAAAGATAAAAAATGAAATAACAAAAAGGAATTCACCAAAGATAAAGATCACAAAAAGAAATAAAAATTGTAGAGTAGAAGTACCAAAAAAAAACTAACATGGACTTCAACATTAGTAAAAAATATAAGAAATCAAGAAGCTCAGCAAATAACAATGAAGATTAACACAAAAATATTTCTAATAAGACACAACATAAACAATATTTTGAAATTCACAGACAAGAAGAGAATCTGGAATGCAAGAAGATAAAAGAGATGTGTTATTTGTATGCATGCTTCTGCAAGATTACAAGTAAATTTATGAACATAAATTTTTTGGGCAAGATGGGAGCAGGATGACATAGTTAAAACACTGAAAAAAAGAGTCTAAGCAAGAATACCACACCCAGCAAAAGTAACCTTCAAAACGAAAAAAAAAAAAAAAATTCTCACTATATCATGATGTATATTAAGATCAACTATGTCATGTCTTCAAGAGAATCACTTCAGATCTAATTTAAAAAAAGACAGAAAATGACAGGATGAGAAATACATTCCATGTAAGTGTTAACCCAATGAGTGGAAAAGAGGAAACAAGTTATTAAGTTGAAAACTCTGATATTTCATAAAATTTACTTTTTTTAATACCTGAAGTTCTAGGGTACATGTGCGCAACGTGCAAGTTTGGTAGGTATGTATACATGTGCCATGTTGGTGTGCTGCACCCATTAACTCATCATTTACATTAGGAATATCTCCCAATTCTATCCCTCCCCCTATCTCCAATCCCACGACAGGCCCTGGTGTGTGATGTTCCCCATCCTGTGTCCAAGTGTTCTCATTGTTCAATTCCCACCTATGAGTGAGAGCATGTGGTGTTTGTTTTTTTTGTCCTTGCAATAGTTTGCTGAGAATAATGGTTTCCAGCTTCATCCATGTCCCTACAAAGGACACGAATGCATCCTTTTTTATGGCTGCATAGTATTCCATGGTGTATATGTGCCACATTTTCTTAATCCAGTCTATCATTGTTGGACATTTGGGTTGGTTCCAAGTCTTTGCTATTGTGAATAGTTCCACAATAAACATACGTGTGCATGTGTCTTTATAGCAGCATGATTTATACTTCTTTGGGTATATACCCGGTAATGGCATGGCTGGGTCAAATGATATTTCTAGTTCTAGATCCTTGAGGAATCACCACACTGTCTTCCGCAATGGTTGAACGAGTTTACAGTCCCATCAAGAGTGTAAAAGTGTTCCTATTTCTCCACATCCTCTCCAACACATGCAGTTTCCTGACTTTTTAATGATCACCATTCTAACTGGTGTGACATGGTATCTCATTGTGGTTTTGATTTGCATTTCTTTTTTGGCCATGATGATGAGCATTTTTTCATGTGTCTGTTGGCTGCATAAATGTCTTCTTTTGAGAAGTGTCTGTTCATATACTTCACCCACTTTTTGATGAGGTCGTTTGTTTTTGCTTTTACCTTTGTTTGAGTTCTTTGTAGAGTCTGGATATTAGCCCTTTGTCAGATGAGTAGATTGCAAAAAATTTCTCCCCTTCTGTAGGTTGCCCGTTCACTGTGATGGTAGTTTCTTTTGCTGTGTAGAGGCTCTTTAGTTTGATTAGATCCCATGTGTCAATTTTGGCTTTTGTTGCCATTGCTTTTGGTGTTTTAGACATGAAGTCCTTACCCATGTCTGTGTCCTGAATGGTACTGCCTAGGTTTTCTTCTAGGGTTTTTATGGTGTTAGGTAGAACATTTAAGTCTTTAATCCATCTTGAATTGATTTTTGTATAAGCTGTAATGAAGAGATCCAGTTTCAGCTTTCTACATATGGCTAGCCAGTTTTCCCAGCACCATTTATTAAATAGAGAATGCTTTCCCCATTTCTTGTTTTTGTCAGGTTTGTCAAAGATCAATTGGCTGTAGTTGTGTGGTATCATTTCTGAAGGCTCTGTTCCATTCCATTGGTCTATATCTCTATTTAGGTACCAGTACCATGCTGTTTTGGTGACTGTAGCCTTGTAGTATAGTTTGAAGTCAGGTAGTGTGATGCCCCCAGCTCTGTTCTTTTGGCTTAGGATCGTTTGGCAATGCAGTCTCTTTTTTGGTTCCATATGATCTTTAAAGTAATTTTTTCCAATTCTGTGAAGAAAGCCATTGGTAGCTTGATGGCGATGGCATTGAATCTATAAATTACCTTGGGCAGTATGGTCATTTTCACGATATTGATTCTTCCTATCCATGAGCATGGAATGTTCTTCCATTTGTTTGTGTCCTCTTTTATTTTAATGAGCAGTGATTTGAGCTCCTTGAAGAGGTCCTTCACATCTCTTGTAAGTTGGATTCCTAGGTATTTTCTTCTTTTTCAAGCAATTGCGAATGGGAGTTCACTCTTGATTTGGCTCTCTGTTTGTCTGTTATTGGTGTATAAGAATGCTTGTGATTTTTGTACATTGATTTTGCATCCTGAGACTTTGTGGAAGTTGCTTATCAGCTTAAGGAGATTTTGGGCTGAGACAATGGGGTTTTCTGAATATAGAATCATATCATCTGCAAACAGGGACAATTTGACTTCCTCTTTTACTAATTGAATTCCATTAATTTCTTTCTCCTGCCTGATTGCCCTGGCCAGAACTTCCAACACTATGTTGAACAGGAGTGGTGAGAGAGACCATCCCTGACTTGTGCCAGTTTTCAAACGGAATGCTTCCAGTTTTTGCACATTCAGTATGATATTGGCTGTGGGTTGGTCATAAATAGCTCTTATTATTTTGAGGTACGTCCCATCAATACCTAATTTATTGAGAGTTTTTAGCATGAAGGGCTGCTGAATTTTGTCAAAGGCCTTTTCTGCACCTATTGAGATAATCATGTGGTTTTTGTCTTTGGTTCTGTTTATATGTTGTATTACGTTTATTGGTTTGCATATGTTGAACAAGACTTGCATCCCCTGGATGAAGCCAACTTGATCGTGGTGGATAAGCTTTCTGATGTGCTGCTAAACTCGGTTCACCAGTATTTTACTGAGGATTTTTCCATTGATGTTCATCAGGGATATTGGTCTAAAATTCTCTTTTTTGTTCTGTCTCTGGCTGGCTTTGGTATCAGGATGTTGTTGGCTTCATAAAATGAATTAGGGAGGATTCCCTCTTTTTCTAATGATTGGAGTAGTTTCAGAAGGAATGGTGCCAGCTCCTCCTTGTACCTCTGGCAGAATTCGGCTGTGAATCTGTCTCGTCCTTGACTTTTTTTTGTTCATAGGGATTAATTATTGTCTCAAATTCAGAGTCTGTTATTGGTCTATTCAGGGATTCAACTTCTTCTTGGTTTAGTCTTGGGAGGGTGTATTTGTCAAGGAATTTATCCATTTCTTCTAGATTTCCTAATTTATTTGCATAGAGGTGTTTCTAGTATTCTCTGAGGGTAGTTACCATTTCTGTGGGATCGGTTGTGATATCCCCTATATAACTTTTTATTGTGTCTCTTTGATTCTTCTCTCTTTTCTTCTTTAGTAGTCTTGCTTAGCAGTCTATCAATTTTGGTGATATTTTCAAAGAACCAGCTCCCAGATTCACTGATTTTTTGAAGTGTTTTTTGTGTCTCTGTCTCCTTCAGTTCTGCTCTGATCTTAGGTATTTCTTGCCTTCTGCTAGCTTTTAAATGTGTTTGCTCTTGTTTCTCTAGTTCTGTTAATAGTGATGTTAGGGTGTCAGCTTTAGATCTTTCATGATTTCTTATGGGCATTTAGTGCTATAAATTTCCCTCTACACACTGCTTTAAATGTATCCCAGAGATTCTGATATGTTGTGTCTTTGTTCTCATTGGTTTCAAAGAACATCTTTATTTCTGCCTTCATTTTCTTATGTACACAGTAGTCATTCAGGAGCAGGTTGTTCAGTTCCCATGTAGTTGAGCAGTTTTGAGTGAGTTTCTTAATCCGGAGTTTTAGTTTGATCGCCCTATGGTCTGAGAGACAGTTTTTTATAATTTCTGCTCTTCTACATTTGCCGAGGTGTGCTTTACTTCCAACTATGTGGTCAATTATGGAATAAGTGTGATGTGGTGCTGAAAAGAACATATATCTGTTGATTTGGGGTGGAGAGTTCTGTAGATGTCTATTAGGTCCGCTTGGTGCAGAGCTGAGTTCTATTACTGGATATCCTTTTTAACTTTCTGTCTCATTAATCTGTCTAATGTTGATGGTGGGGTGTTAAAAAGTCTCCCATTATTATTGTGTAGTAGTTTAAGCCTCTGTGTAGGTCTCTAACGCCTTGCTTTATAAATCTGGGTGCTCCTGTATTGGGTGCATATATATTTAGGATAGTTAATTCTTCTCATTGAATTCATCCCTTTGCCATTATGCAACAGCCTTCTTTGTCTCTTTTGATCTTTGTTGTTTTAAGGTCTGTGTTATCAGAAATCAGGATTGCAACCCTTCCACCCCCCTTTTTTTCTATTTGCTTGGTAGATCTTCTTCCATCCATCTATGTTGAGTCTACGTGTGTCTCTGCACGTGAGATGAGTCTCCTAAATACAGCACACTGATGGGTCTTGACTCTTTATCCAATTTGCCAGTCTCTGTCTTTAATTCGAGCATTTAACCCATTTGTACTTAAGGTTGATATTGTTATGCTCGAATTTGATCCCGTCATTATGATGTTAGCTGGTTATTTTGCTCATTAGTTGATGCAGTTTCTTCCTATCATCGAAGGTCTTTAAAATTTGGCATGTTTTTGCAGTGGCTGGTACCAGTTGTTCCTTTCCATGTTTAGTGCTTCCTTCAAGAGCTCTTGTAAGGCAGGCCTGGTGGTGACAAAATCTCTCAGCATTTGCTTGTCTCTAAAGGATTTTATTTCTCTTTCACTTATGAAGCTTAATTTGACTGGATATGAAATTCTGGGTTGAAAATTCTTTTCTTTAAGAATGTTGAATATTGGCTCCCACTGTCTTCTGGCTTATAGAGTTTCTGCTGAGAGATCAGCTGTTAGCTTGATGGGCTTCCCTTTGTGGGTAACCCGACATTTGTCTCTGGCTGCCCTTAATATTTTTTCCTTCATTTCAACTTTGGCGAATCTGACAATTATGTGTCTTGGAGTTGGTCTTCTCAAGGTGTATCTTTGTGGTGTTCTCTGTATTTCCTGAATTTGAATGTTGGCCTGCCTTGCTAGGTTGGGGAAGTTCTCCTGGATAATATCCTGCAGAGTGTTTTCCAACTTGGTTCCCTTCTCCCCAATCAGACGTAGATTTGGTCTTTTCACATAGTCCCATCCTTCTTGGAGGCTTTGTTCATTTCTTCTTACTCTTTTTTCTCTAAACTTTTCTTTGCACTTCATTTCATTCATCTGATCTTCAATCACTGATACCCTGTCTTCCAGTTGATTGAACCAGTTACTGAAGCTTCTGCATTCATTGTGTAGTTCTTGTGCTATGGTTTTCAGCTCCATCAGGTCATTTGAGGACTTCTCTACACTGGTTATTCTAGTTAGCCATTTGTCTTATCTTTTTTCAAGGTTTTTTAGTTTCTTTGTGGAGGGTTCAAACATCCTCCTTTAGCTTGGAGAAGTCTGAAGCCTTCTTCTCTCAACTCACCAAAGTCATTCTCCATCCAGCTTTGTTCCATTGCTGGTGAGGAGCTGCATTCCTTTGTAGGGGGAGAGGTGCTCTGATTTTTAGAATTTTCAGCTTTTCTGCTCTGTTTTTTCCCCATCTTTGTGGTTTTATCTACCTTTGGTCTTTGATCATGGTGACGTACAGATGGGGTTTTTGTGTGGATGTTCTTTCTGTTTGTTAGTTTTCCTTCTAACAGTCAGGATCCTCAAGTCTGTTGGTATTTGCTGGAGGTCCATTCCAGACCGTGTTTTCCTGGGTATCAGCAGTGGAGGTGACAGAACAGCAAATATTGCTGAACAGCAAATATTGTTGCCTGATCGTTCCTCTGGAAGCTTCATTTCAAAGGGATACCCGGCCATGTGAGGTGTCAGTCTGTCCCTGCTGCAGTCTGTCCCTGCTGGGGGGTACCTCCCTGTTGGGCTAGTTGGGGGTCAGGGCCTCACTTGAGGAGGCAGTCTGTCCTTTCTCAGATCTCAAACTCTTTGTTGGGAGAGCCACTACTCTCTTCAAAGCTGTCAGATGGGAACTTTTAAGTCTGCAGAGGTTTCTGCTGCCTGTTGTTCAGCTATGCCCTGCACCCAGAGGTGGAGTCTACACAGGCAGGCAGGCCTCCTTGAGCTGTGGTGGGCTTCACCCAGTTCAACCTTCTGTGCCACTTTGTTTACCTACTCAAGCCTCAGCAATGGCGGATCCCCCTCCCCCAGCCTTGCTGCCACCTTGCAGTTTGATCTTAGACTGCTGTGCTAGCAACGAGTGAGGCTTCATGGGTGTGGAACCCTCCAAGCCATGCGTGGGATATAATCTCCTGGTGTGCCATTTGCTAAGACCATTGGAAAAGTGCAGTATTAGGCTGGGAGTGACCCGATTTTCCAGGTGATGTCTGTCATAGCTTCCCTTGGCTAGGAAAGGGAATTCCCTGATCCCTTGCACTTCCTGGGTGAGGTAATGCCTCGCCCTGCTTTGGCTCATGCTCAGTGACCTGTGCCCACTGTCCTGCACCCACTGTCTGACAAGCCCCAGTGAGATGAACCTGGTACCTCAGTTGGAAATGCAGAAATCAGCCATCTTTGTCATCACTCATGTGAGAGCTGTAGACTGGAGCTGTTCCTATTCGGCCACTTGGAACCGCCCCAAATTTTCTTTAAGACAATTTACAAGAGACCAAGTAGGACATTCAATTCTAGTAAGAGAGATCATTCACTGAGAATCTATAAATATATGAAAGTTTTCTCAAACACATTAAGTAAACATTGACAAAATTGAAGCCAAAATTGACAGCAATATAATAATGGAAGGGTACATCAATATCCCGCTTTTAGGAATAAATAAAACAAGACAGAATATCAATAAGGGAAGGAACAAGTTGAATGCACTATGCAATAATTACACCTAACAAATATATATAGAAAACTGAACACACATTCTTTTCAATAGCTAACAAATCATTTTGTGAGGTGGACCACGTGTGACACCACAAAAGACTTCATAATTTTTTAAATTAAAATTTTACAAGTATTTATAGTGCAAATGCAATAAAACTAGAAATTCGTAACAGAGAAAAGTTTGTGTGTGTGTGTGTGTGTGTGTGTGTGTGTGTGTGTGTGTTTGTTTTTGAGATGGAGTATCACTCTGTCCCTAGGCTGGAGGGCATTGACACAATCTCAGCTAACTGCAACCTCTAACTCCCGGGTTCAGTCAGTTCCCCAGCCTCACCCTTTTGAGTAGCTGGGATTAAAGGCATGCAAACCACCGTGTTTCCTGAGTAGCTGAGAATACAGTCACACAACCATAAAGTACAAATATTTTTTATAGTTTAGTAGAGACAGGGTTTCACCATGTTGTCCAGGATGGTCTCAATATCCTGAAGTCTCCATACACCCTCCTCAGCATCCCAAAGTGCTGAGAGTACAGGCATGAGTCACCACACCTGGCCAACAACACATTTTGAGCATGCTCTTCTTAAGAGTTGGAAGACATAATATTGTGATGTGTCCATGCTTCTTCGTGGCTTAATGTAACCCACATATAAAACATGACCCTTTTCAGTTTTAAATTTGAGTTTTCCAAAAATAGAAAAAAATTCACAAAATTATGTAAGATCTTAAGGGACCACGGAAAGCCTGACAAACTTTAAAAAGAAGAAAAATATTAGAAGCATTACACATAATAATTTCCAAACACACACATACAAAAATCTAGAGTAATCAAAGCACTTTGGCACTGGTAGAATAAAGGTAGAATACGAAGTAATGAAATAGAATGCAGCACAAACATATACTCTTGCATAGAGAGGAGAGATATGTCACCTAGCTTTTACATTCAGCCGTATGTCACAATTCTTTTGGGCTGAGGATGCAGGCAAGAGAGGAGGGTTACATTACTTGGACATTAGTTTCAGTGGTATTTCAAAATGTTCTCTGGGGGCAGGGCACAGGCAGGAGAGACAAACCACGCATCTGATAGACCCAGATAGTTGTGATTATATCCCCTGTTACCAGGGCCCAGGCAGAAGAGGCACATTATTATGATTCTGACCTAGCGATATGTAACAATGCACCCATGGAAAGTAATTTGAGGCAAAAAGTCTCAATACCACGATACTAGGCCAGTGATATGACACCATCCCTTCATCTTTGAGGATGACTTTAACCTTTAGCTGAGCATGTATATTAGAGTCACAATCTCACGTGTGTGCTGGACCAATGTATTACACTCTCAAAAACATCTAAGGGCTTTATAAAACCCGTGTGAGAGTTTCAAACCTCTCTGAGGCCTATTTGCTCATATGGACTCACGGTCTTACCTATCATCCTAAACTGAGTTATGATGCTCAACATCTCTCCTATAGGCAGTGTTAAAAGAGAAGATCCATTTTATTTTATTTATTTTAATTTATTTTTTATTATTTATTTATTTTTTTCTGAGATGGATTCTCACTCTGTCACCAAGGCTGGAGTGCAGTGGTGCCATCTCAGTTCACTGCAACCTCTGCCTTCTGGGATCAAGGGATTCTCCTGCCTCAGCCTCCCAGATGGCTGGGACTAGGGGTGTGTGCCACGATGCCCAGCTAATTTTTTGTATTTTTAGTAGAAATGGGGTTTCACCGTATTAGACAGGATGGTTTCGATCTCCTCACCTCATGATCCACCTGCCTCAGCCTCCCAAAGTGCTGGGGTTACAGTCATGAGTCACCGCACCCAGCCAGGAACACCTATTATTATGCCTGTGGGCTCGGTTCAGAAATAAGTCACCATCCCATCTGTGTCCAGATCCAAATAAAAAAAAAAAAGGTCCAATTTCAAATTTGTGATGTATTCCCTCATTAGACTCAGAACTTCTACAGTGGGCATTATAAATGTGGGATGGTGACAACTTTTAATTTCATCTGGGTGTGTAAATGAGAGTCCCATTCTGAACTTTTTGCCAGGCCCTGTTATAAAGCTCTCTACCAGCAGAGTTTATACAATATAAGTTAGTGTTGTAGACTTCTGTGAGCTTGGAAAAATATGCAACCCAGGACCTTACTTATTGCCCTAAGCCTAACACTGAGAGGCAAAAGATTTTTTAATTGGCTGAATCCAAATATAAGTTTAATCATTATGCCTGTGAACTGAAGAAAGGCATATGTCATAATCCCATATATGAGCAAAAAACTAGGCAGAAGGGTAACATCACTTAGACGCTTTGCCAGGCAATATGTAACAATGCTTTTTCCATGTCTGGTATAAGAAATTGGGTCAAATTAACTGGGTGCTGGACCCATCATTATGACACCATCCCACATGCAGAAAAAACCCAGTCAAGTTATGAGAGCCAAAACACCTAGATAATGGACTTAAGATATGTCAAAATACCTTCATTGGCTCAAGAACGGGCAGGAGAGTCACATCATAAGGGTGCTTGGCCCAGCAATATGCCATATGTCATAATTTTCTCTCTATGCAGAACCAAGGTTGTAGAGTGACATCATCTGGGCTATGGACCCTGGAATAGGTCAAAATTTCATTTATTGTGGCATAATTCAGGAAAAAAGGGAGAGTCACATATTGTGAGTGCTGGGCTTAGTAATGTGCCCAAATCCTCCTACTGTGAATGCCCAGGCAGAAAAAGAGTCACATCACTTAGGTCATGGGCTCAGAGATATGTCACAATGTCCCCAGGATGCAGGACTCAGGCAGATGACAAGAGCCGTATCACTTATGTTCTTTCCATGGAATATGTCACAGGTAATATGTGGTCAGAAAGCAGGCAGAATAGCCACATCACTTGGGTGCTGGGTCCTGAGATATAGCACAAGGCTCTCTTAAAACAGCCCCCAGCAGAGAGAGCTACATCACCTAGGTGCAGTTTCTCTGCTTATGCCACAATGTTCCATGTGGGTAGGGCCCAAAAAAGGAGTCACTTCACCTAGGAGATAGGTCCAGAGATATATCACAATGTCCTCTATGAAGCATAGCCCTGGCAAAAGAGTACTACTACTTATGTGCATGGCCAAGAAATATTTCACCTCGAGGTTGGCAGGTCCCAAGCAGGAGAGCCACATCTCCTAGGTGATAGGTCCAGAGTTATGTCAAAATGCCCTCCTTTGGGCAAGGCTCTGCCAAAAGAGTATCCTTGCCTGTGGGCCTGGCCTTGCAATATGTCACTATCCTTCCTTTGTGCACGGCCCATTCCAGAGAAAGGAGTTACATCACCTATGAGGTGGACACAGAAATATGTCACTATAATTTGGGTGGGCATGGCACAGGCAAGAATGTAACATTACTTGGGTGCTAGATCCAGTGATATATCACAATCCTTACTGAGAGAGGGGCCTATGAAGGAGAGTCATATAACTTAGAGTTTGGCCTAAGTAGATATCAGAATCCCATATATGGACTAGGACCACCCTGGAGACTCAAATTACACAGGAGCTTGGCAAAAATTTATATCAAAATCACATTTTCAGAAAATTCCAAAGGTGAGATTTACAATACCACACATCTTGCTTTTATGTGTGACAACTGGCTTAATCCTTGTGAAATAATGACAGTCCTTACACACGGCTCGGTGTGTATACAGGACTCACAATTTCACCTGTGTGCCAAGCCCTGCTTTGATGCTGTCTGTATAAACTAAAGACCTTGTAAAATATGTGGAGTGTTGTAATCTCTTGTGATCTTTGCAGAAAAAGGAGATCCAAGACATCACGCATGTCCCTAAAGTTAGTTATGAGTCAAAATATTTTCTATTGGCTGAGCCCACATATGAGAGTCATAATTCCTGTGAGCCATGCCTAGTATATGCTACAATTCCCTCTGTGGTTATGAAGCAGGCAGAACAGCCACATCACCTAAATACTGGGCTAGAAATATTTCAATATTCTCTTAATAGGCAGGGTACTGTCAGAAATTTTACATAACTTGTGTTCTAGGTTCAGCTATGTGGTACAATGTCATTTGTAGCAGTATCGAGGCAGGAGGGGAGAGTTATATGACCTAAATCGTGGGCCCAAATATATGTCACAGTGCCTCATTTTGGCAGGGCCCAAGCAAGAAATTCATATCATTTGGATACAGTGTTTAGAAAAGCTACAATTACCAAAGGAAGCAGGGTCCAGGCAGGAAAGGAGAGGCATGTAAGCTATAATATGTGTCCAGAAATATGTTAACAATTCCCCCCTGCGGACACTGTTAAGATAACACAAGCAATCATTAATATGTGCGGCACAGTTATTTGTCAAAATCTCATTTATGGGCTATACAGAGGCAGAAATACTAAGTCAGTCAGCAGCTGGGCAAAAGTACTTGTCACAATTACCAGGCATATGAGTTGTTATTAGACTTTTGTAATTTTCTCTGGTATATTGCATAATATCAACTGTGGCCATAGAGAAGGCAAGAAAGTCACGTCACCTATGTGGAGGTGGCACCAGTGAGATGTCACAATCCACCTTCTGGGCAGGACCCTGGCAGAAAAGCCACATCACCTTTATGCTGACTGCAGTGACATATCCAAATCCCGTCTGTGGGCAGGACTGTAGCAAGAGAGGACACTCATTTGACCTAAGGAATTTATCTAGATATGTCTCACAATGTCTTTGATGTGCAGTACCAATGTTAGAGAGTGCCTTCACATTGTTTCTGGGTCCAGCAACAGGCCACAATCTCCGTGTGGTCAGGGCCTAAGCAAAAGTGAAGAAACATCACCTACATGCTGAGCCAAGTGATGTGTTACATCACTTCCTGTTGGCAGAACCCAAAAAGGAGAATCACATCACCTGTGTGCAGTACCCACTTCTGTGTCACAGTGCACTGTAAATGAAGGACCCAGGCAGCAGAAGGGATTCACATCACTTCCATGATGGGCTCAGATATGGCCCAATGTCACAAGTAGCCAAGGCTCAGGCAGAAAGAGAGAGTCATATTACATAGGTGCTTCTTTTTGCATATATCACAAATTAATATGTGGGCAGAAACCAGGCTAAAGAGCCACATCATCTGGTCCTGGGCCCTGACATGTTCATAAGTCCCCCTTAGAACAGGACCCAGACAAGAGAGTTATATCACCTAGGTGCAGATTCCACCCTTATATCACAAAGATCCATGTGGACAAGGCAAAGCAAGAAGTCATATAATCTAGGTGATAGGCTCAGAGATATGTCATAAAGCCTTCTTTAAAGCATGGCCCTGGCAAAAGAGTACAATCACTTTTGTGCCTGGCCTGGCAATGTGTCACTATTCAAGTGGGCAGGTCCCAAGCAGAAGAGCCATATCACCTACATGATAGGCCTATGATATGTCAAAATGCCCTCTTGTTACATGACCCTGGCATCCTCTTCTAAGTGATGGACACAGTGAAATGTCACAATGATGTTGAGGGAAATCAGGGACCCCGAACAGAGGGACTGGCTGAAGCCATGGCAGAAGAACATAAATTGTGAAGATTTCATGGACATTTATTACTTCCCCAATCAATACTTTTACAATTTCCTATGCCTGCCTTTACTTTAATCTCTTAATCCCATCATCTTCATAAGCTGAGGATGTATGTCACCTTAGGACCCTGTGATGATTGCATTACCTGCACAAAATGTTTGTAGGGCAGGTGTGTTTGAACAATATGAAATCTGGGCACCTTAAGAACAGGGTAACAGCGATTTTCAGGGAACAAGGGAGATAACCTTAAAGTCTGGCGGCCTGTGGGCTGGGCAGGACAGAGCCATATTTCTCTTATTACTGAAAACGGGTAAGATAAATACCGCTGAATTCTTTCCCCAGTAAGGAATATTAATAATTAACAGCCCTGGGAAAAGAATGCATTCCCAGGGGGGAACATCTAAAATGGACACCCTAGGAGTGTCTGCCTTATGCAGATATAGATAGGGATGAAATACACCCTAGTCTCCAGCAGCATCCCCAGGCGTGCTAGGATTAGGACATGCCAGCCTGGCAAAATCTAGTCAGACCGGTTCTCTGCCCTTGAACCCTGTTAAGATGACAATGCGTGCACAGCTGGACATGGACGTTCATTAGTGATTCTAATGTTGCCCTGATCTCATGATCTCACCCCGACCTTCTGCCTTGTGATCTTTTGTTGACCTTGAAGCATGTGATCTCTGTGACCCACACCCTATTCATACACTCCCTCCCCTTTGAAAATTGCTAATAAAACCTTGCTGGTTTTATGGCTCAGGGGGCATCAGGGAACCTGCCGACGTCTGATGTCTCCCCCGGATACCCAGCTTTAAAATTTGTCTCTTTTGTACTCTTTCCCTTTATTTGTCAGACCAGCCAACACTTAGGGAAATAGAAAAGAACCTACGTGAAATAACATTGAATTATCGGGGGTGGGCATAGTGCAGCAAGAATGTAACATCACCTGGGTGCTGGATCCAGTGATGTCACAATTCTTATTGAGAGCACAGCCCAGGCGGAAGTGTCACATCACTTGAAAATTGGCCCAGGTAGATATCAAAATTCCATATATAGGCTGGACCCAATCTGAAGAGTGAAATTACACAGGTGCTTGGGAAAGATTTATATCACATTCACAATGGAATTAAATTCTAGGAATTAGATTTACAATGCCACACATGTCCTCTTTTTATGTAGGATAGTTGCTTTCATTCATCTTTGATGTTGAAAGCCCTTACTGTTATTTGGGTGTGCATATGAGACTCATAGTTTTCTCTGTCTGCTAGGCATTATTATGACACTCTATATAACCCAAGGTTGTTATAAATTATGTGTGTTTGTTATGATTTTCTGTGAGCTTTTTACCAGATGAAGGTCCTTAACATCACTCATGTCTCAAAATCTTGTGACAAAAGTCAAAATTTACCTTATTGCCTGGGTTCCCATATTAGAGTCATTATCATGCCTGTTAGCTGTACCTAGGTAAATGTCATCATTACCTCTGTGGTTATTAAACAGACAGGACAGTCACATCACCTAAATTTTAAGTCAGAATTATTCCAATATTCTCTTTGAAGGCAAGACACTAACAGAAAATTCACAAAACTTGGGTTTTAAGCAAAGCCCTATGGCATAATACCCCTGTGGAGAATGCCCAGGAAGGAGAGTAGAGTCATGTCACCTAAATCATGGCCCCAGAGATATGTCACAATGCCTCCTGTTGAAAAGGGCCCATGCAATAGAATTGTGTCATTTGGATCCAGTGCATAGAAATGCTAAAATCTTCACTAGAATCAGGATTCAGGCAGGAGAGGAGAGACACACAACCTAGAGGATGAATCCAGCAATATGTTATGATCCCTTCTGAGGACACTGTTAAAACATGAGAGTCAAATCATCACGCTTTTGTCCAGGTATATGTCAAAATGTCATCTGTTAGCTATAACTGAGTAGGATTATTAAATCACTCAGGAGATTGGCAAAGGAAAGTGTCACAATAACACCTATAAAAAGTTTCAGGCTCCAGGTGCAATGGTCGTTATTAGGCCTTTGATCTGCTCTCACATATATGACACAATATAACCTGTGAACATGGAGAAAAAAGGAAATTCTCATCACCTGAGTGGATGCTTGTCTAGTTGAATGTCACAATCCTTGCTGTGTACAGGCCTCTAGAAGAAGAGTCACTTAACCCGGATGTTGGTTTCAGTGATATATCTAAAACCCCCTGTGGGCAGGGCTTAGGCAGGAGAGGACACAAACCTCACCTAGGCAATTGGCTTGGGTATATGTCACAATGGCCCCTATGTTTATGACCAAGGCAGGAGAGTGAACTCACCTTGTGCTGGTTTCACCTATATGTCACCATCTCTCTGGTGGTCAGGGCTCAGTCAAGAGAGAAGAAACATCACCTAGGTGCTGAGCCAAGTGATATATTATACAGTTTTTATATTGGTAGAATCTACCCCCTCCAAACAAAGGGTCCCATCACATGGGTGCAGTACCCAGTTATGTGTAACAATGCACTAGAAGTGCAAGGCCAAGGCAGTAGAAGGAAGTCACATCACTTATATGATGGACCTTGATGAAAGCCACAGTGCTCTTTGTAGGCAAGCTTCCGGCCAAGGTTTTGCATCAGCTGGGTGCTTCTTTCAGGGATATGTAAAGATGTCCTTGGTCCCTCTGCCAAAGAAGATATCATATATTGCTTAGGTGCTTAGCACACATATGTCACAATCCGAACTGTGCTGTGGGCCTAGAAAGGAGATTCAAAACAGTCAGATACTGGGCAAAGTCATACTTCTAAAGCACACACTCGAAAATGTTCAGAAATACATTTCATAGTCCCACACAAGTCCTGCCTTCGGGTGTAAGAGTCAACATCTCCTGTGAGTTGGGTCGAAGTACAGACATCAGAGTCTCAACAATGGGCAAGATGCATGTATAAGAGCCCCAATCCCACTTGAAGATTGTGCTCCACTAGTAGATTCAAAGCACCACAGGCTTGCTGAATCATCGTTCAAATGCCACCAAACCAACTGCGGATCAGATTCATGTATGAGAGTTACAATTTTAAGATTTCAACTGCTTATGTGTGTGAAATTTAGTACCTCATTTGTAGGCTCTGTTTATGTATGAGAATGAAAATCGTGTCAGCTGGGTGTGCATCCAAGACTCAAAATAGCACCTGGTTGTTGGTGCCTGTTATGAAACTCTTTGTACCACTCATGATTTATGTGATATACCTGAGTAGCACAGTTTTCTCTGAATTGTTACAGGTGGGAGGTCTCAGAATTTATCCATGGCCATAAGACTGGCAACGAGAACCAAAATATCTCCCTTGGCTGCGTCAACGTTTGAAAGTTTTTGTTACACATATGAACTGATTTCATGAGTAAGTCCCAATTTTATGTTTGGGCAGAGACAAGACAGTAGAATCACATCATCTGGGTCCTTAGCCAGGCATACCTTATAATCTCCTCTGTAGGCACAACCCAGACCGGAGGCTTATATCACTTGGGTACAATCTCAAATAATATGTCATCATGCCCACTGTATACATGGTTGAAAAAATAGTGGATAGTCACACCTCCAGGTGCCATGTTCAACAACATATTAAAATTCCCTCTCTTGACAGAGTACATAACAAAGGGTACTGTCACATCATCTAGGTTTTATACTCAGTGGTATGTCACAATTTCTTCAGTGGGCAGGATCCAGGCAGCAGAGGAGATTCGCTTTATCTAGATGTTGTATCTAGCAATATGTCACAGTGTCCCCTGTGGGCAGGGCACTGGGAGGAGAGACACATCACCTACCTGATAGACCCAGAGATATGTGATAATATCCCCTGGTGCCAGGGTCCAAGCGGAAGAGTCACCTTTTCATCATTTTAACCCAGTGATGTGTCACAATGCACCCATGGTAAAGAATTTAAGCCGAAAATTCTCAACACCTAGGAGTACTGGGCCTAGAGATATGACACAATCTCTTCATCTTTTAGGGTGACACCTTTAAGGGCTAGCTTGGTGTGTATGTGAGAGTCACAATCTCATGTGTTTTCTAGATCATCGTATGACACATTCTGCAGCATCCGAAGGCTTTATGCAACATGCATAAGAGTAGCAACCTACTCTAAGGCATACATGCTCGTATTGACTCATAATCTTATATACTGCTTTAAACCCAGTTATGATAGTCAGCATCTCTCTTATAGACTGGGTTCAGATGGGAGACTGATTATTATGCCTGTGATCTGGGTCCAGAAATGAGCCACCATCTCATCTGTAGCAAGATCCATATATGAAAGTCAAAATTCCATCTTTGTTCTTTATTTACTTGTTATACTCAGTACTTTGACAGTGGCCTCTGTAAATGTGGGATGGTGATAACTTTTGCTCTCACCTGCATGTGAAACCAAGAATCATGATCTTAACCTTTTGCTGGGCCCTGTCCTAATAAGTTTATAGAATATGAGTTAGTGTTGTAACATTCTGTGAGTTTTGTACAAATATGCAACTCATAACCTTACCTATTGCCATAAGCATAGTGATGAGAGGCAACATATCTATTATTGGTGTAATCCCAATTAAAATTTGACCATCATCCCTCTGAATAGAAGGAATGTAAATTTAATAATCCAATTTGTAGGAAAAAACTTGACAAGAAGGTAGCACAATTTAGGTATTGTGCCAAGCAATGTGTCACAATGCCCTCTCTAGGCAGGGTGTAGAAATGGGGGTTACATTAACTGGGTGCTAGACCCAGCAATATAACACAATCCCGAATATGGAAGAAAAACAGATAAATCATGAGAGCAAACACACCTACAACATGGGACCAAGATATGCTAAAATACTTTCTGTTGCTGTGGCACAGGCAGGAACTTACATCATCGGGGTTGGGGGCCCAACTGTATGCCATAATTCTCTGTGAAGGACCAAGGCAGCAGAGGAACATCATCTGGGTGCTGGGCCCAGCAATATGTCAGAATTCCTTTTCACGGGCACAGTTTGGGAAAAAAGGAAGAGTCATATCTCCTAAGTATCAAGCTTAGCAATATTTCACATTACCTCATCGTAAAGTCTCTGGCAGAAAAGCAGGGTCACATCACCTAGGACAGGAGCTCAGATATATGGCCAAATATTCCAAGTAGGCAGGGCTCAAGCAGAAGAGAAGAGTCATAACACATATCATATAGGTGCTTCCCTAGGTATATGACACAGTCTTACATGTGGGGTGAAAGCAGGCAAAAGAGCTACATCACGTTGATGCTGGATTCTGAGCTATCTCACAAGGTCCCCTTAGGACAGGACCCAGGCAAGAGAGTTAGAGCAAATAGGTGCAGTTTTTGCCCCTATGTTTCAATGCTCTATGTTGGCAGGACCCAGGCAGGGAGTCACATCACCTAAGTGATAGGGCCAGAGATATTTCACAATATCCCCCTGAGACTTGGCCCTGGTGAAAGAATAACAATACATTTGTGCCTAGCCTAGCAACATGTCACTATACAGGTAAGCATGACCCAAGCGGTAGAGCAAAATCCCCTATGTGAAGACCCAGAAATTTGTCATAATGCCCTTTTTAGGACATGGCCCTAGCAAAAGAGTATCATCAGCTTTGTGCCTGGCCCAACTGTATGTTACTGCCCCTGACAGTGCACAGGGACCATTCTAATGAGGAGATTTATGTGACCTAAGTTGTTGACACAGTGATATGTCACAGTGATTTCTGTAGGCAGGGCTCAGGCAAAAATGTAACATGACCAGGGTGCTGGATCTAGTGGTATGTCATGATTCTTACTGACAGCAAGGCTCAGGCAGGACAGTCACATCACCTGGAGGTTATTCAAGGTACATATCACAATTACATATGTGGGATGAAAAAAGTTTGGAGAGTCCAATCACAAGGTACTCGGCAAATATTTATCTCACACTTACAGAAAATTCCCAGGATGAGATTTACAATCCCACACATATCCTGTTTTCAGGAGTGACATGTGGCTTCATATATATGAGATGGTGACAGTCTTTACTGCCAGCTGAGTGTGTGTATGAGACTCACCATGCACTCTCTGTATTCTGTTATCACACTCTCTGTTGTATTCTGTTATTGCACTCTCTGTACAAGCCAAGGGCTTTATAAAATTTCTGAGGCTATTATAATCTTCTGTGGCCTTTTTTTAAAGCAGAGAGATTCAATCACTCATGTTTCTAAAGCAAGTAGTGAGAGTCAAAATTACTCCTATTTGTGGGGTATGAGAGTCATTATTATGCCTGTGAGTTGTGCCTAGTTATATATCACAATTTACTCTGTGGTAATGAAGCAGGTGTGACTGCCAAGTCACCTAACTATTGAACAAGAATTTTTCAAATATTCTACTTGTAGAAAAGTTCCTGGACGAAAAGTTGCATAACTTGGGGGTGTCAACCAGATGTATGACACAATGCCCCTTTTAAGCAGTGTCTAGGCAGAAGAGGAGAGTCATATAACTTAAATTATTGGCCGAGAGATGTGCAACAATGCCTTCTGTTGAAGGAACCAGTCAGGAGAGTCATGTCATTTGCATGCAGTGCTTAGAAATGCTACAATCCCCAAGGCAGAGGTTGCAATGAGCTAAGATCACACCACTGCACTCCAGCCTAGGTAACAAAAAAAGAAAGAAAAGAAAAGAAAAGAAAAAAATGCTACAATCCCTGTGGAAGCAGAGTCCAGGCAGAGGAGGCAAGGCAGGGAGACAGGTAACCTAGAAGATGGATTCAGAGACATGTTACAATTCTTCCTGGGGATATTGTTAAGACAGGAGAGTCAAATCACCAAGGTGAGCAGCTGAAATATATAGGTGAATCTCACTTGTGGACTACACCTTGGCAGGATTATTAAATCACTCAGGAGCTGGACAATTGTGTATGTCGCAATAACATTAGTGAAATGCTTCAGGAATGGGAGTCACCATATAGCATATGACCTGGCTCCATATTTAAGAGTCATGATTAGTCAGTCCTCTTATCTCATCTCAGGTATATGTCACAACATCGGCTGTGAGTGGAGAGCAAGTGGGAAGGTCACATCACCTGGGTGGGTGCTGGTCCTGTGAGATGTCACAATCCATCTTGTGGGCAGGACTCTGAAAGAAGAATCACATCAACTGGATACTGTTTTTGGTGATATATCAAAATCCCACCTGTGGGAAGGGCTTAAGAAAGAGAGGAGGCTCACTTAACCAAGGCAGTTGGCATAGGTATATGTCACAATGGCTGCTGTGTGCAAAACCAAGGTAAGAAAGTGACTACACCTTGGTGCTGAGTTTATCAATATGTCACAATCTCCCCTGTGATCAGGTCGAGAGAAGAGAGGAGAAACATGACCTAGGTGATGAGCAAAGTGATATGTTACAAAGCTTCTCACTGGCAGAACCCAAAAGGGAGAGTCACATCACTTGGGTGCAGAACCCAGTTGTGTGTTGCAATGCTCCATAAGTGCAGGGCCAAGGCAGGAGAAGGGAGTCACATCACTTACCTGATGGACCTAGATATCAGCCACAGTGCTCTTCTTGGGCAGCACTCAGGCAGATAATTCAAATCACCTTGGTGCTGGTCCCAGTGATATGTAAAAGTGTAATTTGTAGGCAGGCCCAGGCACCTATGCTTAGGGGCATGGTCCAGGCATGTCACAATTTTATCTGTGGTTATGGCCTAAAAATGAGAGTCAAGTTATTCAGAAGCTGGGCTAACTTTTATGTCCTAATCACACACTAGGATATATTCAGATATAAGTTTCACAGTCCCACACAAATCCCAGCTTTGTGTATGTGAGTCAACACCCCCTATGACTTGGGCCAAAGTAGAGGAGTCACAGTCTCAACAGTGAGCATGATCCATGCATAAGATGCCCAATTCCACTTTAAGATTGTGTTCCAGGAGGGGAGTCACAGCTTCACAGGTGTGCTGAATCATGCATCACCAAAAGACCCGTGGACCAGACACATGTATGAGAGGAACAGTTTCAACCAGGGACAGCTGTTTTGTGTGAGATTTAGTACCTTATTTGTAGGGGCTATTCTTGTGAGAGAATGACAGTAGGATCAGCTGATCGTATGTACATGAGTCACAATAGCACTGGGTTACTGTCCCTGTTAGGACATCCTTTGTACCATTCAGGCTGTATATCATATGCCTGAGTGTCATAGTCCTCTGTGAACTTTATACAATTAGTAGACCCATTGCTTTACTTATGGCCATAAGACTGGTTAAGAATGTCAAAATATCTCTTCTTTCTGGGTCTAGATATAACAGCTGTATTTGTGCATGTGAGCTGAACCCAGGTATATGTCACTATTTCTCCTGTGGGCAGAACCAAGGTAGGAGACTCTCATCACCAGGATTCTGAGCTGAGAATACATTATAATCTCTTCTGCAGGTAGTGCCAAGTCAGAAGAGTCATATCATCTGGGTGCAGCTTCAAGGTGTTAGACTCAACAATATTTAAAAATGTCCTCTGTTGGCAGACTCCAGAATAAAGAGCAGAGTTGCATTATTTAAATTTTGCATTCAGCACTATGTACCTATTTCTTTAGAGCACAGGACCTAGGCAGGAGAGAGAAGTCACATTTCCTAAATGATACATTAAAAGATGTCATAATGTTCTTTGGGAGCAAAGCACAGGTAAAATTGACAAATCACCTAGTGGATAGGCTCATAGATATGTGACAATATCTCCTTTAGGCAGTGCCCTGGCAGAAGAGTCTCACAATGCACACACGGGAAACAATTTAAGCAAAAGTTTTAACACCTGGTTACTAGGTCCAGTGATATGACACAATCTCATTGACATAATATGTTATCGGAGCTCTTATACATGGATCCTGTCCACTGTTGAGATTGTGAGTCCTCTAGTTTAGCCTAACATAAATAGGATTGATTCACATATGTGAAACCAGGACTTGTGTGTGATGTGAAATTATTTCCAAACCTTTCTTAGCATGTGATTGGGACAGGTAACTTTGCCCAGCACATAAATAGCGGGACTCTCTTTTCTAGGCTCAGACCACAGATGAAATTGTGCCATATGTGGAACAAACATGAAAGCAATATATGATATCTTCCTTGACTCTGCCTACAAAGGTCACTTTAATATATTACTGAGACCATCACCCAGGTCATGTGAATTATCTGCCTGAAGCCTGCTTACAAAGACAATTGTGTTCTATATCTAGGTCCATCAGGTAAGTGATGTGACTCCCTTGTACTGCCTTGGCCCTGCAGTTACAGTGCATTGTGTCACATAACTGGGAACTTCATCCAGGGGATGGGATTCTCCTTTTTGCATTCTGTCAACAGGAAACCTTGTAACGTATCACTTGGCTCAGAACCTAAGGTGATGTTTCTTCACTTTTGCCTGTGCCCCAGCCACAGGGAGATTGTGACATATTGCCAAACCCACTGACCAACGTAAGGTAACTCTCCAGCCTTGGCACCGTACATAAGGGCCATTGTGACATATGTCTAGGCCAATTGCCTAGGTTAATTGAGTCTCCTCTATTTCCAAAGTCATGTTTACAAGGAGGTTTTTGTCACTGAAACCAGCATCCAGGTGATGTGACTCTTCTGCAAAGGTCCTGTCCACAAGGTGGATTGTGATATCTCACTGGAGCCACAGCCACTTATGTGATGTGACTTTCTTGCATTCTCTCTGACCAGAGGTGATATTGTGCCATATACCTGAAACCATAACAAAAGCCTAGTAACAGCTTATATACCTGAAGCCAGGATATGTTCAGGAGAGTTATTCTTATTCTTAAACGTTTCCGCAAGTGTAATCATGACATAAACCTTTGCACTGCTCCTGAGTGATTTAATAATTCTGCCTAGGTATCACCCACAAATGAGGTTTTGTCAAATGCCTGGGCCAAGCACCTTGGTGATTTGACTCTTGCTGTCTTAACAATGTCCTCAGGGGATATTGTAACATATTTCTGGACACATCACCTAGGTTACATGACTCCCCTCTCCTGCCTGTACCCAGCTCGCTTTGGTAATTGTAGCATTTCTAAACACTATATCCAAATGATATGACTCGTTTTTCTGGGCCCTGTCAACATTAGTCATTGTGACATATTTTTGGGGCCAACATTTAGGTGATATGACTCTCCTCTTCTGTCTGGACACTACCCACAAGGGACATTGTGCCACAGAGCTGGATTTAGCACAGAAATTATGTGAGATTTCTGACAGGACCCTGCCTACAAAGAGAATATTGGAATATGTACAGTCCAGCATTTAGGTGATATGACTATTCTTCCTGCTTTATAACCACAGAGAATATTGTAACAGATACCTAGGCATGACTCACAGGAGTGATAATGACTCTCATATGTGTACTCAGCCTATAGAGAATATTTTGACACTTATAACTAGATTTAGGGACATGCATGATGTCCTGTATCGCCTTCTTCTACAAAGGTCACAAAAGATTACAACATTCACATGTATTTTCCAAAGTCTTTGGGTTATACAGACAGAGTCAAAGCAGGGCTCAGCACACAGCTGAAATTGTGAGTCTTGTATGCACACCCAGCTGACAGAAAGGACTGGATGGAAGGACTGGACACAGGTGAAATTGTGACATATACCTGAAAAAGCATCTAGGTGTTATGACTCTTTATTTCTGCCTGAGTATTGCCTACTTGTGGCATTGGGCCATATCTTTGAGCCCATGACCTAAGTGATGTGAGTCTCTTATTCTGTCTAAGCCTTTACAATGAGAAGATTGTGATGTGTTGATGAGCCCAGCAATTAGGTAATGTGACTCTCATCATGTTGCCAAAAATTGCCTACAAACAGGACTTTTGCTGTAGTTCAGGGCCCCACACCTGGATTCTGTTACACTTATTCCTAGGTCGTGCATAAAGAGGGAATTTCAGCATATTTCTGGGCCTAGCACACTAATGATGTGACTCTCCAGCCTGTGCCAGAGCCAGAGCAGGTATTTTGATATACCTTTGGCCCATTTCCATAGGTGTTTTGAGTCTCCTTATTTTGCTGGGTTTCTTCTATGTGAAGTTGTGTTATATTGCTGGCTCCAGAGCCCAATTATTGTGACCCTCTTTCCTAAGACCTGCATAGACAAGGCATTGTGTCATACTTCTTGCCACAACACCTAAGTGATATCAACCTCCTGCCGATTTTTTTTGCCCACAAATTTGATTATAACATATACCTTTCTTCAGTTCAAAAGCATGATGATCATGCTTCTATTGGGATTCAGCCAGTACGAGACGTTTTGCCTTTCATGACTAGGTTTAAGTCAGTAGGTAAAGCCTTTAATTGCATATGTGAACAAGCTCACAGAATTTTACAACAATAACTCATCTCACAAAAACTTTTTAGGTGGTAGAGAATTTTATAACAGGGTCCAGAAAAATGTTAGTATCATGATTTTACACAACACGTTCATGTGAAAGTAAAAGTTATTACCATCCTGCGTTTACAACGTTCATTGTTGAGGTCCTCAATCTAATAAGTAAACACAGCACAAAGATGAAATTGTAATTTTTATCAAAGAATCTGGCCACAGGTGGGATGGTCACTCAGTTCTGGACCCAGCTCACAAACCCAATAATGCTGTCATCCTTGAAGCCAGCATATAAGAGAGATGTTGACTGTCATATCTGAGTTTAGTGCAATATGTAAGATCGTGAGTCCATATAAGCATGTAGGCCTCAGTGAGGTTTCAACTCTCATGCATGTTATATAAAGTTCTCAGATGTTGTATAGAGTGTCATACTATGGCCAGCACCCATGTGAGTTTGTGACTGACATATACACAACTAGGTAATAGTTAATGGTGTCACCCTTATAGTTGAGGAGACTGTGTCATATCCTTCACCTGGCACCCCAGTGTTGAGACTTTTTGGTTTAAATTCTTTTCCAGGGAGGAGCTTCCAAGATGGCAGAATAGGAACAGCTCCAGTCTGCAGCTACCAGTGTGAGGAATGCAGAAGGTGGGTGACTTCTGCATTTCCAACTGAGGTACTAAGTTCATCTCACTGGGGCTTGTCAGACAGTGGGTGCAGCCCACAGAGCAGGGAGGGGCATTGCCTCACCTGGGAAATGCAAGGGATTGGGGAATTCCCTTTCCCAGCAAAGGGAAGCCGTGACTGATGGTACCCAGAAAATTGGGTCATGCCCACCCTAAAACTACATTTTTCCACTGGCCTTAGCAAATGGCACACCAGGGGATTACATCCCGTGCCTGGCTCAGAGGGTCCCCTGCCCATGGAGCCTCACTCACTGCTAGCATAGCAGTCTGAGATTGAGCTGCAAGGTGGTAACAATGCTGGGGGAGGGTGATCTGCCATTACTGAGGATTCACTAGGTAAACAAAGTGGCAAGGAAGCTTGGACTGGGTGGATCCCACCTCACCTCAAGGAGGCCTGCCTGCCTATGTAGACTCCACCCCTGGGGGCAGGGCATAGATGAACAAAAGGTAGCAGAAACTTCTGCAGACTTAAACATTGTTGTCTGACAGCTTTGAAGAGAGTAGTGGTTCTCCCAGCACAGAGTTTGAGATTTGAGAATGGACAGACTGGTACCTGAACCCCGAGTAGCCTAAGTGGAAGACACCTCCCAGTAGGGGCCACCTGACACCTCACACAACTGGGTGCCCCTCTGAGTTGAAGCTTCCAGAGGAATGATCAGGCAGCAATACTTGCTGTTCGGCAATATTTGCTGTTCTGCAGCTTCTGCTGGTGATACCAAGGCAAACAGGGTGTGGAGTGGGCCTCCAGAAAACTCCAACAGTCCTGCAACTGAGGGTCCTAATTGTTAGAAGGAAAATTAACAAACAGAAAGGACATCCACACAAAAACCCCATCTATACATCAGCATCGAAGAACAAAAGTAGATAAAACCACAAAGATGGGGAGACACCAGAGCAGAATAGCTGAAAATTCTAGAAATCAGAGTGCCTGTTCTCCTCCAAAGGAATGCAGTTCCTCACCAGCAATGGAACAAAGCAGGATGGAGAATGACTTTGACGAGTCAAGAGAAGAAGGCTTCAGATGATTGGTAATAACAAATTTCTCTGAGCTAAAGGAGGATGTTCGAACCCATCGCAAAGAAGCTAAAAACTTTGAAAAAAAGATTAGATGTATGTCTACTAAAATAAACAGTGTAGAGACGTCCCTAAATGACCTGATGGAGCTGAAAACCATGACATGAAAACTATGTGATGCATGTACAAGCTTCAGTAGCCAATTCTGTCAAGTGGAAGAAAGGATATCAGTGATTGAAGATCAAATGAATGAAATAAAGCAAGAAGAGATGTTTAGAGAAAAAAGAGTAAAAAGAAATGAACAAAGCCTCCAAGAAATATGGCACTACATGAAAAGACCAAATATACATCTGATTGGTGTACCTGAAAGAGATGGGGAGAATGGAGCCAAGTTGGAAAACACTCTGCAGGATATTATCCAGGAGAATTTCCCCAATGTAGTGAGGCAGACCAACATTAAAATTCAAAAACATACAGAGAATGCCTAAAAGATACTCCTCGAGGAGAGCAACAACAAGACAAATAATTGTCAGATTCACCAGAGTTGAAATGAAGGAAAAAATGTTAAGGGAGCCAAAGGAAAGGTCAGGTTACCCAGAAAGGCAAGCCCATCCGACTAACAGTGGATCTATTGGCAGAAACTCTACAAGCCAGAAGATAGTGGGGGCTAATATTCAACATCCTTAAGGAAAATAATATTCAACCCAGAATTTCATATCCAGCCAAATAAAGCTTCATAAGTGAAGGAGAAATGAAATCCTTTACAGACAAACAAATGCTGAGAAATTTTGTCACCACCAGGTCTGCCTTACAAGAGTTCCTGAAGGAAGCACTAAACATGGAAAGGAACAACTGGTACAAGCCACTGCAAAAACATGTCAAATTGTAAAGACCATCAATGCTACAAAGAAACTGCATCAACTAATGAGCAAAATAACAAGCTAACATCATAATGACAGGATCAAATTCACACATAACAATATTAACCTTAAGTGTAAATGGGGTAAATGTTCCAATTAAAAGACACAGACTGGCAAATTGGATAAAGAGTCAAGACCCATCAGTGTGCTGTATTCAGGAGACCCATCTGACGTGCAGTGACACACATAGGCTCAAAATAAAGGGATGGAGAAAGATTTACCAAGCAAATGAAAAAAAAAGAAAAAGAAAACAAAAACAAAAACAGGGGTTGCAATCCTAGTTTCTGATAAAACAGACTTTAAACCAACAAAGATCAAAAGAGACAAAGACGACCAATACCTAACGGTAAAGGGATCAATTCAATAAGAAGAGCTAACTTTACTAAATATATATGCATCAAATACAGGAGCAGTCGGATTCATAAAGCAAGTCCTTAGAAACCTACAAACATACTTAGACTCCCACACAGTAATAATGGGAGACCTTAACACCCCACTATCAACATTAAACAGATCGAGACAGAAAGTTAAAAGGATATCTAGGAATAGAACTTAGCTCTGCACCAAGTGGACCTAATAGACATCTACAGAACTCTCCACTCCAAATCAACAGATATATATTCTTCTCAGCACCACATCAAACTTAATCCAAAATTGACCACACAGTTTTAAGTAAAGCACTCCTCAGCAAATGTAAAAGAACACAAATTATAACCAACTGTCTCTCAGACCACAGTGCAATCAAGCAAGAAGTCAAGATTAAGAAACTCACTCAAAACCGCTCAACTACATGGAAACTGAACAACCTGCTTATGAATGACTACTGGGTACATAACGAAATGAAGGCAGAAATGAAATGTTCTTTGAAAGCAGTGAGAACAAAGACACAACATACCAGAATCTTGGGGATACATTTAAGGCAGTGTGTAGAGGGAAATTTATAGCACTAAATGCCCACAAGAGAAAGCAGAAAAGATCAAAAATCGACAGCCTAACATCACAGTTAAAAGAACTAGAGAAGCAAAAGCAAACACATTCAAAAGTTAGCAGTAGGTAAGAAATAACTAAGATCAGAGCAGAACTGAAGGAGTTAGAGACACAAAAAAACCCTTCAAAAAATCAGTGAATCCAGGAGCTGGTTCTTTGGAAAGATCAACAAAATTGATAGACTGCTAGCAAAACTAATAACGAAGAAAAGAGAGAAGAATCAAAGAGACACAATAAAAATGACAAAGGGGAGATCATGACTGATCCCACAGAAATAGAAACTACCATCAGAGACTACTAGAAACACCTCTAGGCAAATAAACTAGAAAATCTAGAAAAAATGGATAAATTCCTTGACACACACTCCCTCCCAAGACTAAACCAGGAAGGAGTTGAATCTCTGAATAGAACAATAACAGACTCTGAAATTGAGGCAGCAATCAATAGCCTATCAACCAAAAAAAGTCCAGGACCAGATGGATTCACAGCCAAATTCTACCATAGGTACAAAGAAAAGCTGATACAATTCCTTCTGAAACTATTCCAATCAACAGAAAAAGAGGGAATCCTCCCTAATTCATTTTATGAGGCCAACAACATACTGATATCAAAGCCTGGCAAAGACAGAAAAACAAAAAATAATTTTAGACCAATATCCCTGATAAACATCGATGCAAAAATCCTCAATAAAATACTGCAGCACATCAAAAAGTTTATCCATCATGATCAAATCGGCTTCATCCTTTGGAAGTAAGGCTGGTTCAATATACACCAATAAATAAACATTATCCATCATATAAACAGAACAGCACTTCATGCTAAAAACTCTCAATAAATTAGGTATTGATGGGACATATCTCAAAATAATAAGAGCTATTTATGACAAACCCACAGCTAATATCATACTGAATGGGCAAAAAATGGATGCATTCCCTTTGAAAACTGGCACAAGACAGGGATGGCCTCTCTCACCACTCCCATTCAACATAATGTTGGAAGTTCTGGCCAGGGCAATCAGGCAAGAGAAATAAATAAAGGTATTCAATTAGTAAAAGAGGAACTCAAATTGTCCCTGTTTGCAAATGACATGATTGTATATTTAGAAAACCCCATCGTCTCAGCCCAAAATCTCCTTAAGCTGATAAGCAACTTCAGCAAAGTCTCAGGATACAAAAGCAATGTGCAAAAATCACAAGCAGACCTATACACCAATAACAAACAGAGAGCCAAATCATGAGTGAACTCCCATTCACAATTGCTTCAAAGAGAATAAAATGCCTAGGAATCCAACTTACAAGGGATGTGAAGGACCTCTTCAAGGAGAACTACAAACCACTGCTAAACAAAATGAAAGAGGACATGAACAAATGGAAGAATATTCCATGCTCATGGATAGGAAGAATCAATATTGTGGAAAATGGCCATACTGCCCAAGGTGACTCATAGATTCAATGCCATCTCCATCAAGCTACCAATGACTTTCTTCACAGAACTGGAAAAACCTACTTTAAAGTTCATATGGAACCAAAAAAGATCCTGCATTGCCAAGACAATTCTAAGCCAAAAGAACAAAGCTGGAAGCATCATGCTACCTGACTTCAAATTACACTACAAGGCTACAGCAACCAAAACAGCTTGGTATTGGTACAAAAACAGAGATATAGACCAATGGAACAGAATAGGGCCCTCAAAAATAATGCCACACATCAACAACCATCTGATCTGTGACAAACCTAACAAAAACAAGAAATGGGGAAAGGATTACCTATTTAATAAATGGTGCTGGGAAAACTGGCTAACCATATGTAGAAAGCTGAAACTGGATCTCTTCTTTACACCTTATACAAAAATTAATTCAAGATGGATTAAAGACTTAAATGTTAGACCTAAAACCATAAAAACCCTAGAAGAAAACTTAGGCAATACCATTCAAGCCATAGGCATGGGCAAGGATTCATGACTAAAACACCAACAGTAATGGCAACAAAAGCCAAAATTGACAAATAGGAGCTAATTAAATGAAAGAGCTTCTGCACAGCAAAAGAAGCTGTCATCAGAGTTTCTTACACTGTTGGTGGGACATAAACTAGTTCAGCCATTGTGGAAGACAGTTTGGCAGTACCTCAAGGATGTAGAACAAGAAATGCCATGTGACTCAGCCATTCCGTTACTGGGCATATACCCAAAGGATTATAAATCATGCTGCTATAAAGACACATGCACAGATATGTTTAGTGTGGCACTACCGATAATAGCAAAGACTTGGAACCAACCAAATGTCCATCAATGACAGGCTGGATTAAGAAAATATAGCACATATATGCCATGGAATACTATGCTGACATTAAAAAGGATGAGTTCATGTCCTTTGTAGGGACATGGATGAAGCTGGAAACCATCATTCTCAGCAAACTATCACAAGGACAGAAAAGCAGACACAGCATATTTTCACTCATAGGTGGGAATTGAACAATGAGAACACTTGGACACAGGGTGGGGAACATCACACACTGGGGCCTGTCATAGAGTAGGGGGAGAGGGGAGGGATAGCATTAGGAGATATACCTAATGCAAATGATGAGTTAATGGGTGCAGCACACCAACATGGCACATGTAGACATATGTAACTAACCTGCACATTGTGCACATGTACCCTAGAACTTAAAGTATAATAATAAAAATAAAAACAATAAAAATAAATTCTTTTCCAGAAGGGCATTCTTACACGGTTCAGAAATGGTTCAGAATCATAATAATGTTACATGGTTCAGAAATGGTTCAGAGCCATAATGCTACATGGTTCAGAAATGGTTCAGAATCATAATAATGTGACTTTTCTGCCTGGGAACTGCAAACAGTGGATATTTTCACATATCTCTGGGCCTATTGACTAGGTAATATATCTCTCTTGCCAATGGCCTTCCCATATCCAGCTGTGTCATATTGTTAGATACAGCATCTAGGTAATGTGTCTCTGCTCTCCTGGCCAGATCCTGCCCACTGAAGAAATTGTGACATACCACTGAGTGCAAAACCTAGGTGACATTAATGTTCTCTTTGTCCTGAACTCTACCAAGAAAGGAAATTATTACATATTGCTGAGCCCAGCACCCAGGTGGTGTGATTTTCTTTTTTTACTGTAAACTGTCTACATTGGGCATAGTGACATATTACTTGAGGCTGTACCCAGGTGGTGTGGCTCTGCTGCCTGGTTTCTGCCCACATGTTAGATTGTGACATATAACTAGGGAAGCACCTAGTTGATATGACTTTTCTTTGTGGGCCCTTCATAATGAGGACACTGGGATGTATCTCTGAGCCCAAGACTGAAGTGAAGTGACTTTCAGCTTCTGCCTGGTCTTTACAAGAAGGGATTGTGACATATCGTAGAGGTCAGAAGTCAGGTTATTTGTCACTCCTTATTTTCTGGAACCATTCCCACCACCCGAATTTTTGGCCTATTGCAAGGTCCAGCACCCAGGCGATGTTTCTCTTTTGCCTGGGTCCTGCATACAGATAGAAGTATGGCATATTGCTGGGGCCAAAACTCTGATAATTTCCTGTTGAGAGCAGGACATTATCTCATGACTCATGACTGTCCTGGAGCCACAGAAGGTATTTTGACACATCCTGGGCCCATCATGTGGGTGTTCTGATATCTTTTGCCTGGGTTTCTTCCACAGGTAGGATGGTTTTGTTTTGCTCAGTCCAGCACCAATTTAATATGACTCTAATTCCTATACCCTGCCAAGCAAGGGAGGACATAGTGACAAGTTGCTTGGCACAGCACCAAAGAGATGTTACCCTCCTGCATACATTTTGCCCACAAATGGGACTCTGACATATACCTTGATCTCAACATATGCCTTAGTTGAGATCACAGGCCTGGTGATCAGACTTATATTGGAGTCAGCCAATAGGAGATATTTTGCCTCTCATCACTAGGCTTTGGGCAATGGGTAAGGCCCTGGGTTGCATATTTGTATGAAGCTCACAGAGCTTTACAGCACTAACTCATAGTGTATAACCTCCTTGGGTGGTACAGAGAGTTTCAAGACAAGAACCAGCAAAATGTTCAGATTGGGATTCTTGGTTATGCACCCAAGTGAAAGTAAATGTTTCCATCCCACATGGCCAAAGCCCACTGTTAAGGTCCTGAGTCTAAAAAGTAAATACAGTAGAAAGTTGGAATTTTGACCTTCCTATGTGGATCTGACCACAGATGGGATAGCGACTCATTTTTACATCTAGCTCACAGGCATGACAATGGATCTCATTCCTTAACCCAGCCTGCAGAAGAGATGTTGACTATAAAACTTGGGTTTAGGGCAATATGTTAAGATCGTGAATCTATACTACCATGTAGGGGTCAGAGTGGTTTGCCACTCTCACACGTGCTGTATAAACCCTTAAAATGTTGTAGAGTGTCATACAACAGCCCAGGAAACATGGAAAATTGTGACTCTCATATACAAACCCAGCTCACATTCAATGGTGTCAACATCAAAGACAAAAAGATTTGGCATATTACTAGGCCTAGTAACCAGGTGTTGTGAGTTTTTGGATTACATTTTTTTTCTGTTGGGTGCATTGTGACATATCACTGGGTTAGAATTATAATAATGTGACTGTTCTGCCTGAGCCCTGCCAACAGGGCAAATTATCTCATATCTCTGGGCCTATAAGCTAGGTGATTTTTCTCCCCTCCCTGTGCACTGCCATCAGAACACATTGTGAAATATTGTTTGGCTTAACATCTAGGTTATGTGATTTCCTCCCCTGCCTGTGTCCTGCTCACCAAAAAAGTTTTGATGTACTGCTTATTGCAGAAACTATGTGATGTGACTCTTCTTCATATGCTAGGCCCTGCCAAGAAAGTGGATTATTACACACTGCAGAGCACAGCACCTATGTGGAGTAACTCCTCTTTTTCTTATTCCCTTTCTATAGTGGGCTTGGGGACATATTATTTGAGGCTATATCCAGGTGATGTGACTCTTCTAAATAGGCCCACCCTATTAATGAGATTATAATGTATCAGCAGCTCAGCACCCAGGTGATGTCTCTCCTGCCTTTTTGTGGGGAAAAGCAAGAGAGATCAGATTGTTACTGTGTCTGTGTAGAAAGAAGTAGACATAGGAGACTCCATTTTGTTATGTACTAAGAAAAATTCTTCTGCCTTGAGATTCTGTTAATCTATGACCTTACCCCCAACCCCATGCTCTCTGAAACATGTGCTGTGTCAACTCAGAGTTGAATGGATTAAGGGCGGTGCAGGATGTGCTTTGTTAAACAGATGCTTGAAGGCAGCATGCTCCTTAAGAGTCATCACCACTCCCTAATCTCAAGTACCCAGGGACACAAAAACTGCGGAAGGCCGCAGGGACCTCTGCCTAGGAAAGCCAGGTATTGTCCAAGGTTTCTCCCCATGTGATAGTCTGAAATATGGCCTCGTGGGAAGGGAAAGACCTGACCGTCCCCCAGCCCGACACCCGTAAAGGGTCTGTGCTGAGGAGGATTAGTAAAAGAGGAAGGAATGCCTCTTGCAGTTGAGACAAGAGGAAGGCATCTGTCTCCTGCCTGTCCCTGGGCAATGGAATGTCTCGGTATAAAACCCGATTGTATGCTCCATCTACTGAGATAGGGAAAAACCGCCTTAGGGCTGGAGGTGGGACCTGCGGGCAGCAATACTGCTTTGTAAAGCACTGAGATGTTTATGTGTATGCATATCTAAAAGCACAGCACTTAATCCTTTACATTGTCTATGATGCCAAGACCTTTGTTCACGTGTTTGTCTGCTGACCCTCTCCCCACAATTGTCTTGTGACCCTGACACATCCCCCTCTTTGAGAAACACCCACAGATGATCAATAAATACTAAGGGAACTCAGAGGCTGGCGGGATCCTCCATATGCTGAACGCTGGTTCCCCGGGTCCCCTTATTTCTTTCTCTATACTTTGTCTCTGTGTCTTTTTCTTTTCCAAATCTCTCGTCCCACCTTACGAGAAACACCCACAGGTGTGTAGGGGCAACCCACCCCTACACCTTTTCCCTGCTCTCAGGTGAAATTTTAACATATATCTTAGTTAAGCACACGTGCACAAAATAATAACCCTCATACTTGGACTCACACAGTAGAAATATTTTGACTCTCAGAGCCATGGGTAAAGTCCTGGATTTTTCACTTTTATAAACTTCATGAAGGATTATAACACTCAGATATATCATATGAAGTCTTAATGACAAAAAGTGTCAAACAGAGAACAGAAACAAGGGGCAGATGGGACTCTTGTATGCACATCTAGCTGGCATGATTGTCATTCTCACACAGAACAGGGCCTAGGAATGAGGCACTAAATCTCACACATAAAAAGCAGTTGAAGGTTGAAATAATTACTCTAATTCAGGAATCTGATTCACTGGTGGTTTTGTAACATTTGAACCATGATTCAGCACACTGTGGTGCTCTGACTCCCCTGCTGGAACACAGTGTTCAAGTGGGATTGGGGATCTTATACATGGATCTGGTTCCAGGCTGAGACTGTGACTCTTCTACTTCAACCCAATGCATAGGAACAGTTGACTCACATAAACAAAACCAGGACTTGTGTGGGATGTGAAATTTATTTCTGAACCTTTCTGATAGTGTGATTGGAACAAGATAACTTTCCCAACACATGACTAATATGACTCTTTTCTAGGCCCAGACCATGGAAGAAATTGGGCCATATGTGGAACAAGCGACTAAGCAATAGATCCCTTGTTTCATGGCTCTGCCTACAATGGGAACTGTTATATATCATTGGGACCATCACCCAGGTGATGTGCATTATCTGCATAAAACTCATAAAACTACCTACAAAAAAATTGTGTTTTATATCTAGATCCATCACATAAGTGTTGTGGCTCCCTGCTACTGTTTTGGCCCTTCACTTACAGTGCATTGTGACACATAACCATGTACTGTACCCAGTTGATGTAATTCTTCTTTTTGGGTTCTGCTAACAGGAAGCATTGTAACATGTCACTTGGATCAGAACCTAGGTGGTGTTTCTTGGCTTTTGCCTGTACCTTGACCACAGGGAGATTGTGACATAAAGCTGGGCCCAGCACTAATGTGAGGCCACTCTCTGGCTTCTGTACTGCACTGAACAGACATTGTGACATATATCTAGGCCAATGGCCTTGGTGAAGTGAGGCTCCTCTCTTACCAAAGTCCTGCCAAGAGAGGGGGTTTTGATATGTCCGTGAAATTAGCATCCAGGTGATGTGACTCTTCCACCAGGTCCTTCCCACAAGGTGGATTGTGACATCTCACTGGAACTGCACCCACGTAGGTGATGAAGCTTGCTTTTTTTTTTTCTCTTGCCACAAGTGGTATTGTGCCATAAAGCAATGATTATAACAGAAACCTAATAACAATTAATATGCCTGGAGCCTAGGACTTGTGCAGGATGGTGGCTGTTACTATTAAGCCTTTCCACAGGTGTAATTGTGACATATACCTTTGCCCAACTACTGACTTATTTAATAATTCTGCCAAAGTATAGCCCATAAATGGGATTTTGACAAACACATTGGCCAAGCACTTTGGTAGTTTGACTGAGGTACCTTAGAAATGTCCTCAGGGGAGATTGTAACTGATTCTTGGATGCTTCATCTACATGACTCTCCTCTTTTGCCTGTACCCTGCTTCCTTTGGTAATTGTAGCTCTTCTAAACACTGCATCCAAATGATATGACCCCTTGCCTGGGCCCTGTCAACAATAGGCATTTTGACATATTTTTGTGCCCATCATTTAGGTGATATTACTCTCCTCTCCTGCCTGGACACTGCCCACAAGGCACATTGTGCCACACAGCTGGATCTATCACACAAGTTTTGTGAGATTTCTGATAGGGCACAGAATACAAAAAAATTTTTTGAAATAATTCTAGCCCAGCATTTAGGTGATGTGGTTGTTCTGCCTGCTTCATAACCACAGAGGGAATTGTAACATATACCTAGGCATGGCTCACAGGCATGATAATGACTCTCATATGTGGACTCAGAAAATAGAGAATATTTTCACCCTTATAACTAAGTTTAGGGACACGTTTGATGTCCTGGATCTCCTCCTTGTACAAAGGTCACAAAATATTACAACACTCACATACATTTTACAAAGTCTTTGGACTATACAGTCAGAGTCAAATTGGAGCTAAGCACCCAGGTGAAATTTTGAGTCTTGTATACCCACCCAGCTGAAGGTAAGGACTGTTATCATCTCACATGGATGAAGGCAACTGTCACACATGAAAACAGGACATGTGTGGTATTGTAAATCTCATCTTTGGAATTTTATGACAGTGTGATTGTGATATAAATGTTTGCCAAGCACTTGTGTAATTTGACTCACCAGACTTGTTCCAGCCCATATATGGGATTATGATTCCTACCGAGGCCAACATCGAGGTGATATGACTCTCCTACCTGGTCATATCTCTCAGTAAAGATTGTGAGATATCACTGGATCTAGCACCCTGGTGATGTTACATAGTTGCCTGTGCCAGGCTCACTAAAATTATTGTGACATATTTCTCTGTGCACTTCATAGTTGATGTAAGTCTTCTCTCTGAAATGGGCACTGTACAACAGAAGGATAGTGACACACTGCAAGAACAGGCACACAGGCAAGGATATTCCTTTGCAGAGGATCCCCAAAGGAGGGCATTGTGACATATCTCTGGGCCTATCATCTAGGTTATGTGGCTTTACTGCTTGGGCCCTTCCAAACTTGAGAGTTACATATTTCTAGGCAAGGCACACAGGTGATGGTATTCTTTTGCCAGGGCTCTGCCTCATAGTGGACATGGTGACCTATCTCTGGGCCTATCACCTAGGTGAAATGATCCCCTCCTTGAGCCCTACACGTATGGAGCATTGTGGTATAATCAGAAAACATACACCTAGTATGATGTTTCTCTCTTGGCTGGGTGCTGCATTAAGAGAGCCTTTGATGTATCTCGGGACCCACCACCCAAGTGATGTGGCTATTCTGCCTGGTTTTTGCCCACAAGTCACAAAGTGACATATTCCTAGGGAAGCACGTAGGTGATGGGCCTCTCCTCTTCTACATGAGCCCTGCCTACTGGGGACATTAGGACATATCTCTGAACCCATGACCTAAGTGATGTGACTCTCCTTTTCTGCCCGATCATTCACAATAGGAGGATTTTGGCACATGGCTGAGCCCAGTACTTAGGATATGTGACTCTCTCCTTTTACCCAAACCATGCCCACAGGAAAGAAAGTTTGACTTATTGCATTGCCCAGCACCCAGATGATGTTAACCATCTACCTGGAATCTGCATAAAGAGCTAATTATGATATATTACATATTGCTGGTCCCAGTACCCTTATGATGTGACTTTCCTGCTTGTGCTGGAGCTACTAAGATATGTTGATGTATCTTGGGCATACTGTGCTGGTATTTTGGCTCTCATAACTTGGCTGAGTCTTTTCCCATATGCAGGATTGTATCATATTGCTGGGTCCAGCATTCAGCTAATGTGACTCAATTTCCTATACCCTGCCTAGAGAAGACATTGTGAAGTATTTCCTGGCACAGCATCAAAATGTCATTACCCTCCTGCCTAGTGTTTTTCACACGTATGTAATTATAATATATAACTGCTTCAGTTCACAGCCATGATGATCAAACTTATATTGGGATTCAGCCAATAGAAAATATTTTGCCTTTCATTGTTAGGCTTGTGGAAATAGGTAAGGTCCTGGGTTGCATGTTTATACCAAGCTCAAGGAAGCTTACACCACTAAATTACATTGTATAAACTCTTTTGTGGTAGAAATTTTCATAACATGAGCCAGCAAAAAGTTCAGATTGGAAGTCTCTACTACACCCCCGGGTGAAATTAGAAGTTGCAACCATCCCACATTTAGAAAACCCACTGTTGAGGTTCTGAGTTTAAAACCCTCACAGGCGGGTTTTTCATATGTCACTAAAAGGAACTTCCAGGTGATGTGACTCTTCTTCCAGGGTCCTGACCACCAGGTGGATTGTCACATCTCACTGGAACTGCACCCACATAGGTGGTGTGACTTTCTTGCCTTCTCTCTTACTACAGGAGATATGGTGTCATATACCTGAGACCATAATAAAAGACTAATAAAAACTCATATGTCTGGAGCCAGGACATGTATAGGATGGTGAGCCTTATTTTCAAACCTTTCCACAAGTGTAATTGTATGTACACCTTTGTCTAGTGCCTGTGAAATTTAACACTTCCACCTAGGTACGTCCCACAAATGAGATTTTGACAAAACTTGGGTCACGGACATTGGTGATTTGACGGTGCTACCTTACCAATGTTTTCAGGGGGACTAGCCACATATTTCTGGACCCATTATCTGGGGTATATGACTCTCCTTTTTGGCATGTACCCAGCTTACTTTAGTAATTGTAGCATTTCTAAACATTGCATCCAAATGACATGACACTCTCTTCTGAACCTTCTCAACAAGAGGAATTTTGACATATTTTTGGGTTTAGCTTTTAGGTCAACCACATTGGGTGATGTAACTCTCCTTTCTGGTATAGGTCTTGCACAAAGGAAGGATAGTGACATATTGCAAAGCCAGGCACACAGGTGGGGATATTTTTTTGCCAGAGCCATGCCCAAAGGAGGGTATTGTGACATATCTCTGGTAGTATCACTTAGGTTATGCCGCTCTTCTACTTGGTCCCTGCCAACCTGGAGAGTGACATATTTCTAGGCCAGGCACACAGATGATGGTACTCTTTCCCCAGGGCTATGCTTCAAAAAGGACATTGTGACATATCTCTGGCCCTATCACCTAGTTGATATGACTCAATGTTTGGGCCTCACCCACAGAGAGCATTGTGATACGAAAGTGAAACCTGCACCAAGGTGATGTAACTCTTTCACTTTGTTTCTCTTCTAAGGGGGACCTGTGACACATCTTAGCACCCAGCACCTAGGTAATGTGGCTCTTCTGCCTGGTTTCTGCCCATGTGTTAGATTGTGACTTATACATAAAGAAGCACATAGGAGATACTACTCTCCTTTTCTTTCTTAGTTCTGCCTACTGAGGACTTTGGGACCTATCTCTGACCCCATGACCTAAGTGATATGACTCTCTTCTCCTGTCACCCTTCAAAATGGTGGGGGTGGTGGTGGTTGTGAACATATTGCTGAGACCAGCATTTAGGTCATATGATTCTACTCTTTATTCTGAACCATGCACACAAAGAGCAATTTTGACCTATTGCACTCAGGTGATGTTACTCTTCTGCTACTGTCCTGAATAAAATGAGAATTATTGCAGAATGGTGGCCCCAGAACCCTGATGATGCTACTGTCCTGCTGGTTCCAGAGCCACAGACACAATTTTTACAGGTCTTCAGCTTATTCTCTAGGTGTTTTGGCTCTCATCCCTTGGTTAATCTTTTTCTCAAGAAAAATTGTGTAATATTGTTGGGCCCAGCTCCCAGTTAATATGACCCTCCCCCTATATTCTTCCTAGGGAAGGCATTGTGACAAGTTGCTTACCACATAACCTAAGTGATGTTATTATTTTTCCTAATTTTTTTGTCCACAAATGAGATTATGACATATACTTTGCTCCACTTCGCAGGCATGATGGTCAAACTTATATTGGGATTCAACCAATAGAAGATATTTTGCCTCTAATCACAAGGCTTAGAGCAATAGGTAAAATCCTGGTTTGCATATTTGTACCAAACTCAGAGTAGTTTACAACACTAATTAGTATTGTACAAACTCCTTTGGTGGTACAGAGAGTTTCATAACAAGGCCTAGCAAAAAGTTAAGATTGTAACTCTCAATTAGACACCCAGGTGAAAGTAAAAGTTGTCACCATCCCACTTTTACAAAGCCCATTGTTGAGGAACTGAGTTCAACAGGTAAAAACACTTCAAATATGGAATTGTGACTCTTATTTGTGGATCTGGCCACAGGTTCGATCGTGTCTCATTTTCAGAGCCAGCTCAAAGCATAAAAATAAGTCTCATTCCTGAGCTCAGCCTAAATGAGAGATGTTGACTATCACACCTGAGTTTAAGGCACTATATAAGTTTGAGAGTCTATATGAGTGTGTGGGCCTCAGTGTAGTTTGCAACTCTCATGCATACTATGTAAGGCCCTCCGATGTTGTAGAGGGCATCATAAAATGATGCAGCACACACATGACAATGTGACTCATATACACACCAAGATCACTGTTCAAGGTGTCACCCTAAAATATGAGGAGATTTTGTCATATCATTAGGCCTAGTACCCAGGTGTTAAAACTTTGGCTCCAATTGTTTTCCATGTGTGCATTGTGACATATCATTGGGACAGAATCATAATAATGTGACTCTTCTGCTGGGGTCCTGCCAAGTAGGGATAATATCACATATCTCTGAGCCTATCTGATAGGTGATTTTTCTATTTTGCCTCTGATTTGCCCCCAGGGAACATTGTGACATCATCGGGGTAACATCTAGGAAATGTCACTCTTCTCTCCTGCCTACGTCCTACCCACTAAAGGAATTGTGACATACCGATGAGTGGAAAACCTAGGCAGTGCAACTCTTCTCTGTATTCTGAAGTTGGCCAAAACAGGGGATTGTTACATATTGCTGAGCCCAGCACCAAGATGGTGTTACTATCCTCTTTTTCTTCAACCCTGTCTACAGTGGACATGGGACCATATTACTTGTGGCTGTACCCAGGTGATGTGACTTTTCTGACTTGGCCCTGCTTGCAAAGGAGATTATAATGTTTCCTGAGCTTGGCATCCATGTGTTGAGACTCTCCTGTGATATTTCTGCCCACAGGTGAAATTGTGACATATAGCTGCATTCAGCTACCATGCACAAATATAACTATCATACCTCGACCCAGAAAGGGAGACATTTTGATTCTCATAGCCAGTCTTATGGCCATAAGTAAAGTAATCAGTCTCCTAATTGTGTACATTTCACAGAGGATTATGACACTCAGGCATATCATGTAAAGCGTGAGTGGTACAAAGAGTGTCATAACAGGGAACAACAATCAGATGCTATTGTCACTATTGGATGCACACCCAGATGACCTGATTGTCATTCTCTCACAAGAATAGGGCCTACAAATAACGTACTAGATCTCATGAAAAAAAGCAGTCGAAGTTTGAAATTTTTTCTCTCATAAATAAATCTGACCCAAGGATCCTTTTGTGATGCATGAATCAGCAGACCTGTGAAGCTGTGACTCTCCTCTTAGAACACAATCTTCAAGTGGAATTGGCATCTTATACATGGATCTTGTGCATTGTTGAGATTGTGACTCCTCTGTTTTGATCCAAGCCACTGGATGTGTTGACTCACACACGCAAAGCCAAGACTTGTGTGGGACTGGGAAATGTATTTCTGAATATTTCCTAGTGTGTGATTAGGACATAAAAGTTATCCCCACTCCTGAATAATTTAACTCTCCTTTTTTGGCCATGAGGACGGATGAACTTGTGACATATGTGGAACATACAACTAAGCAAAGGTGCCTGGACCTGCCTACAAATTGCACATTTACTTATCACTGGGACCAGCACCCAGGTGAGGTAAATTATTTGCCTTATCTCTGCCTATAAAAGGCATTGTGGCTCATATCTAGGTCTATCATGTAAGTGATGTCACTTCTACTTCCTTGGCCCTCCACTTATGGTGCATTGTGACACAAAACTGGGTACTGTACCCAGGTGATGTGACTCTCCATTTTGGGTTCTGTCAACAGGAAGCTTTGTAAAGTATCACTTGGCTCAGCACATAGGTCATGTTTCTCCTCTCTTGCCTCACCCTGACAGCAGGGGAGATTGTGACATATTAATAAACCCAGCACCAAAGTGAGGTCAGTTTCATACCTTGGTTTTGCACCAGCAGCCATTGAGACACATATATATAGCCAATTGCCTAGGTGAAATAAGTCTCCTCAACTTCTTAAGGCCTGCTCACACAAGGAATTTTGATATATCACTAAAACCAGTAGCCAGGTGAAGTGACTCTTCTTCCAGAGTCCTGGACACAAGAAAGATTGTGACATCTCACTGGATCAGCACCCACCCAGGTGATGCGATATTTTTGCTTGCTCTCTGCCCACAGATGATATTGTGCCATATACCTGAGGCCAAATAAGAGTACTAATCATGACTCTTAAACCTTAAGCCAGGTCATATACAAGAGGGTGATTCTCATTCCTGAAACTTTCCACCTGTGTCATTGTGACATAAACTATTTCCCAGTTCCCAAGAGACTAAATAATCCTGCCTACGTGTGGCCCACAAATTAGATTTGGATATATACCTTGGCTGAGCACCTTGGTGATTTGACTCTCCTATATTTACGGTATCCTCAAGAAGGATTGTAACATGGCTCTGGACCCATCATCTAGTTATCTAATTCTCCTTTCCTGCCTGGATACTGCTTCCAATGGGGATTGTACCATTTCTAAGCACTGCATCCAAGTGATCTGACTCTTTTGTCTGGTCCTTTCAACATGCGACATTGTGTCATATCTCTGGGCCTAGCATTTAAGTGATATGAGTCTCTTTTTGTGTCTGGACACTGCCAACAAGGGGCATTGTGCCATACATCTGGGTGTAACTCCCAAGTTATGCAACTTTGCTGACAGAAACTTGCCAACAAGGAGAATATTGGAATATTTCTGGCTCAGCATTTGTTGTACTTGACTGTTGTGCCTATTTCATTGCCACTGATTAAATTGTTACACATACCTAGGCACAACTCACAGGCATGATAATAACCCTCATATGTGGACCCCAGAAATTGGAGTAATTTTAAGTTTCATAACTTCGTTCAGAAACAGGAGTGAATAAATCACTTTCTTTTAAGAAAGGACAAAGAAGACTTTAACAGCCCTTGGCTTGTGCTGAGAGTGTATATATAATGGAACCCAGTAGGAAGGTGAAAGTGTGAGTCTCATATGCACACCCAGCTGACAGTAAGGACTGTCACTGTCTCACATATCTGAAGTCAAATGTCACTCATGAAAATAGGACATGTGTGGTATTTTAAATCTCATCCTGGTAATTTTCTGCCACTGTGTCTGTGATATAAATCTTGTGCTTGCTGGCCAAGCACTTGTGTGATTTGACTCTTCAGACTTGTTCCAGATCAATATGTTATTGTGAAATCTACCTGGGCCAACCTCTAGGTGATGCGATGTTTTTGCTCAATCCCTGCTCTCAGTAAGAATTGTGACGTATCACTGGATCCAGCACTCAGGTCATGTTACATTTTTGCCTGAGTCATGTGCACAGATATCACTGGCACTTATCACTGTGTCAACCACTTAGGTGACATAACTCTACACACTAGAATGGACCCTGCACACAGTGGGGGATAGTAACATATGGCTGTGTCAGGCAAAGAGGTGACAGCACTCTTTTGCGAGGGCCCTGTCCTTAAGATGACATTTGACAAATCTCTGGACCTATCACCTAGGTGAATTTGCTCTCCTGCTTGGGTCCTGCTTACTCAAATAGTGACATATTGCTAGGCCAGTCACACAGGTGATGGTGCCCTTTCACTAGGACCATAACTTAAGGAGGACATTGTGACATAGCTCTGCACCTATCAGCTAGATAATGTGACTCCCTGCTTGGGTTCTGCCCACATTGAACATAAGGGTAGAACCTGAACTCATTTGTTGTAATTCTCTAGCTAGGGTCCTGTCTTAAGGGAGGCTTGTGACATATCTCTAGACCAGCATCAAAGTGATGTGACTCTTCTGCATGGTTTCACCTAACACGTTAGATTATTTCATAAACCTAGGGAAGCATCTACGTGATATGACTCTTCTCTTATGCCTGAGTCCTACCTACCTGGGACATTGGACCATATATCTGAGCCTGTGTCTTATGTAATGTGACTCTTTTCTTCTGCAGGTTTTATTTTTTTTATTTTTATTTTTTTTTACAATTGGTCAATGTGACCTATTGCTAAGCCCAATAATTATGTAATATGACTCTTCTTTTTTTTCCCGAACCATGACCGTAAAAAGGAATTTTGACCTATTGCTGGGCCCAGCACTGAGATGGTGTTCCTTTTCTGACTGGGTTCTGCATAAAGATATAATTATGGCATATTGCTAGGACACACACTCTGATGATGTAACTCTCCTGCCTCTGCTGGAGCAACAGAAAGTATTTTTACATATCTTGGGCCAATTCTGTAGGTGATTTGCTCTCATCATTTGTCTGGGTTTGATTTATCCACGTTTGGGATTGTGTCATGTTGCTGGGTTCAGCACCCAGATATTGTAACCCGCATTTCAGACCCTGTGTAGAGAGGGCAATGTGACTTATTGCTTGGCACAGAATGTAAGTTGTGCTACTCTGCTGCTAATTTTTTTCTACAAATGAGATTATGAAATTTACATTGCTTCAATTCAGAAGTGTGACTATCAAACTGAAATTGGAATTCCACCAATAGCAGATATTTTGCCTCTCATTTCTACACTTAGAGTAATAGGTAAATTACTATTTACCTATTAAATTACAATTAAGAGTTGCAAATCTGAACAAAGCTAACAGAAGTGTAAAACACTGACTCATATTCTATAAAATCCTTGCGTGGTACACAGAGCTTTATAAAAGGGCCCAGGAGATGGTTAAAATCATGATTCTTGATTACACATGCAGGTGGAGCCAATGTTGTCCCCATCTCATGTTTACAAATCCCACTGCTGAAGCCCTGAGTTTAAAATGTAAATAAAGTAAAAAGATGGAATCGTGAGTTTCATATGTGGATGTTGTTACAGGTGAGATGGTGACTTATTTCTGGACCCAGATCAGGGGCATAATAATGGGTCCCCTGTCTAAATCCAGCTAATAAGAGAGATGTGGACTATCATAACTGGATTTAAAGCAATATGTAAAATTGTGAGTTAATATCAGCATGTAGTTCTCATAGTAGATTGCAAGTCTCATGCATACCAAGCCTTCAGATATGATAGAGTGTGTCATATGATGACCCGGAACACACGTGACATTGTGACTCTTATATACACACACCTAGCTAACAGTCAAAGGTGTCACCCTAACACATGAAGAGATTGTGTCATATCACTAGGCCTAGTACCTCTAGGTGTTGAGAACTTTTGGCTTACATTCTTTTCCATGGGTGCATTGTGAAATATCTCTGGGTTAGATTTATAATAATGTCACTCTTCTGCTTGGACCCTGCCAAACAGCAGATATTGTCACATATCTTTAGTTCTATCAGCTAGGTCATGTGTCTCTCCTGCCAGTTCCCTGTCCACTGGGAATACTGGGACATAGCTCTTGATATTGCATTAGGTAATGTGAATCTCCTCTCCTGTCTGGATCCTGCTCTCTGAAGAAATTGTGACGTACCACTGAGTCCCTGGATCAGAACCCAGATGATGAGACTCTTCTGTCTTGTCTCTGTCCAAAGGTGAAATTGGGACATACACCTGGATTCAGCTCATATGCCCAATAATAACTCTTATAACTAGACACAGCCATGGGAGGTGTTTCAACTCTCATAGCCAGTCTTATCAACAAAGGTAAAGTCCAAGATCACCCACCTGTAATAATTCACAGGAAAGTATGTTATTTAGGCATATCACATAAAGCCTGAGTGGTACAAAGGGTGTGATAACAGTCCCCAGAAACCAGGTGTTACTGTGACTCTTGGATTCACACCCAGCTGACATGATTGTTATTCTCACACATTAACAGCATCTACATATGAGGTACTAAATCTCACACATATAATCAATGGAAGCTTGAAATTGTTACTTCCATACATGAATCTGATCCACAGGTTGTTTGGTGACTTTTGAACCATGATTCAGTGAACTGTGGTGCTGTGAGTCTCCTACTGGAACACCATCTTCAAGTGGGACTGGGGCTCTTATACATGGATCTTGCTCATTGTTGAGATTATGACTCTTGTACTTAGACCCAACTGATAAGAAGGGTGGACTTTTGTCAATATCTGAGTGTTCTGACTTTCTACATCCAGGGCACGGTTGAAATTGTGACACACATGCAGCACACACTTATGCAATGGATGACACTTTCTTTGGCCATGTGACAAAGGCACTTTTACATGTCACTGCGACCATCACACAGCTGATGTGAGATCTTATCCTGACCCCTGCCTAAGAAGAGTACTGTGGCTTTTTTGTTTTCTTTTATGTTTTGCTTATTTTTTTTTGAGATGGAGTCTCACTCTGCTGCCCAGGCTGGAGCACGGTGGAGCGATCTCAGCTCACTGAAAGCTCTGCCTCCCAGGTTCACGTCATTCTCCTGCCTCAGCCTCCCAAGTAGCTGGGACTACAGGTGCCCACAACCACACCTGGCTATTTTTTTGTTTTGTTTTGTATTTTAATGGAGATGGGGTTTCACTGTGTTAGCCAGGATGGCCTCGATTTCCTGACCTCGTGATCTGCCTGCCTAGGTGCATTGCATAAGTGATGTAACTTCCTTCTACTACCTTGGCCCTGAACTCGCAATGCATTGTGAAACATAACTGGGCACTGCACCCAGGTGATGTGACTCTTTTTTGTGGGGGCTTTTTAACATATCCCATGGCTCAGCACCTGGGTAATGTTTCTTCTCTCTTGCCTGGGCCCTGAACACCAAAGAGATTGTGACATATTGCTGAATGCAGCACCAAGATTAGGTGACACTTCTGCCTTGGTTCTTCACATAGTGGCCACTGTGACACATATTCATGCCAATTACCAAGGTGAAGTTTGTCTACTGTTCTTCCTAAGCCTTGCCCACAAGGGGGATTTGCATATATCACTGAAACCAGCATCCAGGTGAAGAGACTCTTCTCCCACAGTCCTGCCCACAGGTAGGATTGTGACATTTCACTGGACCAGCACCCACACAGATGATGTGACTTTCCTTTCTTCTCCCTGCCAGAGGTGATACTGTTCCATATACCTGAGACCAGACCGAAACCCTAATAATGACAATTGTACCTGGAGCCAGGACACATGCAAGGTGGTGACTTTCATTTCTTAACCTTTCCACAGTTGTTTTTGTGACATATGCCATTGTCCAGCTCCTATGTGATTTAATAACCATGCCTACTTATAGCCCACAGATTACATTTTGACGTAAACCTATGCCAAGAACCTTGGTGATTTGATTCCCCTGTCTAAAAGTGACCTCAGAGGGGATTGTAACATATATCTGTACCCATCATCCAGGTTATGTGACTCTCCTCTCCTGCCTGAACCCTGCATCCAGTGAAGACTGTAGAATTTCTAAACATGGCATCCAAATGACATGACTCTCTGGCCTGGGCCTTTCAACAGGAGGCATTGTGACATATCATTGGGTCAATCATTTGTTATATGACTCTCCTCTCCTGCCTGGACTTTTTCCTCAAGGGCCATTTTGCCATAGAACTTTGCCTAGCACCCAAGTTTTGTGAAGTTTCTGTTAGGGTCTTACCTTTAAAGAAAATATTGAAATATTTCTGGCTCAGGATTTAGGTGAGGTGTTTGTCCTGCCAGTTTAATAACCAGAGAGAGGATTGTGACCTATACCTAGGCACAGCTAACAGGCATGATAATGACTCTCATATGTGAATGGAAACAATAGGAGAAATTTTGACTCTAATAACTATTTTTGGGACATGAGTGTTGTTCAGGTTTACCTTCTGGTAAAAAGGTCACAGATCATGACAACACCCACACATGATATCCCACCTTTGGTTTGTATAAAGAGTGTCATAACAGGTCCTAGCCCACAGAGAAAATTGTGAATCTTGTATGCACCCTCAGTTGACAGTAAGGACTATCATCATAACAGATGGATGAAAGCAGCTCTCCTACAGGTAAACAGGACACGTGTGTTATTTTACATCTCATCCCTAGAATTTAATTCCATCGTTATTCTGGCATAAAATCTTGCCAAGCACCTGTGTGATTTCACTCTTCAGACAGTTTCCAGCCTACATATGGAATTTTAATATCTACCTGAGTCAAACTTGAAGTAATGTGACTATTGTACACACTATTGTACTGAGGCCCTGCTCTCAGTAAGATTGTGACATCACTGAATCCCCACCCAGGTGATGTCATATTCTTGTGACATATCTCTGTGCCTATCACTTAGAAGACAATACTCTCCTCTTTTTTATGGACCCTGCACACAGGGCAGAATAGTGACTTATTCCTAGGCCAGGCACAGAAGTGATGAGTTTTTTTCCAGGGCCATGCCCAAAAGAGGGAATTTTGACATACCATAAAGGCCTATTATGGAGATGATATGGCTCCTCTCCCGGGATCCGCCCACTTGAATAATAACATATTGTAACATATTTCTGTGTCCATCTCATAAGTTATGTAACTCTCTTCTCTAAAATGAGCCCTGAACAAAGGAAAGATAGTGACACATTGCAAGGCCACGGACACAGGGAAGGGTACTCTTTTGTCTGAGACATGTCCACAAAAGGATATTGTGACATGTCTCTGGGTCTATCTTTGGGTTATGTGGCTTTTCTGCTTGGGCCCTGCCAACCTTGACAATGATATATTTTAGGCCATACACACAGGTGATGGTACACTTTTGCCAGGGCTATGCTTCATAGAGGTCATTGTGACATATCTCTGGGCCTATCATCTAGGTGAAGTGACTCCCTCCTTGGGCCCTGTGTACATGGAGGCCACACGGAGCATTGTGGCATAAACAGAGAACCCGCACCTAACTATCTTTGCTGGGTGCTGCCCTAAGAGAACCTTGTGAAATATCTCAGAACCCAGCACTCTGGGGTTGTGGCTCTTCTGCATAAGTTCTGCCCATATTTTACCCTGTGACATATTTCTAGGGAAGCACATAGGTGATATGACTCTCCTTGTTTGCCTAAGCCCTGACTACTGGGGACATTGGGACGTATCTCTGAGCCCATGACCTAAATGATGTGACTCTCTTTTTCAGCCTGGACCTTCACAATAGGAGGATTTTGGCACATTACTGAGCCCAGCACTCAGGTTATGTGACTCTCCTCATTTTCCCAAGCCATTCCTGCAAAACAGGAATTTTGGCCTACAGCAGGGCCCGGCACCCAGATGATGTTACTCTTCTGCCTTGCTTCTGCATATAGAGGAACTTATGGAATATTGCATATTGCTCGGCCCAGGACCATTGTTATGTGACTTTCCTCCTGTGCTGCAGCCACCTAACGTATTTTGACATATCTTGGTCTCTTCATGCAGGTGTTTTGGTTCTCATAACTTGGCTGGGTTTTTTCCACATGTGGGATGTTGTCATATTGCTGGGTCCAGCATGCAGTTAATATGACCAAATTCCCTATGCCCTGCCTAGAGAAGACATTGTGAAATATTGCTTGGCACAACATCTAAGTGATGTTACCCTCCTGCCTAGCTTTTTGTCCACATATGGGATTATAACATATACCCTGCTTCAGTTCACAGACATGATGTTCAAACTTATATTGGGATTCAGCCAATAGAAGATATTTTGCCTTTCACTGTTAGGCTTGGGGCAATAGACAATGTCCTCGGTTGCAAATATGTAACAACCTCACAGAAGCTTCCAACACTAACCTGTAGTATATAAACTCTTTGTTGATATAAAATTTCATAACAGGGCCCAGCCAAACCTTCAGATTGGGACTCTATGTTACATACCCAGGTGAAATTAAAAGTTATCACCATCCCACATTTACAATGCCACTGTCGAGATCATGAGTCTAATAAGGGAATGCAGCACAAAGTTGGAATTGTGACATTTATATGTGGTCCTGGCCACAAGTGGGATGGTCACTCATTTCTAGACCCAGCCCACAGGAATAATAATGGGTCTTCTTCCTTAACCCTGCCTAAAGGAGAGATCTTGACTATCAAACCTGGGTTTAGGTTAATATGTAAGATTGTGAGCCCATACCACCACATAGGCCTCACACAGCTTTGCAACTCTTATGCAGGTTTTATAAATCACTTGGATGTTGCAGAGGGTCATGCATTGTCCCAGCAAACATGTGAGATTGTCACTCTAATATACAAGTTTAGCTAAAAGTTAAAGTTGTCACCCTCAAAGATGATGAGATTGTGTCGTATCCCTGGGTCTAGTACCCAGGTGTTGAGACTTTTTGGCTCAAATTTCTTTCCATGGGTGCATTGCTACTTATCACTGGGTTAGAATCAAAATAGTGTGATTTTTCTGCTTGAGCTCTATCAAGAGGGTATAATATCACATATCTCTTGGCCTATCAGCTAGGTTATGTGTCTCTCCAGATTGTTCTCTGCATCCAGAAAAAATTTGAAATATCACAGAAATTAGCATCTAAATGGTGTAACTCTCCTCTCCTGCGTGGGTCCTGCTTACCAAAGGAATTATGACATATAGTTGAATGAAAAATCTAGGTGGTATGTCTCTCCTCTCTATTCAAAAGTTTATTTCTGTGCTGCATTCAGCTTCATTAATTTCTTTTTCTACTTTTATACTGGTACCAAAGTGCTTTGATTACTTTAGGTTTATTTTGTATTTGGAAATTGTTAAGTGTAATGCTTCCAAAATTTTTCTTTTTTTTATTATTTATTTTTTTCTCTTTTTTTTCTTTTTTCCCTCCCCCCTCCCGCCTCCCCCCAACCCACAACAGTCTCAAGAGTGTGATGTTCCCCTTCCTGCGTCCATGTGTTCTCATTGTTCAATTCCCACCTATGAGTGAGAACATGTGGTGTTTGTTTTTTTGTCCTTGTGATAGTTTGCTGAGACTGATGGTTTCCAGTTTCATCCATGTCCCCACAACGGACATGAACTCATCATTTTTTATGGCTGCATAGTATTCCATGGTGTATATGCGCCACATTTTCTTAATCCAGTCTATCATTGTTGGACATTTGGGTTGGTTCCAAGTCTGTGCTATTGTGAATAGTGCCTGAATAAACATACGTGTGCATGAATCTTTATAGCAGCATGATTCATAATCCTTTGGGTATATACCCAGTAATGGGATGGCTGGGTCAAATGGTATTTCCAGTTCTAGATCCCTGAGGAATCACCACACTGACTTCCACAATGGTTGAACTAGTTTACAGTCCCGCCAACAGTGTAAAAGTGTGCCTATTTCTCCACATCCTCTCCAGCACCTGTTGTTTCCTGACTTTTTAATGATCGCCATTCTAATTGGTGTGAGATGGTGTCTCATTGTGGTTTTGATTTGCATTTCTCTGATGGCCAGTGATGATGAGCATTTTTTCATGTGTTTTTTGGCTGCGTAAATGTCTTCTTTTGAGAAGTGTCTGTTCATATCCTTTGCCCACTTTTTGATTCAGGTTGTTTGTTTTTTTCTTGTAAATTTTGTTTGAGTTCATTATAGATTCTGGATATTAGCCCTTTGTCAGATGAGTAGGTTGTGAACATTTGCTTCCATTTTGTAGGTTGCCTGTTCACTCTGACGGTAGTTTCTTTTGCTGTGCAGAAGCTCTTTAGTTTAATGAGATCCCATTTGTCAATTTTGGCTTTTATTGTCATTGCTTTTGGTGTTTTAGACATGATGTCCTTGCCCATGCCTATGTTCTGATGGTATTGCCTAGGTTTTCTTGTAGGATTTTTATGGTTCTAGGTCTAACGTTTAAGTCTTTAATCCATCTTGAATTAATTTTTGTATAAAGTGTAAAGAAGTGATCCAGTTTCAGCTGTCTACATATGGCTAGCCAGTTTTCCCAGCACCATTTATTAAATAGGGAACCCTTTACTCATTGCTTGTTTTTGTCAGATTTGTCAAAGATCAGATGGTTGTAGATATGCTGCATTATTTCTGAGGGCTCTGTTCTGTTCCATTGATCTATGTCTCTGTTTTGGTACCGGTACCACGCTTTTTTGTAGTATAGTTTGAAGTCAGGTAGCACGATGCCTCTGGCTTTGTTCTTTTGGCTTAGGATTGACTTGGCGATGCAGGCTCTTTTTTGGTTCTGTATGAACTTTAAAGTCGTTTTTTTCCAATTCTGTGAAGAAAGTCATTGGTGGCTTGATGGGGATAGCATTGAATCTATAAATTACCTTTGGCAGTATGACCATTTTCATGATATTGATTCTTCCTACCCATGAGCATGGAAGGTTTTTCTATTTGTTTGTGTCCTCTTTTCATTCATTGAACAGTGGTTTGTGGTTCTACTTGAAGAGGTCCTTCACATCCCTTGTAAGTTGGATTCCTAGATATTTTATTCTCTTTGAAGCAATTGTGAATGGGAGTTCACTCATGATTTGGCTGTCTGTTTGTCTGTTATTGGTGTATAAGAATGCTTGTGATTTTTGTACACTGATTTTGTGTCCTGAGACTTTGCTGAAGTTGCTTATCAGCTTAAGGAGATTTTGGGCTCAGACAATGGGTTTTCTAAATATACAATCATGTCATCTGCAAACAGGGACAATTTGACTTCGTTTTGTCCTAATTGAATACCCTTTATTTCCTTCTCCTGCCTAATTGCCCTGGCCAGAACTTCCAACACTATGTTGAATAGGAGTGGTGATAGAGGGCATCCCTTTCTTGTGCCAGTTTTCAAAGGGAATGCTTCCAGTTTTTGCCCATTCAGTATGATATTGGCTGTGGGTTTGTCATAGATAGCTATTATTATTTTGAGATACATCCCATCAATACCTAATGTATTGAGAATTTTTAGCATGAAGGGTTGTTGAATTTTGTCAAAGGCCTTTTCTTCATCTATTGAGATAATCAGGTGGTTTTTGTCTTTGGTTCTGTTTATATGCTGGATTACATTCATTCATTTACATATGTTCAACCAGGCTTGCATCCCAGGGATGAAGCCCACTTGATCATGGTGGATAAGCTTTTTGATGTACTGCTGGATTCGTTTTGCCATTATTTTATTGAGGATTTTTGCATCAGTGTTCATCTAGGGTATTGGTCTAAAATTCTCTTTTTTGTTGTATCTCTACCAGGCTTTGGTATCAGGATGATGCTGGCCTCATAAAATGAGTTAGGGAGGATTCCCTCTTTTTCTATTGATTGGAATAGTTTCAGATGGAATGGTACTAGCTTATCCTTGTACCTCTGGTAGAATTCAGCTGTGAATCCATCTGGTCCTGGAATTTTTTTGGTCAGTAAGCTACTGATTATTGCCACAATTTCAGATCCTGTTATTGGTCTATTCAGAGATTCAATTTCTTCCTGGTTTAGTCTTGGGAGAGTGTATGTGTCAAGGAATTTATCCATTTCTTCTAGGTTTTCTAGTTTATTTGCATAGAGGTGTTTGTAGTCTTCTCTGATGGTAGTTTGTATTTCTGTGGGATCGGTGTTGATAACCCCTTTATCATTTTTTTATTGCGTCTATTTGATTCGTCTCTCTTTTCTTCTTTATTAGTCTTGCTAGCAGTCTATCAATTTTGTTGATCATTTCAAAAAACCAGCTCCTGGATTCATTAATTTTTTGAAGGGTTTTTTTGTGTCTCTATTTCCTTCAGTTCCGCTCAGATTTTAGTTATTTCTTGCCTTCTGCTAGCTTTTGAATGTGTTTGCTCTTGCTTTTCTAGTTCTTTTAATTGTGATGTTAGGGTGTCAATTTCAGATCTTTCCAGCTTTCTCCTGTGGGCATTTAGTGCTATAAATTTCCCTCTACACACTGCTTTGAATGTGTCCCAGAGATTATGGTGTGTTGTGTCTTTATTCCCATTGGTTTCAAAGAACATCTTTATATCTGCCTTCATTTTGTTATGTACTGAGTAGTCATTCAGGACCAGGTTGTCCAGTTTCCATGTAGTTGAGAGGTTTTGAGTGAGTTTCTCAATCCTGAGTTCTAGTGTGACCGCACTGTGGTCTGAGAGACAGTTTGTTGTAATTTCTTTTCTTTTACACTTGCTGAGGAGTGCTTTACTTCCAACTATGTGGTCAATTTTGGAATAGGTGTGGTGTGGTGCTGAAAAAAATGTATATCCTGTTGATTTGGGGTGGAGAGTTCTGTAGATGTCTATTAGGTCCGCTTGGTGCAGAGCTGAGTTCAATTCCTGGGTATCCTTTTTAACTTTCTGTCTTGTTGATCTGTCTAATGTTGACAGTGCGGTGTTAAAGTGTCCCATTATTATTGTGTGGGAGTCTAAGTCTCTTTGTAGGTCACTCAGGACTTGCTTTATGAATCTTGGTGCTCCTGTATTGGGTGCATATATATTTAGGATAGTTAGCTCTTCTTGTTGAATTGATCCCTTTACCATTATGTAATGCCATTCTTTGTGTCTTTTGATCTTTGTTGGTTTAACGTCTGTTTTATCAGAGACTAGGATTGCAACCCTTGCCTTTTTTTGGTGTTCTATTTGCTTGGTAGATCTTCCTCCATCCCTTTATTTTGAGCCTATGTGTGTCTCTGCACTTGAGATGGGTTTCCTGAATACAGCACACTGATGGGTCTTGACTCTTTATCCAATTTGCCAGTCTGTGTCTGTTAATTGGAGCATTTAGCCCGTTTACATTTAAAGTTAATATTGTTATTTGTGAATTTGGTCCTGTCATCATGATGTTAGCTGGTTATTTTGCTCGTTAGATGATGCAGTTTCTTTCTAGGCTTGATGGTCTTTACATTTTGGCGTGTTTTTGGAGTGGCTGGTACTGGTTGTTCCTCTCCATGTTTAGTGCTTCCTTCGGGAGCTCTTTTACGGCAGGCCTGGTGGTGACAAAATCTCTCAGCATTTGCTTGTCTGTAAAGTATTTTATTTCTCCTTCACTTATGGATATGAAATTCTGAGTTGAAAATTCTTTTCTTTAAGAACATTGAATATTGGCCCCCAATGTCTTCTGACTTGCAGAGTTTCTGCCAAGAGGTCTGCTGTTAGTTAGTCTGATGAGCTTCCCTTTGTGGGTAACCCGAACTTTCTCTGGCTGCCCTTAACAATTTTCCCTTCATTTCAACTTTGGTGAATCTGACAATTAAGTGTCTTGGAGTTGCTCTTCTCGAGGAGTATCTTTGTGAAGTTCTCTGTATTTTCTGAATCTGAATGTTGGCCTGCCTTACTAGATTGGGGAAGTTCTCCTGAATAATATCCTGCAGAGTGTTTTCCAACTTGGTTCCATTCTCTCTGTCACTTTCAGGTACACCAATCAGACGTAGATTTTGTCTTTTCACAAAGTCCCATATTTCTTGGAGGCTTTGTTCATTTCTTTTTATTCTTTTTTCTCTAAACTTCCCTTCTCACTTCATTTCATTCATTTCATTTTCCATCACTGATACCCTTTCTTCCAGTTGATTGCGTTGGCTCCTGAGGCTTCTGCATTCTTCACGTTGTTCTCGAGCCTTGGCTTTCAGCTCCATCAGCTCCTTTAAGGACTTCTCTGCATTGTTTATTCTAATTATCCATTCATCTAATTTTTTTCAAAGTTTCCAGCAATGGAACAAACTGGACCAAGAATGACTTTGACGAGTTGAGAGAAGACTTCAGATGATCAAACTACTCTGAGCTACAGGAGGAAATTCAAACCAATGGGAAAGAAGTTAAAAACTTGGAAAAATGCTTCTAATATTTTTCTTGTTTTTAAAGATTGCCAGGATTTTCATGTAATTTGTGGGTTTTGTAATTTCTATTTTTGGGAAAGTTTAATTTAAAATTGAAAATTGGTGGCTGGGCACGGTGGTTCAAGCCTGTAATCCCAGCACTTTGGGAGGCTGAGGCAGGTGGATCACGAGGCCAGGTGATTGAGACCAACCTAGCTAACACGGTGAAACCCCATCTCTTCAAAAATACAAAAAAATTAGCCTGGCATTGTGGTGGGCGCCTGTAGTCCCAGCTACTCGGGATGCTGAGGCAGGAGAATGGCATGAACCTGGGAGGTAGAGCTTGCAGTGAGCCAAGATTGTGCCACTGCATTCCAGCCTGGGTGACACAGCGATACTCCATCTCAAGAAATAATAATAATAATAAAAGAGAAATAAAATTGGTTTGTCAAATGTGTGGATCACTTCAAGCAGCATGGACAACTTTACAATACTATGTCTTCCAACCCTTGATAAACAGCATGCTCAAAAGTGTGTTACTGGCCAGGCATGGTGACTCATACCTGTAATCCCAGCACTTTGGAAGGCTGAGGAGGGTACATAGCCAGATCAGGAGATCAAGACCATTTTGGCCAACATGATGAAATCCCATCTCTACTAAAATGCACAAAATTAGCTAAGTGTGGTTGGGCATGCCTGTAATGCCAGCTACTGGAGAAGCTGAGTCAGGGGAATTGCTTGTACGTGGAAGTTAAGGTTACAGTGAGCCGAGATTGTGCCACTGTATTTCCTCCTAGTGACAGAGTGAGGCTGTATCTAAAAAAAAAGGAAAGAAAAAAAGTAAAACTATGTTAACAGTTAATTTTCATATATTTTTTCAGCTTTTCTCCCATTACTGATTTCTAGTTTCATTTCATTTGTGCTATAAAAAATTGTCTGCTAAATTTCAATTAAAAAAACTATTAAGACTTCTTTCATGGCATCACAGGTAATCCACCTAGGAAAATGTTTTATGAGCTATTGCAAAAAAAAAAAAAAAAGTGTATTCTTTTACCGGTATACATTTGTTAGGTAAATATATTGTATAGTGTATTCAAACTTTTTGTTCCCTTGTTGATATTCTGTCTTTATTTATTACTGAAAGTGGGATACAAATGTATCCTTCCATTATTGTATTGCTATCTATTTTTGCTTCAATTCTGTCAATGTTTGTTTTATGTGTTTGGGAAAACTCTCACATATTCACGGAATTTCAGTGAATGAACTCTCTTAATATAATTGAATGTCCTACTTTGTCTCTTGTGAATTTTGACTTAAAGCAAACTTCATAAAATATGACAGTTTTCAACTTAATAAATTGTTGCCTTTTCTCTTATGATTTGGTTAACACTTGCATGGCATGTATTTTTTATCCTGCCATTTTCAGTCTATTTTTTTAAATTAGGTCTGAAGTGAGTCTCTTGAAGACATGACATCGATACATCTTGATACAGGTCATAATATAGTTAGTTTTATTCTTTTTCCTGTTGAAGGATACTTTTGCTGGATATTGTATTCTCACTTAGACTTTGTAAAATGTTTCTCATCAAGTTTCCCTTCTTTTAAAGAAAAATACTAAATGTTAGAAATAAGATTTTCTTTTAAAGATAAAATTTCTTCAAAGCCTTCTTGTTTTGTGCTAATAACTCTTTGTTAAGCCCTACTCTATGTAGCTGTTATACATAAGGGAATAAGTACATTCTATGGCCTTGTACTTTCACCAGAACATTTCTTCTGTACATGCTCAGGCATGTCCCAGGTTGCAGCTTATGTCCCCTTTCTTATTTGGAAATCTTATTACTTCTCTAAGTATTTTTGCAAAAACTTTCCCTTTTTCTTTGTTCTCCATTGCCTTTACCTATTTAGGGAAGTTTCAGGTTGTTAGCCAATCAGGTTTAGCTTAGACTGTGATGCCTAGTTCCAACTAATGGAGATAGGACACAGAAGTAAGGACTCAATGCATACGGGTAAATATTCCTGCCTTTCTTTTTCATTGTGCTCTCAGGGTAGGATTGCTGATGAGCAGCACCCTTTCTGCAGAAAGTAAAATTGCCTTGCTGAGAAGATTCCTTGTCTGAGTATTAGTTCTATTTTTTGGCTCTGAGGAATAGGATTTTCTAACATAATTTTTTTTTCGGTGTTTTAAGTATGTTATCCTACTCCTTTTTTCCTGAAAGGTTTATGTTCATAAACTTACTGGTAATCTTACAGAAGCATGCATATAAATAACATAACTCTTTTTTCTTCCTGCATTCCAGATTCTCTTTTTGTGTGTGACTTTCAAAACATTGCTTATTTGGGGTCTTGTTAGAAATTTATTTGTGTTAGTTGAAATTTACTGAGCTTCTTGATTTTCTCATATTTTTAAATAATATTGAAGTGCGTATGAGACTTTTTTGTACTTCTACACTTTTTTGTGCTTTTTATCGTTTTCTTAATTTCATTTTTGTTATTTCATTTTGTTTTATTTATTTCCATTTAACTCATTAAGCATCATTCAGATGGTAAGTTAATTTCTCAGGTCAATTTATTTTTTCTTTCAAAAATAAATGCAGACTTTAATTGAAATTTTCTTAGGTAAGTTTTACATCTCTGTTTTGTATCATTGATTTCTGAATATTTATTTTTATCTTTGAGTGAGACATATTATCTTAATGTTTTGTATATGTTGTAGTCTTATGTTGCAATTTGTATAATAAATCACCACATGTGAAAATGCTTATTAAGTGATTTTTTCTTGGGAAATATGAACCAACTTTTGGGCTAGAGATTCTTGACGTCTCTCACTTCTGTTCTATACAAGTTTTATCTGGGCTTGTGTTTTTTCATTAAAAAATATTTCCAATTATTTATTATATTTTATTTTATTTTATATTTATTTTATTTTATTTTATTTTGAGTGAACATTTTACTCTTGTTGTCCATGCTGCAATGTGATGGCATGGTCTTGGCTCACTGCAAGAATCAACTCCTACTTTCCAGTGATTCTCCTGGCTCAGTCACCAGAGTAGCTGAGATTAGAGGTGCCCGCCACCATGCCTGTGTAATTGTTGTATTTTTAGTAGAGATGGGGTTTCACCATGTTGACCCGGCTGGTGTTGAACTTTTGACCACAGGTGAACAGCCTGCCTCAGACTCCCAAAGTGCTGGGATTACAGGTGTGGGCCACCACTCATGGACATTCCCTATGTTTCCTATTGAGATTCTGACTACAGTCAATTGCTATACCCATTTTCTGTCTATGACACTGAAGTCTTTTTTTGTAACAGTCATTTACCTTTGGTCTCACCAGCCCCAAACTGTCAAAGAATACCACTTTTCCTTTAAACACTGTCATATAATATAGAAATTAGTCTTTAGTAAGGTCTCACAAAACAAGAAGCCTGAACACAGGTGCCACTATTTTATTTATTTTTGAAGGGGGAAGACATGAGTTGGGAGTCTATATTTGAAGTCATCATAGGATGAAGAATGGCTGCGGTGGGTAAATATAAAACACTTTTATTACACTTCTATGTAGTTCTTGACATTTTGCTCCCTTGAAGTGCTATAAATTCTTAACTGATTCTTAGTCTTCTCACACAGGAATTTTGTTCATTATAATTGTGTTAAGTTTACATGTCTATAAAGGAATTACAGCCTGTGGTATTTTATTGTCACCTTGTTAATGTGCTTTGTGTAACTAATATTTGTAAAATGTATTCACATGAGCCTAATGTGGGAGAAATTTTGTTGTTCCTTTTGTTTTTGTTTTTCAGCTGGCTCTTTTCATATTACTGCAGACATATGGTGGGAACATATTATAAAACATTCATTTCAAAAAGTGATTCTGAGAAAATATGGAACCTGTGACCTTAACCATTTACATTTAAAAAAGACTAGCAAAGTGTGAATTACTACAAGGGACAGAAAGAAAAGCAGTTATAATTTCTTTCTTCAATGTTTATCAACTACCCAGAGAAAAACTTGTCAATGTTATAAATTTGGAAAGCTTTCCAGGTGTACCCAATCTTCAGTGAACAGAAGAAAACCTTTAGCAGAGAGAAATACTACAAATGCAAAGAATATGGCAGAAACTGTAGGTAGTTCTCAGATTTTACTATAAAAAATGGAATACTTACTGCAGAGAGATGCTACAGATATGAAGAATGCGGCAAAGCCTTTAAAAAGTTCTCAAACCTTACTGAACATAAGAGAGTTCATACTGGAGGAAAAACCTACAAATGTGAAGAATGTGACAAAATTTTAACCTGCTCCTCAACCCTTATTAAACACAAGATAAATCATTTTGGAAATAGATCCTACAATTGCAAAGAATGTGTAAAAGCCTTTAAATGTTTCTCAGACCTTACTAATTCTAAGAGAATTCTCAGAACTTGCTAAAAATAAAATAATTTATACTGGAGAGAAACCATCATACAAATGTGAAGAATGTCACAGAGCCTATGGGGGGTTCTCAGACCTTAATAAACATAAGATAACTCATACTGAAGAGAAACCCTACATATATAACTAATGTGGAGAAGCTTTTAAGTGGTTCTCAGCCGTTAGTAAACATAAGAGAATTTATACTGGAGGGAAACCCTACACCTGTAGAAAAAAAAAAGTCAAAGCCTTTACCTGCTTTTCAATCCTTATTAACCACAAGATAATTCATATAGAAGACAGCCCTTACAAATCTGAAGCATGTGGCAAAACCTTTAAGTGCTTTTCAGACTTTGCTAATCATAAGAGAATTCACACTGCAGGAAAAGCCTACAAATGTGAAGAATGTGGTGAAACATTAAGTTCATTCTCACACTTCATTAGAAATAATAGAACTCATAGTAGAGAGAAGCTTCACAAGTGTTAAAAATGTGGAAAAGCTTTTAAAGCATCCTCATTTTATGTCCAACATCAGAGACTTAATACTGAACAAATGCCACATAAAGGTAATGACTGTTGAAGAAGATTTAACTTAACATCTTGCAGCATCACTAAGAACTCGCTTTATACTCAGTGCTTTTGGGTTGGGTTTGTCTATTGCATTTTACTATTATGGAATGCCTTCTTTCTCTTAAAAAAAAACTACGTGGATTTTAAGTTTGCTTTGCTAGAAACTAGGATTGCATCACCTCCTTTTTTCTGTTTTCCATCTATTTGGTAGATTTCTCTTTTTTCTTTATATTTAGCTTAATTGAGATGAGTGTCTAGATTACAGAATACCATTAGATCTTGATTCTTTACTCAACTTGCCACACTGTTTTTTAATTGGGGCATTTAGCCCATTTACAGTTATGGTTAGTATTCATATGTGTTGATTTGATTCTGCCACCACGATTTTAGCTGGCTATTTTGCACATTTGTTTTGTGGTCGCTTTAGAGTGTCAGCAGTTTATTTACTTTGGTGTGTTTTTGAAGTGACTAATTACAGGGTTTTTTTTTTATTTAGTGTTTTCTTCAGAAGCCCTTGTAAGACAGGTCTTGGGTAACAGATTTCTTCAGCGTTTGCTTATGTGAATAGGATCATATTAATTTTTTTCACTTCTGAAGCTCCCTTTGGTTGGATATAAGCTTACTTTGGTCTCGTGGGAAGCTGCAGTATGGGGAAGAAACATGTGGACTGGTGGAGTCATAGGGGCTGTATTGCTGAAGCTCTTCAGGGATCAGGCATGGCCCACCAGTACCGATGCTATGGTATGGGATCCCAGGGTAACTGAGACTGCCCTGTAAGAACCTGTGGCCAGAATAGGTCCCTATAAGAGGCCAGGAGACCAAGGGGTATTCAATTGGAACAATTTCTTCTGATTTGCAAGACCATCCTGCAAAAATTAGGTCCAACAATTTTTCTAGGGCTAAAGCCTCTTATGGGAGAAAGTTGAACCTAGAGAAGTGGCCATCACTGGCAACATATTACTACAGATGCTCTTGCACCAACACTCTTGACACCACATGAGGTGGCTTGCTGCCCCTTCTTTGCTTGGCTTCTAGGGGCTGCATCTCAGAGAGATGTAGGTCAGCAATCCCTTACTACAGACAGCCCAGGATGGAGGATCTCTGCTTTTGGCCAAGTTTGGTGTTTACTGTCTTGTGAGGAGCAATAGGTAGCTTGTGGAACCCATGGAGGGTGGACTGGCCCTCACTCTTTGGGTAAAATGCAGCTTGTTTGAGGTGTAAATAAGGTACCTGGGTTTTGAATTTTTCATTAGTCTGAGAAGCATAGCAAGGACAGTTCTAACACAGAGATAGTGGCAGAAATATTTTCAGTTACTCCTAGAGGCTGTGTCCAGGAAGTTGCTAGGTTGCTGCAGGCTCAATATCCCTGCCAATGATTGGCTAATGGCCGAGACCTGGAGAGTCTGCACAGTGAGAATGTGTGAGAACAGGTGCTCATGTAACAGTATGGCCACTTTTCTAAAGGGCTGCTGCAGTATGTTTTGTGTCCACTGCAGTTTCTGGTCACCTCAGGTTTTACAGAATCTGAAGCTGTCCCACTGAATGCTGAAAAACAGCAACAAAGGCAGTATGCCCCATTCTCTGGAAGCTCCATCCCAGGCAGGTATAGACCTGTTTCCAGCCCAAAAGCACCTGAAGGAGATAGCTGGAACCCCTCTTCAAATGTCTTACCCAGTGAGGAAAACATAATTCGGGACCCACTTAAGATAGCAGTCTAGCCACATTTTTGTAGGAGAGCTCTGCTGTGCAGAGGTATCACTTTCATCCCTTGTTTATTTGGATTCTCCAAAGCCAGAAAGCTGGAACAGCTAAGTCACAAAAACAGCAAAAGTGGCAGCTCACTCTTCACTCTAGGAACTATACCCCGAAGAGGTTTCAAAATTCCATAAATCAAATAACACTGGTGGTGGTAGCTGGACACCCTGTTTGGGAAGTTCTTTTCAGTGAGGAGGAAGAGTTTGGGGACGTGCTTTACCAGGCAGACTGGTGGTGTCATTTTAGAGCACCTGTACGGTGCTATAGATCCTTGCTGCCCCAGTCAGCTTAGGCTTTTCAAAGCCTGAAGGCTGGGATGGCTATGTTGTTGAAACAGCAAAGATGGAGGTCCACTCCTGTTTCTGGTAGCTCCAATTCAGAGAGATACAGCGCTGCTGCCAATGATTGGCTGGAATTCTAAGCCAGTAGATCTTACTCTATGAGGCACTGTGGAAGTGGGTCCTACAGACTGTCACTGCTCAGGTCCCTGGATTCTGCCTATTTCCTATAGGTATGTATATGGGTATAACCTCCTGCTTTGCTGGCGTTGCAGCTACTTTTTCTGGGAATCCTGGAAAGCCAGAGTATCTGTGGCTCTGCAACACGCCAGTGCAGTTGCTATGCTGAGACTCCAAGTAGCTCTATGTGTTAGACTAAAGGCCTTGGTAAAGTAGGTTCCTCAGGGAGTCTCCCCATCTGAGGATTAAAAAGATGTGTGGGAGAATTGTAGGTTCCCAGGGTCACACATGCACTTACTGCTTTACTGGATGGGGAGGTTCTCTTGGCTCTATGTCTTTTCTGGGTGGCCCATTGTTCGGCCTTGCTCTACTCTCCACAAGTTGTTTATTTGATTATTCTGAAGGCAAATACCTGGATATTTCATTTGAAGGTGCTGTATTTATGCACGCCTTGCATTTTTCTCTGTGAGAACTACAGGGTCTAGCTGCTCCTAATCTGCAATGTTGGTCTCTTTCCTCTAAAAGAAACCTACTTTTTTATATGAAAATAATTTAAGCTGGGCACAGAGGCTCATGTGTGTAATCCCAGGATTTGGGGAGGTCAAGGTGGATAGATCATGAGGTCAAGAAATCAAAACCATTCTGGCCAACATGGTGAAACCCCATATCTACAAAAAACAAACAAAAACAAAACAAAACAAAAAAAACTTTTGAGCATGGTGGTGCACACCTGTAGTTCCAGGTACTCAGGAGTCTAAGGCAGGAGGATTGCTTGAATGCAGGAAGTGGAGGTTGCAGTGAGCCAAGATCACACACTGCAGTCCAGCATGGCAACAGGGTGAAACTTTCTCTCATAACAAACAAATAAAAATTTAATATTTTTTCAAAAGCAACTATTGATGGAATTTAAGTCTTATATTTGAAGCTGTGTGTTCATTTCTAGAATTTATGTGAAAGAGCATGGTCAATGGTCCCTGCACTAGATTTAAGAGAGGTTCTTCTATATTAGATTGACAGATTTATATACTTTCATATGGAAGATTAAGAAAACTGAAATCTAAGATACATGAAGAAATTCTAAGTGGAAAGTCTACTTAGTGGTTGGGTATCATAAGTGCAGTATCATAAGTGACAGGATGATAGGAGTGTGAAAAGTAACCAGAATAATATTCTGCATAGTAAGAGAAACAATTTGGATTTTAGAAGGAAATTGCTTTACCATTTGCAGATTAAGATAATTAAAATACAGTGAATTTCAAAATGCCTTTTTAATGGCAATGTGTAAACTTAATTTTTTTAATTGAAGAAAATATTTGTGAATGTAATAATGCTACTTTACATTGAATTTTTATCTTGCCACTGATGTTACTTATCCCATTTTACCCATGGTTGTAGGTAACAGATGGTAACTATATTCTATAGAATTACACTGAAATAATATCTCTCATGATTCCTTTGTCAGTGGTCTTTAACTTAAAATAATTTGAAGAATATGGTTCCTACAATTTATATTTTTGTTTTTCTTGTAACTACAGATTATTGTGATGGTTGTTATGAAGATTTGGAATATAATAGACCTATATGCTTTAATTCTGAATTCTGAACAACTATTTGCAAAATTTTATCCTACTTCTTTTTTTTAACTGATGACTTCTCTGGTCTGCTAAACATATTCATACCTTTATTTTTTATTTAAATGGATGTAAATATACAGACAAATCACTGTAAAATAAACTTTGTATGTAACAGCTTTATAGAGAATACTCATATTTGTTTGTGATTGTGTACCTACTTTGAGAAGCAAAGAAAAATATTAGAATAAAACACATAATTTTACATGTCTTGATAACTTACCAGCAAACCGGAAACTTCAAAGATTTTGAAAGCAAATCTATTTTCTCTGCCTTGTATTAATCCCGTTTACCAAAAATGTTATTGCTCTTGTCTTAGAAACATCTTGTGCACATTCTCCTTTTTTTGTCTGTTTGCTTGTTGCTCACTATAGACATAATATATACATTTATTTTAGTCTAATTTCATAAAGCATTCCTTGTATAATTTTCTCAGAGATGATGAATGTGACTTTGATAAAATTTAATGATCTTCACAAAATAATTTTTACATGTAATTTCATGGTGTGTGTATTATTGTATGCTATTTATTTAGTACATTTTTTATTTTATTTCAATTTGAGAATGCTATTTAATCCAATTTTTATTTATTGTTCATTTTACATTATGAACTTGATATAATTGAGTTTATTAAACTTATTAGGCCAATTTATTCAAATTAATAGTTGAACATTTATTAAGTCATGAGGTCCTTTTGGCATATACATGAAGTAAACAAGATAATACTAGCTATATAATAGAAGCTACATAATTAGAAATAAATATTCTTCTTGAAATTAGCCAGTAGACTCAGATGAAAATAAAAATGTCTATAGTATGACATGAATTCTGCATATGAAGTGAACAAAATTGTACCACTGCTGCACAGTTGACTCTCACAATTGAAACAAATTATAGAGTTGGACATACTATAAAAACTAAGTTAAAATCTTGTAAAATTTTTAAATTGCATTTCTACCTTTAAACATCTACTGAGTGAGGTAGAGGGCATGTCTATTTAATCAAACCTGGAATGGCTAATACATGTCAATACTGTGCACCACAGGTATCAAAACCTAAAATTCCCGAAACCCTTTCCCTTTAGATTAGCAAAATATGATTTTAATCTCCCAACTCTATATTGTGTCTTAGACAAAATTACTAGGCCATTTTTTTTACATTTGATTCTGGATTTTTTTTTTTAATGGAGTCTTGCTCTGCCACCCACACTGGAGTACAGTGGTGTGATCTCAGTGCACTACAACCTCCACCTCCTGGGTTAAATTGATTCTTCTGCATCAGCCTCCTAAGTAGATGGGACTACATGTGCCCACTGCCATGCCTGGCTAATTTTTTTGTGTTTTTAGTAGAGACGGGGTTTCACCATTGTTAGACAAAATGGTTGATCTCCTGACCTTCTGATTTGCCCATCTCAGCCTCCCAAACTGCTGGGATTACACGTGTCAGCCACCACGCCAAGCCTTGATTCTAGATCTTGACACATCCTATCCTCAACTTAATTTCTCTGAGGATAGAAAAACTGTGTGATATGGAATAATAATACCAAACATTTGTTATAAACAAAGGATATTTTATTTCTGCCCTGCTGTCCTGGCCTCTTAGAATCATAGCTCTTCTTAGAAACTGGCAGAATCAGCCTTCTGTTCAGGGTAAATTTTGGGCAATTATGTGACATATGAAGGCTGGTTTCATTGCACCAGGTACTAAGAAAACCTGCTTCTGCCAGAAGTAAAATCCAGTAAGTTTTTTTTTTTTTAATATAAATTGGTGATTTTTTTTTATTATACTTTAAGTTTTAGGGTCCATGTGCACATTGTGCAGGTTAGTTACATATGTATACATATGCCATGCTGGTGCACTGCACCCACTAACTCGTCATCTAGCATTAGGTATATCTCCCAATGCTATCCCTCCCCCCTCCCCCCACCCCACCACAGTCCCCAGACTGTGATATTCCCCTTCCTGTGTCCATGTGATCTCATTGTTCAATTCCCACCTATGAGTGAGAATATGCGGTGTTTGGTTTTTTGTTCTTGAGATAGTTTACTGAGAACGATGATTTCCAATTTCACCCATGTCCCTACAAAGGACATGAACTCATCATTTTTAATGGCTGCATAGTATTCCATGGTGTATATGTGCCACATTTTCTTAATCCAGTCTATCATTGTTGGACATTTGGGTTGGTTCCAAGTCTTTGCTATTGTGAATAATGCTGCAATAAACATACGTGTGCATGTGTCTTTATAGCAGAATGATTTATAGTCCTTTGGGTATATACCCAGTAATGGGATGGCTGGGTCAAATGCTATTTCCAGTTCTAGATCCCTGAGGAATCGCCACACTGACTTCTACAATGGTTGAACTAGTTTACAGTCCCGCCAACAGTGTAAAAGTGTTCCTGTTTCTCCACATCCTCTCCAGCACCTGTTGTTTCCTGACTTTTTAATGATTGCCATTCTAACTGGTGTGAGATGATATCTCATTGTGGTTTTAATTTGCATTTCTCTGATGGCCAGTGATGATGAGCATTTTTTCATGTGTTTTTTGGCTGCATAAATGTTTTCTTTTGAGAAGTGTCTGTTCATGTCCTTCACCCACTTTTTGATGGGGTTGTTTGTTCTTTTCTTGTAAATTTGTTTTAGCTCATTGTAGATTCTGGATATTAGCCCTTTGTCAGATGAGTAGGTTGTGAAAATTTTCTCCCATTTTGTAGGTTGCCTGTTCACTCTGACAGTAGTTTCTTTTGCTGTGCAGAAGCTCTTTAGTTAAATTAGATCCCGTTTGTCAATTTTGTCTTTTGTTGCCATTGCTTTTGGTGTTTTAGACATGAAGTCCTTGCCTATGCCTATGTCCTGAAGGGTAAAGCCTAGGTTTTCTTCTAGGGTTTTTATGGTTTTAGGCCTAACGTTTAAGTCTTTAATCCATCTTGAATTGATTTTTGTATAAGGTGTAAGGAAGGGATCCAGTTTCAGCTTTCTACATATGGCTACCAGTTTTCCCAGCACCATTTATTAAATAGGGAATCCTTTCCCCATTGCTTGTTTTTCTCAGGTTTGTCAAAGATCAGATAGTTGTAGATATGCGGCGTTATTTCTGAGGGCTCTGTTCTGTTCCATTGATCTATATCTCTGTTTTGGTAACAGTACCATGCTGTTTTGGTTACTGTAGACTTGTAGTATAGTTTGAAGTCAGGTAGTGTGACGCCTCCAGCTTTGTTCTTTTGGTTTAGGATTGACTTGGCAATGTGGGCTCTTTTTTGGATCCATATGAACTTTAAAGTTTTTTTTTCCAATTCTGTGAAGAAAGGCATTGGTAGCTTGATGGGGATGGCATTGAATCTGTAACTGACCTTGGGCAGTATGGCCATTTACACGATATTAATTCTTCCTATCCATGAGCATGGAATGTTCTTCCATTTGTTTGTATCCTCTTTTATTTCCTTGAGCAGTGGTTTGTAGTTCTCCTTGAAGAGGTCATTCACATCCCTTGTAAGTTGGATTCCTAGGTTTTTTATTCTCTTTGAAGCAATTGTGAATGAGAGTTCACTCATGATTTGGCTCTCCGTTTGTTTGTTGTTGGTGTATAAGAATGCTTGTGTATTTTGTACATCGATTTTGTATCCTGAGACTTTGCTAAAGTTGCTTATCAGCTTAAGGAGATTTTGAGCTGAGACGATGGGGTTTTCTAGATATACAATCATGTCGTCTGCAAACAGGGACAATTTGACTTCCTCTTCTCCTAATTGAATACATTTTATTTCCTTCTCCTGCCTAATTGCCCTGGCCAGAACTTCCAACACTATGTTGAATAGGAGTGGTGAGAGAGGGCATCCCTGTCTTGTGCCAGTTTTCAAAGGGAATGCTTCCAGTTTTTGCCCATTCAGTATGATATTGGCTGTGGGTTTGTCATAGATAGCTCTTATTATTTTGAAATACGTCCCATCAATACCTAATTTATTGAGAGTTTTTAGCAGAAGGGTTGTTGAATTTTGTCAAGGGCTTTTACTGCATCTATTGAGAGAATCGTGTGGTTTTTGTCTTTGGCTCTGTTTATATGCTGGATTACATTTATTGATTTGCATATATTCAACCAGCCTTGCATCTCAGGAATGAAGCCCAGTTGATCATGGTGAATAAGCTTTTTGATGTGTTGCTGGATTCGTTTTGCCATTATTTTATTGAGGATTTTTGCATCAGTGTTCATCTAGGGTATTGGTCTAAAATTCTCTTTTTTTGTTGTGTCTCTGCCTGGCTTTGGTATCGGAATGACGCTGGCCTCGGGAAAAGAGTTAGGGAGGATTCCCTCTTTTTCTATTAATTGGAATAGTTTCAGAAGGAATGGTACCAGTTCCTCCTTGTACCTCTGGTAGAATTTGGCTGTGATTCCATCTGGTCCTGGACTCTTTTTGGTTGGTAAGCTATTGATTATTGCCACAATTTCAGATCCTGTTATTGGTCTATTCAGAGATTCAACTTCTTCCTGGTTTAGTCTTGGGAGAGTGTATGTGTCCAGGAATTTATCCATTTCTTCTAGATTTTCTAGTTTATTTGCATAGAGGTGTTTTTAGTATTCTCTGATGGTAGTTTGTATTTCTGTGGGATCGGTGGTGATATCCCCTTTATCATTTTTTATTGCATCTATTTGATTCTTCTCTCTTTTTTTCTTTATTAGTCTTGCTAGCGGTCTATCATTTTGTTGATCCTTTCAAAAAACCAGCTCCTGGATTCATTAATTTTTTGAAGGGTTTTTTGTGTCTCTATTTCCTTCAGTTCTGCTCTGATTTTTGTTATTTATTGCCTTCTGCTAGCTTTTGAATGTGTTTGCTCTTGCTTTTCTAGTTCTTTTAATTGTGATGTTAGGGTGTCAATTTTGGATCTTTCCTGCTTTCTCTTGTGGGCATTTAGTGCTATAAATTTCCCTCTACACACTGCTTTGAATGCGTCCCAGAGATTCTGGTATGTTGTGTCTTTGTTCTCGTTGGTTTCAAAGAACATCTTTATTTCTGCCTTCATTTCGTTATGTACCCAGTAGTCCTTCAGGAGCAGGTTGTTCAGTTTCCATGTAGTTGAGTGGTTTTGAGTGCGATTCTTAATCCTGAGTTCTAGTTTGATTGCACTGTGGTCTGAGACATAGTTTGTTATAATTTCTGTTCTTTTACATTTGCTGAGGAGAGCTTTACTTCCAAGTATGTGGTCAATTTTGGAATAAGTGTGGTTTGGTGCTGAAAAAAAATGTATATTCTGTTGATTTGGGGTGCAGAGTTCTGCAGATGTCTATTAGGTCCGCTTGGTGCAGAGCTGAGTTCAATTCCTGGGTATCCTTGTTAACCTTCTGTCTCTTTGATCTGTCTAATGTTGACAGTGGGGTGTTAAAGTCTCCCATTATTATTGTGTGGGAGTCTAAGTCTCTTTGTAGGTCACTCAGGACTTGCTTTATGAATCTTGGTGCTCCTGTATTGGGTGCATATATATTTAAGATAGTTAGCTCTTCTTGTTGAATTGATCCCTTTACCATTATGTAGTGGCCTTCTTTGTCTCTTTTGGTCTTTGTTGGTTTAACGTCTGTTTTATCAGAGACTAGGATTGCAACCCCTGCCTTTTTTTGTTTTCCATTTGCTTGGTAGATCTTCCTCCATCCTTTTATTTTGAGCCTATGTGTGTCTCTGCACGTGAGATGGGTTTCCTGAATACAGCACACTGATGGGTGTTGACTCTTTATCCAATTTGCCAGTCTGTGTCTTTTAATTGGAACATTTAGTCCATTTACTTTTAAAGTTAATATTGTTATGTGTGAATTTGATCCTGTCATTATGATGTTAGCTGGTTATTTTGCTCGTTAGTCGATACAGTTTCTTCCTAGTCTTGATGGTCTTTACATTTTGACATGATTTTCCAGTGGCTGGTTCTTGTTGTTCCTTTGAATGTTTAGCGCTTCCTTCAGGAGCTCTTTTAGGGCAGGTCTAGTGGTGACAAAATCTTTCAGCATTTGCTTGTCTGTAAAGTATTTTATTTCTCCTTCGCTTATGAAGCTTAGTTTGGCTGGATATGAAATTCTGGTTTGTAAATTCTTTTCTTTAAGAATGTTGAATATTGGCCCTCACTATCTTCTGGCTTGTAGGGTTTCTGCCGAGAGATCCACTCTTGGTCTGATGGGCTTCCCTTTGAGGGTAACCCGACCTTTCTCTCTGGCTGCCCTTAACATTTTTTCCTTTGTTTCAACTTTGGTGAATCTGACAATTATGTGTCTTGCTCTTCTTGAGGAGTATCTTTGTGGTGTTCTCTGTATTTCCTGAATCTGAACATTGGCCTGCCTTGCTAGATTGGGGAAGTTCTCCTGGATAATATCCTGCAGAGTGTTTTCCAGCTTGGTTCCATTCTCCCTGTCACTTTCAGGTACACCAATCAGACATAGATTTGGTCTTTTCATATAGTCGCATATTTCTTGGAGGCTTTGTTCATTTCTTTTTATTCTTTTTTCTCTAAACTTCCCTTCTCACTTCATTTCAGTCATTTCATCTTCCATCGCTGATACCCTTTCTTTCAGTTGATCGCACCGGCTCCTGAGGCTTCTGCATTCTTCATGTAGTTCTTGAGCCTTGGTTTTCAGCTCCATCAGCTCCTTTAAGCACTTCTCTGTATTGGTTATTCTAGTTATACATTCTCCTAATTTTTTTTCAAGTTTTCAACTTCTTTGCCTTTGGTTTGAATGTCCTCCTGTAGCTCAGATTAATTTGATCGTCTGAAGCCTTCTTCTCTCAGCTCGTCAAAGTCATTCTCCATCCAGCTTTGTTCCGTTGCTGGTGAGGAACTGCGTTCCTTTGGAGGAGGAGAGGCGCTCTGCTTTTTAGAGTTTCCAGTTTTTCTGTTCTGTTTTTTCCCCATCTTTGTGGTTTTATCTACTTTTGGTCTTTGATGATGGTGATGTACAGATGGGTTTTTGGTGTGGATGTCCTTTCTGTTTGTTAGTTTTCCTTCTAACAGACAGGACCCTCAGCTGCAGTTCTGTTGGAATACCCTGCCGTGTGAGGTGTCAGTGTGCCCCTGCTGGGGGGTGCCTCCCAGTTAGGCTGCTCGGGGGTCAGGGGTCAGGGACCCACTTGAGGAGGCAGTCTGCCCCTTCTCAGATCTCCAGCTGCTTGCTGGGAGAACCACTGCTCTCTTCAAAGCTGTCAGACAGGGACATTTAAGTCTGCAGAGGTTACTGCTGTCTTTTTGTTTGTCTGTGCCCTGCCCCTAGAGGTGGAGCCTACAGAGGCAGGCAGGCCTCCTTGAGCTGTGGTGGGCTCCACCCAGTTCGAGCTTCCCTGCTGCTTTGTTTACCTAAGCAAGCCTGGGCAATGTCGGGCGCCCCTCCTCCAGCCTCGCTGCCACCTTGCAGTTTGATCTCAGACTGCTGTGCTAGCAATCAGCAAGACTCCGTGGGCATAGGACCCTCTGAGCCAGGTGTGGGATATAATCTCGTGGTGTGCCGTTTCTTAAGCCGGTCAGAAAAGAGCAGTATTCTGGTGGGAGTAACCCGAGTTTTCAGGTGCGTCCATCACCCCTTTCTTTGACTCAGAAAGAGAACTCCCTGACCCCTTGTACTTCCCAAGTGAGGCAATGCCTGGCCCTGCTTCGGCTTGCACATGGTGCGCGCACCCACTGACCTGCGCCCACTGTCTGGCACTCCCTAGTGAGATGAACTGGGTACCTCAGATGGAAATGCAGAAATCACCATCTTCTGCTTCACTCACCCTGGGAGCTGTAGACCGGAGCTGTTCCTATTCGGCCATCTTGGCTCCTCCAGTGATTTTTAAAATAATATAAATGATAGGTTTCTTCTGTTTAATTGTAATGATTCTTTCAAAGAGATGTTTGGCTTTATTTCTATAATGAAGCAAATTCTGAACATCTTATAATCTGTTCATTATCATATAGTAAATAATAAAGAACAAGTTAATGAATCTCAGTTTTTGTAAGTATTTTAGTGAATAAATTTAATCTCATTTCCATAATCTTTAAGTTTTACTACTGAAGACCAGAATAGACTTTTTTCTTCTTTTGGGAAACTATAAAAGCATGTTCATAATGTTACTTTCATAGATAATATGAATATCAACTGTCAAGTGTGTTGGTTTCTAAAATAAAATATTTTAGAATTGTATTACCAAACATATTCAATGAAATGTTTTAAAGTTGCCTATTTAAAAAATCTGCCAATTTTGAATTGCATATGCAGCTAAAATTTTCTTAAGATAGAGGATAAGATGTAAAATAATTCATACAAATAATATAAACTCAGTTTTCTGAAATTATTTACTTAAGAAATCTAATTACAGTTTAAATAAGTTGTGATCACCTATTAGCCTTTATGCAGCATATTATATTACTAAAATTTTGCATCTAAAATGGTAGCAATTAGAACAAAGTAGAGAAAATACAATAATTGGCATAAAAAATTTCAAGAAAATGAAATGTTTGTATGATGACCTAAATAAAGTAATATGAAGAATGAAAGGATAGTATTAGTTTTACACATTATTGGTCAAAAGTAACCTGAGATATTGTGTAGAAAGTGCTATTAATTATATCTTTGAGACCGTCTTACTGATTTTGGCACTTAGAGAAGCTCCAGCACAGACCCAGCATTCCTTAGGCATTTTTTTCCAGGAGAACATTTAATAGAAATGAAGCAGAAGGTGACTTACACAAAGGTAAATGAATACTTGTCTCCTAGAGACCAGTGGGTGCAGCTTGCTAAAAGAGTAGACCTTTCCTGGAAGTCACGGAAGGGGCTATGGGCAAGCATCTTAGAATAGGGGCCTGGAGCTCCATGAAACACTCCTGCCAGCAGTGATCTCAGAGGGCCACGTGGTAGGTCAGCCTAGGTGCTCTGTCATGTTCCCGGTCCTTGAGTCCTTCCTCACCCACTAGGTATTTCCACAAAGAAATCAGGATGGCAACCACAAGTGCAGCCCCCCTAGAAGGAGATCAAGAGTGTCAAGGATCACATTCTTCTTGGAAAATTCAGTGATTTAGTAACTCGTCAATAAGCTGTAGCAGAATGTGCTGCTCTAACCCACAGAGATCACACTCTAGGAGGAAATTTGGGTGACACCTGCCTGAAGATGTGCATTGGAGGAAGGACGGACAGGTCACCTGGGACTTAGTGAGCAAGTGCCCCTAGCCAATCCGGGGAGACATGGGCTTGGCCAGAGCAGAAAGTAAGGGTGGCATACAGCAGACATGCTGAGCTGTCAGATGGGCACACAAGGGTAGGTATGAGTGGTCCCTGAGTGGGAGAACCCCCTCAAAGCCCTCAACTCACCCAAGAGATCCCCCAGCCTTTTGAACCACAAGCTGTACCTGGAACTCCAGGGTGCGCACTGGGTAGTGGCCTGGTAAAACTTGGGTGAGCAGCCAGTCACTGAGTGACTTCCATTGCCCATGTCTCTAATGAGAAAATTGAATCCCCAAAGTCACAAGCCAGGAGCAGCAAAAGCACTAGGCTGAGGCATCACATTTTTTCTTCACTGGCACCCATAATCCTCAGAACCCCTGGGCTTCCCTTGAGGAAAAATATTCCTCTTCATTGTGAGTGTAGGCCCAAATCAGAGAACTGGCTTGACTGTTCAACTGCACTCAGGCAGTGTGTGTACCATTCCAAGCAGGTCCCATTTACTTCGTGCCTCCAGTTATTTCATCTGCAACATATCACTTGTAACAGCTCTTTCTCTACCCTCCAAATTCTATGGTTTTTGAAATTCCTCTGAAGACCACATGAGCCAAGCATCAAGGATCATTGTTCTTTAGGCTACTCAGGCTATTCCAGGAAGAGAGATCTCTCAAACTACGTTGACACTTAAGAGTCATGTATAGATAGTACCAGATCTAGGAGGAGGGCTGTCAAATATCCAGATTCTTTTCTGGTCTCCATTCCAAAAGATATGTTAAAATGACAAGGAAAATAAGACACAAACCTGACATTTCTCCCTTTAAAAGGGCAGCCTCAGCCTGGCCACACTGAACCAAAATTTCAGGCTCTGGTTCACCTTGACTCACATTGGAAAATACTTGAACTGGGACCCCAGAATGTCCAGTGAAAATCTTGAGAATGGGCACCTCAGCAGCCTGAACACACCTGTAACAGGAACAAACCCTACCAAGTAAGAAGCCATCTCATTTACTTAGAAAACCATACCAGCAATGTGCACACACATCAGGCTTTTTAGATAAACTCCTGTTAATCCAAGGATTCAAGAAAAAGGAAAAAAAAAGTTTGAATCTAGATTCTCAGGAAGAAGAACCTCCACTGCCTGGACCAGCCTGTATGATGGATGCAACTGACAGTGGTAACTTGTCTTGCACATACCTGAAGACTGATCTTATATAAAAAATGTTTCTGAGTGTTCAGAGTTTCAAGCTAAAAATCTACTAGTGGCCTGGCCAGCTGCAGTGGGTCAGGCCTGTACTCCCAGCAGTTTGGGAGGCCAAATCAGATGGATCATCTGAGGTCAGGAGTTCAAGAACCACCTTATCAACATGAAGAATCCTGGTCTCTACTAAAAATACAAAATTAGCCAGGTATCATGGCAAATGCTTGTCATCCTAGCTACTCAGAAGGCTGAGGCAGAGGAATCACTTGAACCTGTGAGGCGGAGGTTTCGGTGAGCTGAGATTGTGCAAACACCCTCCAGCCTGGGCAACAAGAGTGAAACTTCATTTCAAAAAAAAAAAAAAAAAAAATCTAGTAGTGGCCAACCTGGAGATTACTCTTTATCTATGAGGAAAGTCTGAGCCTTTGCTCTCTCCCATGCTGTGGTATGGAGTAGGCCACACAGGGGACTGAGGCCCTTATTTTTTGTTAAATGAAGGACAACAGATAAAAGATTGTTCAGAAAAAATGTGCTTAATAAATATGCTATGCACACTGCATGCTTTTTCCAAGTGGACGTGGTTATCCTGCTAAGCCCACTGACACTGGACTTTCTCTCCTCTATGTAAGTCGCCAGTAAAACTCCATATCCTATTTACTGATTCTGAGTTTCTTCTTTGACATCGTGAACCTGCTGCCATTTACATGGGAGTCAAATTTGACACAACTTACCCCATAATGAGGAAGGATTTCAGATTCTTCTCAATGTGCTTCAAAGCTCAACAAGGCATCAGCTACAGAAGGATGCAGTTGTTCTCTTTACCACTATCACACAGGGCTCGTTTCCTTAGATGCACCTTCAGTGGAATACCAAGAAAGATGAACAAGAAACACGTCATGGTCAGAAGCAACATTAATGACCAAATAAGCAGTGACCACTTGTAAAGCAAAAGGGAGCATTTTGCTTTCTACTCTGGGCAGCCCTCAATGTCTGCCATCACTTTCTGGTTTCAGTAATGGTTTTTAAGCTCCATCGTGGCTCTGGAGAAACCTTAGGCACTAGGTGGTAAACACCTTCACTTAGTCCTGGAGCAACAAAGCTTTCTCTTGTCAAATATGACCTCTGTGATCATGAGCTACTAAGCCATCTAGACAATGCACCACCAGAAAACCTATGAAAGGGAGATGAGTAGACATGAGGGAAACAATTTCCCACTTTTTTCAGTGGCAAGTTCAAACAACTGTGACAGTAGATCACAGAGCAAAAGAAAACAGCATAGTAGAACTCCTCATCATGTAAGATTACAACCAAGACTTTTCTATCCTCAGTGTGAGAGCACCAAATGAAAACCAGAAATTACTTCACTGTGTATCTATCAGTAATTAATTGCACAATATTTTCTCTATCATACTGAAAAGTATTCACTGAGGATTTTCTAATTGAACATGTAGAGATAAAGACAGGAGAATGTAAAATAGCAATTCCATAAAATCATTAAAGAAATTGAAGGTATCCTTGTTAACTTTCTGTCTCATTGATCTGCCTAATGTTGACAGTGGGGTGTTAAAGTCTCCTGTTATTATTGTAGGAATTGAATTCAGCTCTGCACCAGGCGGACCTAATAGATGTCTACAGAACTCTCCACCCCAAATCAACAGAATATACGTTCTTCTCAGAACCACACCCCAACCATTCCAAAATCAACCATATAGTTGGAAGTAAAGCACACCTCAGCAAATGTAAAAAAACAGAAATTATAACAAAATGTCTCTCAGACCACAGTGCAATCAAACTAGAACTCAGGATTAAGAAACTCACTCAAAACCTCTCAATTACATGGAAACTGAACAACCTGCTCCTGAATGACTACTGGGTACCTAACGAAATGAAGTCAGAAATAAAGTTGTACCTTGAGACTAATGAGAACAAACACACAACATACCAGAATCTCTGGGACACATTTAAAGCAGTGTGTAGATGGATATTTATAGCACTATATGCCCACAAGAGAAAGCAGGAAAGATCTAAAATTGACACCCTAACATCACAATTAAAAGAACTAGAGAAGCAAGAGCAAACACATTCAAAAACTAGCAGAAGGCAAGAAATAACTAAGGTCAGAGCAGAATTGAAGGAGATAGAGACATAAAAAGCCTTTCAAAAAACCAATGATTCCAGGAGCTGGTTTTCTGAAAAGATCAACAAAACTGATAGACCACTAGCAAGACTAATAAAGAAGAAAAGAGAGAAGAATCAAATAGATGCAATAAAAAATGATAAAGGGGATATCACAACTGATCCCACAGAAATACAAACTACCTTCAGAGAATACTACAAACACCTCTAGGCAAATAAACTAGAAAATCTAGAAGAAATTGATAAATTCCTTGACACATACACCCTCCCAAGACTAAACCGGGAAGAAGTTGAATCTCTGAATAGACCAATAATAGGCTCTGAATTTGAGGCAATAATTAACAGCTTACCAACAAAAAAAAGTCCAGGACCAGATGGATTCACAGCCGAATTCTACCAGAGGTGCAAGGAGGAGCTGGTACCATTCCTTCTGAAACTAGTCCAATCAATAGAAAAAGAGGAAATCCTCCCTAACTCATTTTATGAGGCCAACATCACCCTAACACCAAAGCCTGGCAGAGACACAACCAAAAAAGAGAATTTTAGAACAATATCCCTGATGAATATCTATGCAAAAATCCTCAATAAAATACTGGCAAACCATATCCAACAGCACATCAAAAAGCTTATCCACAATGATCAAGTGGGCTTCATCCCTGGGATGCAAGGCTGTTTCAACATATGAAAATCAATACACGTAATCCGGCATATAAACAGAAAAGAAACAAAGGCAAAAACCACATGATTATCTCAATAGATGCAGAAAAGGTCTTTGACAAAATTCAACAGCACTTCATGCTAAAAACTCTCAATAAATTAGGTATTGACAGGACGTATCTAAAAATAATAAGAGCTAATTATGAAAAACCCACAGCCAATCTTATACTCAATGGACAAAAACTGGAAGCATTCCCTTTGAAAACTGGCACAAGAAAGGGATGCCCTCTCTCACCACTCCTATTCAACATGGTGTTGGAAGTTCTGGCCAGGGCAATTAGGCAGGAGAAGGAAATAAAGGATTTTCAATTAGGAAAAGAGGAAGTCAAATTGTCCCTGTGTGCAGATGACATGATTGTATATCTAGAAAACCCCATTATCTCAGCCCAAAATCTCCTTAAGCTGATCAGCAACTTCAGCAAAGTCTCAGGACACAAAAGAAATGTGCAAAAATCACAAGCATTCTTATACACCAATAAGAGACAAACAGAGAGCCAAATCATGAGTGAACTGTCATTCACAATTGCTTCAAAGAGAATAAAATACCTAGGAATCCAACTTACAAGGGATGTGAAGGACGTCTTCAAGTAGAACTACAAACCACTGCTCAGTGAAATAAAAGAGGACACAAACAAATGGAAGAACATTCCATGCTCATGGATAGGAAGAATCAATATCGTGACAATGGCCATACTGCCCAAGGTAATTTGTAGATTCAATGCCATCCCCATGAAGCTACCAATGACTTCCTGCACAGAATTGGAAAAAACTACTTTAAAGTTCATATGGAACCATAAAAGAGACTGCATTGCCCAGTCAATCCTAAGCCAAAAGAACAAAGCTGGAGACATCATGCTACCTGTCTTCAAACTATACTACAAGGCTACAGTAACCAAAGCAGCATGGTACTGGTACCAAAACAGAGATCTAGGCCATTGGAACAGATCAGAGCCCTCAGAAATAATACCACACATCCACAACTATCTGATCTTTGACAAACCTGACAAAGACAAGAAATGGGGAAAGGATTCCGCATTCAATAAATGGTGCTGGGAAAACTGGCTAGCCATATGTAGAAAGCTGAAACTGGATTCCTTCCTTACACCTTATACAAAAATTAAGTTAAGATGGATTAAAGATTTAAATGTTAGACCAAAAACCATAAAATCCCTAGAAGAAAACCTAGGCAATACCATTCAGGACCTAGGCAAGGGCAAGGACTTCATGTCTAAAACACCAAAAGCAATGGCAACAAAAGACAAAATTGACAAATGGGATCTAATTAAACTGAAGAGCTTCTGCACAGCAAAAGAAACTACCATCAGAGAGAACAGGCAACCTACAGAATGGGAGAAAATTTTTGCAATCTACTCATCTGAAAAAGGACTAATATCCAGAATCTACAATGAGCTCAAACAAATTTACAAGAAAAAAACAAACAACCCCATCAAAATGTGGGCGAAGAATATGAACAGACACTTCTCAAAAGAAGACATTTACGCAGCCAAAAAACCATGAAAAAATGCTCATCATCACTGGCCATCAGAGAAATGCAAATCAAAACCACAATGAGATACCACCTCACACCAGTTAGAATGGCGATCATTAAAAAGTCAGGAAACAACAGATGCTGGAGAGGTTGTGGAGAATAGGAACACTTTTACACTGTTGGTGGGACATAATATAGTTCAACCATTGTGGAAGTCAGTGTGGTGATTCCTCAGGGAACTAGAACTAGAAATACCATTTGACCCAGCCATCCCATTACTGCGTATATACCCAAAGGACTATAAATCATGCTGCTATAAAGACACATGCACACATATGCTTATTGAGGCACTATGCACAATAGCAAAGACTGGGAACCAACCCAAATGTCCAACAATGATAGACTGGATTAAGAAAGTGTGGCACATATATCCCATGGAATACTACGCAGCCATAAAACAGGATGAGTTCATGTCCTTTGCAGGGACATGGATGAAACTGGAAACCATCATTCTCAGCAAACTATCTCAAGTTCTCACTCATAGATGGGAACTGAACCAAACACCGCAAGTTCTCACTCATAGGTGGGAATTGAACAATGAGAACACATGGACGCAGGAAGAGGAACATCACACACCATGGCCTGTTGTGGCGTGGGGCGAGGGGGGAGGGATAGCATTAGGAGATAGATATACCTAATGTTAAATGACGAGATAATGGATGCAGCACACCAACATGGCACACATATACATATATAACTAACCTGCATGTTGTACACATGTACCCTAAAACTTAAAGTGTAATTAAAAAAAGAGAAAAATACTGTTGTATTATAAAATAAATAAATAAATAAATATAAAAAATTTTAAAAGAAAAAACGTAGGGAAACTTTTTTAACTAAAAAACACTCAAGCACAGAGAAAACATTCATAGAACAGACTGAGAGACTCCAAGAATCTCTAGTCTAAAAAATTGGCAACATGTTTTTAAGACAAAGGACACTTAGTAAAGATTTTGACATATAGCTTTTTGTTATACAAATTGTAACCTAAGATTACAAGACATACAAATCGTCAGATAATATGATTAAACCAAAACTAAAAATAAACATTCAGGAATCAATTATTATGAAATGAAGATGGAAAAATTACCCGAGAAAATTTGATTTAAATTCTAGATCTATTTTTGAAAAGAAAAAATAAATTACCTTAACAATCAAAATTATCATCTCAAAGATGCTCAGTGAGTAAAGTGGAAATAAAGAAAACAAAATAAAAGAACAAAAATGAAGCCAACAAAAAATGGAAAGCACAGAAAGAAATAAAAATTTTGGCATATAAGTCCAAAAAGCAATATGCACTTCGACATTAGTAAAAAAATAAGAAAATCAAGAATCTTAGAAAATTTTAACTAAGTTTAACAAAAAGAGATTTCTAACAAGACAAAACATAACCAGTTTTTGTAAGTCAAAGACTTGAAGAGAATCTGAAATGCACGAAGCAAAGAGATGTGTTATTTGTATGCATGGTTCTGCAAGATTACCAGAAAATTTATGAACATAAATATTTCAGGCAAGAAGAGAGGAGAATGACATAGTCAAAACATAGGAAAAAGAGTCTAAGCAAGAATACTGTATCCTTCAAAATAAAAAAAAATCTAACTACATCAAGATCTATATCAAGATCTCTGTCATGGCTTCAAGAGACTCACTTCAGAGCCAATAAAAACATAAACTGAAAATGCCAGGATGAAAAATACATTCCATGCAAATGTTCACCAAATGAGAGGAGAAGAGGCAAAAATATATTAAGTTGACAACTGTAATATTTAACAAAAGTTACTTTTAGTCAAATTTCACAAGAAACAAAGTAGTACATTCAATTATAGTAAAAGGTTTCATTAACAGACAACCTGCAAATATATGAAACTTTTCCCAAACACATGAAGCAAACATTGACAGAATTGATGCAAAAATAGACAGCAATATAATAATGGATGCATACATCAATATCTCACTTTCAGTAAAAAATAAACAAGACAGAATATCAATAAGGAAACAAAATAATTGAATGCACTATACAATCATTACACTTAATAAATGTATACAGACAACAGAATACACATTCTTTTCAATAGCTTATAAAACATTTTTCTACACAGACAACCTGTAACACCAGAAAAGAAGCCTTTACGATTTTTTAATTGAAATTTTACAATTATTTACAGCCCAAATGGAATGAAACTAGAAATTAGTAAAAGAAGAAAAGCTGAACAATTCAAAAAATAAAAATATTAAAATACACAGTTTTTTTTTTCTTTTTTAAATTTCTTTTTTGATGGAGTATCACTCTGTCACTAGGCTGGAGTGCAGTGGCACAATCTTGGTTCACTGCAACCTCCAGTTTCTGGGGACAAAGGATTCTTCTGCTTCAGCCTCTCAAGTAGCTGCAACTACAGACATGTACCACCAGGCCCAGCTAAGTTTTTTGTATTTTAGTAGAGATTGGGTTTTGCCATTTTGCCAAGAATTTTCTCACTCTGCTGACTTCTCCATGCACCCTCTTCGGACTCCCAAAGTACTGGGATTACAGGCACAAGCCACCATCCTCAGCCAACAACACAACTTTGAGTAGGCTTTATTTCAAGGGTTGGAAGACATAATATTGTGAAGATGTCCATGCTGCTTAGTGACCCAATACTCAACACACCTCTTTTTAATTTTAATTATATTTTTCAAAAATAGAAAAAAAAAACCTGTAAGATCTCAAAGGACTATAAAAAGCCTGACAATCTTGAAAAAGAAGAAAAATATTCGAAGCCTTACATTTAACAATTTTCAAACACGCACAAAAACCTACAGTAACCAAAGAATTTTGGTACTGGTATAAAAGTAGAACACTAAAGTAATGAAACAGAATGCAGCACGGAAATAAACCCTTGAATGGAGAAGAGAGAAATACCACCTAGGTTTTGTAATCAATCATATGTCACAATTCCTTTGACAAGCAATACTCAGGCAGGGGAAGAGAATTACACTTCCTAGATGCTAGTTTCAGCGATATTTCTAAATGTCCTCAGGGGGTTGAGCACGGGCTGGAGAGGCATATCACCTAGCTGATAGGCCCAGCGATATGTGATAATATCCCCTGTTGACAAGGCTCCTGCAAAAGAGTAACATTATTATTATTCTGACCAAGTGATATGTAAGAATGCGCCCATGGAAAAAAAAATTAAGCCACAATCTCACAACACCTCGATATTAGGCCCAGTGACATGACACAATCTCATGATTTTTGAGGTTGACACTTTTAACTTTTAGGTGAGGGTGTATATTAGAAACATGTGAGCTGGGTCAATATATGAAACTCTGTACAACATCTCAGGGCTTTATAAAACCTGCAGGAAGAGGCAAGGTATGGTGGCTCATGCCTGTAATCCCAGCACTTTGGGAGGCTGAGGTGGGTAGATCACGAGGTCAGGAGTTCAAGACCCATCTGACCAAGATGGTGAAACCCCGTATCTACTAAAAATACAAAAAATTGGCCAGATGTGGTGGCAGGCACCTTTAATCCCAGCTACTTTGGAAGCTGAGGCAAAAGAATCGCTTGAACTCATAGGAAAGATGTCACAGTAAGCTGAGATCACATCACTGCACTCCAGCCTGGGTGACAGAGTGAGAGTTCATCTCAAGAAAAAAAAAAAAAAAGAAAAAAAAAAGAAAAAAAAGAAAAAAACCTCCATGAAGATTGTAAACCTCTCTGAGGCCTAGGTGCTCATATGGACTTACAATCTTACATATTGTCCTAAGCCTAAGTTTGATAGTCAACATCTCTCCTATAGTCAGGGTTAAGGGAGAAGACCCATTATTATGTCTGTGGGCTGGGTCCAGAAATGAGTCATCTTTCCACATGTGGCCAGATCAACATATAAAAGTCACAATTCCACCTCTGCTGTATTTCCTTGTTACACTCAGGACTTCAAAAGTGGGCTTTGTAAATGTGGGATGGTGAAAACTTGTAATTTCACCTGGGTGCATAACTGAAAGTCCCAATCTAATCTTTTTGTGGGGTCCTGTTGTGAAACTCCCTACCAACAAAGAGGTTATACAATATAAGTTAGTGTTGTAAGCTTCTGTCAGCTTTGAATATATATGCAACCCCAGAGTTTATCTATTGCCCTAAGCTTAGCAATGAGAGGCAAAATATCTCCTATTGGCTGAATCCAAATATAAGTTTGATCATCATGCCTGTGAATTGAAGCAAGGTATATGTCATAATCCTATTTGTGGGCATAAAACTAGGCAGGAGGGTAACATCACTTAGATACTGTGTCACAGTGCCTTGTGATGCTGTGTCACAATGCCTTCTCTAGGCAGGGTATGATAAATTGGGTCACATTAGCTGGGTACTCAACCCAGCAATATGATACCGTCCCACTTGTGGAAAAAATCCAGCCAAGTTATGAGAGCCAAAACACCTACATAGTGGGCCCAAGATATGTCAAAACAAACAAACAAACAAACAAACAAAAACCTTCGGTGGCTCCAGTATAGGCAGGAGAGACACATTGTAAGGGTGCTGGGCCCAGCAATATGCAATATGCCATCAATTTTTCTTTATGCAGAACCCACACTAAAGAGTAACATCATCTGGGTGCTGGGCCATGCAATAAGTCAAAATTTGTTATTTTGTGGGCATGGATTAGGAAAAAGAGGTGAGTCACCTATCCTGAGTGCTGGGCTCAGCAATGTGCCAAAATCCTTCTATTGTGAAGGTCCAGGCAGACAAAGAACATCATATCACTTAGGTCATGGGCTCAGAGATATGTCCAATATCTCCAGTAGGCGAGGCTCAGGTAGATGAGGAGAGTCATATCATCTACGTGCTTCCCTAGAAATATGTCACAATGTAACACATAGACAGAAACCAGGTAGGGGAGCCACATCACTTGGGTGCTGGGTCCTGAGATATGTCACAAGGCTCTCTTAGGACAGCACCCAGCAAAGAGTTACATCATCTAGGTGTAGATTTTCTGCTTATTCCACAATGTTTTATTTGGGTAGGTCTAAAGGAGGGAGCCACTTCATCTAGGCGGTAGACCCCAAGGTATGTCACAATGTCCTCTATGAAGTATAGTCCTGGCAAAAGAGTACCATCAACTGTGTGCCTGGCCTAGAAATATATTACTCCAGGTTGGCAAGGCCCAAGCAGGAGAGCCATATAACCCAGGTGACAGGCCTGGATATAAATCACAGTGCCCTCCCTTGAACATGGCTTTGGCAAAATAGTACCCTCAACTGTGTGCCTGGCCTTGCAATATGTCATTATCCATCCTTTGTGTATGGCCCATTCCAGAGAGCAGAGATACATCACCTATAATGGGGGCATAGAAATATATGCAATAATTTTGGTGGACATGGCACAGGCAAGAATGTAACATCAGCTGGGTGCTAGATTCAGATGTATGTCACCATCCTTACTTAGAGAAGGGCCCAGGCAGGAGAATAACATCACCTTGAGGTTGGCCTAGCTAGATAGCACAATACCATATTTGGGCCGGAATAAGTCTGCAGAGTCAAATTATACAGGTGCTTGGCAAAGATTTATATCACAATCACAGTGTCAGATAATTGCAAAGGTGAGATTTACAGTACCCCACATATCCTTTTTTTCATGTGTGACATTTGGCTTTATCCGTGTGAGATGATGACAGCCTTTACTGTCAGCTGGGTGTGCATGCAAGACTCACAATTTAACCTGTGTTCTGAGCCCTGCTACAACTCTGTCTCTATAACCCAAAGACTTTGTAAAATATATGCGAATGTTGTAATCTTTTGTGGCATTTGTATAAGAACGTTATTCAGGATATCATGCATGTACCTAAACTTGGTTATAAGAGTCAAAATAACCTCTGTTAGCTGAATCCCCATATGACAATCATCATCATTCCTTTGAACCATGCCTAGGTACATATTACAATCCTCTGTATGGCTATGAAGCAGGTGGAACAGCCATATTATTGAAATGCCGGGCCAGAATTATTCCAATATTCTCTTTGTAGGCAAAGCTTTGTCAGAAATGCCACCAAACTTTTGTGCTAGGTCCAAATATGTTGCACAGTGTCCTTTGTGTGAGGTGTCAGAGCAGGAGAGTAGAGACATTTCACCTAAATGGTGGGCCCAAAAATTTGTAACAATGCCTCCTGTTAACAGGGCCCAAGCACAGTAGTCATATCACTTGGGTGCAGTGTTTAGAAATGCTACAATTACCAAAGGAAGCAGAATACAGGCAGTAGAGGGTAGAGGAGAGTCCCGTAACCTAGTTGATGGGTCCAGAAATCTATCACAATCCCCGCTGAGGATTGTACTAGCACAGTCAAATCACCAAGGTGCTTGGCCCAGGTATATGTCAAAATCTCTTTTGTGGGCTATACCTGGCAAATTATTAAATCATTCTGGAGCTGGGAAAAGGTTTATGTCACAATTATACTTGTGGGGAGGTTTAGAAATAAGAGTCATTATCTTGCACATGTTCTGGCTCCAGGTATATGAGTTGTTATAAGGCTTTTATTATGGTGTCAGATATATGGCACAATATCACCTGTGGACACAGAGAAGGCAAGAAAGTCAAATCACCTACTTGGGTGTGGGTCCTGCGAGATGTCACAATACCCCTTGTGTGAAGGTCTTTGTGGGAAAGTCACATCACCTGGCTGCTGGTTTCAGTGACATATCAAAAACTCCTCTGTGGGCAGGACTTTGGAAAAAGAGGAGACACAATTCACTTAGGCAACTGGCCTAGGTATATTTCATAGTGTCTTTTCTGTACAGTACCAAACCTGGAGCATGATCACACATTGGTGCTGGACCCAACAATATGTCACAATCTCCCTGTAATCAAGACAAAGGCTAAAGCAAAAAAGAAACACAACTTAGGTGTTGAGCCAAGTGATACATTACAATGCTTCCTGTTGGCAGATCCCAGGAAGGAGAATCACATCACCTGGGTGCATTGCACACTTATGTGTCACAATGTACTGTAAGTGCTTGTCCAAGGCAGTATAAGGTTGTCACATCACATACATGATGGACCGAGATACGAGACACAATTCTATTTGCAGGCAGGTTTCAGGCAGATAATTCACTTTACCCAGGTGATGGTCCAGGAATATATAAAAGTGTCATTTTGTAGGCATAGCCAAAGAAGGTGTTATACATGGCTTACGTGTCTGTTCCACGTATGGCACAATTTCATTCTAGGCTTTGGCCTAGAAGAGACTGTCAAATTATTCATATGCTGGGCAAATTTACCTGTCTCAATCATACTCTTAGAAACATTGAGAAATATGTTTTTTATCGCACATGAATCCTGGTTTTGTGTATTTGAGTTAACTCTTTCTATGAGTTGGGTCGAAGTAGAGGAGTCACAATCCCAACCATGGGCAAGATCCATGTATAGTAGCCTCAATCCTACTTGAATATCATGTTCCAGTAGGAGAGTCAGAGCATCACAAGTGTGCTGAATCATGTTTCAAATATTACCAAACTACCTGTGAATCAGATCCATGTACTATAGTAATTATTTCAAGCTTTGACTGCTTTTTATGAGTGAGATTTAGTATCACATTCCTAGGCCCTGTTTATGTGTCAGAATGACTACCGTGTCAGCTAGGTGTGCATACAAGAGTCACGTTCTCACCTGGTTGCTGTTCTCTGTTATGACACTGTTATGACGCTGTTATGTACCAATAAGGCTTTATATGATATACCACAGCGTTATAATCCTTCATGAATATTATGCAAGTGAAAAACCCAGGACCTTACCCATGGCAGTGCAACTGGCTATGAGAGTCACACCATCCCTACTGGCTGGGTCCAGGAATGAGAGTCATTATTGCACATGTGTGCTTATCCCAGTTATATGTCACACTTTCACCTATGAGCTGGGACAATGTGGGAGAGTCACATAACCTGGGTACTGAGCCACTGACACAATATGGTCTCATTTGTAGGCTGGGCCTAGTCAGAAGGGTCAAATCAGTAGATGTTGGGCTCTGCAAAATGTAATAATTCCCTCTCTTGACAGAGTTTAGGATATGAAGGAGAGTCACATCACCTATGTTTTGTAATCAGTGGTATGTCACCACATCTGTGGTAAGCAGGACCCCGTCAGGAGAAGAGAGTCACATGACCTAGATGTTTGGTCAAATGATATTTCACCATGTACTCTGGGGGTGGGTACAGGCAGGAGAGACAAATCACCTATCTCTTAGGCCCAGAGATATGTGATAATATCCCTTGTTTGCAGGGTCCAGGCAGAAGTAACAAGATTATGATTCTAACCCTGCAATATGTCAAAATGCATCTATGGGGAAAAAATTAAGCCAAAAAGTCTCAACACCTGGGTACTAGGCCTAGTAATAGGTCAAATCTTTTGTTTTTGTGGGTGATATCATTAAATTGAGCTGGGTGTGTATATGAGATTCACAATATCATGTGTTCTTTGGGCTATTGTATGACACTCTACAACATTTGAAGGCTTTATACAGCATGCATCAGGGTTGCAAACTACTCTGAAGCCTATGTGCTCAGAGGGATTCATGAGCTTACCTATATCCCTAAACCCATGGATAATAGTAAACATCTTTTATGTGGGATGGTTTTAGGTATGAGACCCATTATTATGCCTATGAGCTGGAAACAGAAATAAGTCACCATCCCACCTGTGGCCAGATCCACATATGAAGGTCAAAATTCCAACCTGGTACTGTATTCACTTGTTAGACTCACGGTGTTAACAGTGGGCTTTGGACATGTGGGATGGTGACAACATTTGCTTTTACCTGGGCATGTAATTGAAGGTCCCAATCTGAATTTTCTGCTGGTCCCTGTCATGAAACTCTCTGTACCAATCAAGCAACTTATACATTATGAGTTAGTGTTGTAAAGTTCTGTGAGCGTTCTACAAATATGCAACCAAGGACCTTACTTATTGCCCTATGCCTAGTGATGAAAGGCAAAATATCTCCTATTGTCTGTATCCAAGTTTAAGTTTGACCATTATGCCTGTAAACTGAAATAAGGTATATGTCATAGTCCCATTTGTGGGCAAAAAACTAGGCAGGAGGGTAACGTTACTTAGGTGCTGTGCCAAGTAACATGTCCCAATGTCCTCTCTAGGGAGTGTATAGGAATTAGAGTCACATTAACTAGATGCTGGACTCAGCAATATGCCCCCATCTCAAATGTGGGAAAAAATCCAGGCTGGGCACCATGCCACACGCCTGTAATCCCAGCACTTTGGGTGGCCAAGGCAGGCAAATCACGAGGACAAGAGTTCTAGACCAGCCTGACCAACATAATGAAACCCCGTCTCTACTAAAAATACAAAGATGAGCCGAGCATGGTGGCACATGCCTGTAATCCCAGCCACTCAGGAGGCTGAGGCAGGAGAACAGCTTGAACCTAGGAGGCGGAGGTTGCACTGAGCCGAGATCACACCATTGTACTCCAGAGCTCCAGGCTGGGTGACAGAGCAAGATTCCATCCCCCCACCAAAAACAAACAAACAAACAAATAAAATAAAAATAAAAAAATAAAAAAGCCAAGTTACGACAGACAAAACACATACATAATGGGCCCAGGAGAGGTCAAAATACTTTCTTTGGCTCTGGGACAAGCATGAAAGTCACATTAACAGGGTGCTGGGCCCAGAAATCTGCAATAATTATCTCTATATGCAGGACCCAGGTAAAAGACTAACATCATCTGTGTGTTGGGGTCCTGCAATAGGTCAAAATTTATTGTGTGATCATGGTTCAAGAAAAAAGAAAAAAGTAAAATAACCTGAGGGCTGGGCTCAGCAATATGGCATAAACCACTGTTATAAAAGCCAGGGAGAAGAAGCAGTCTCTTCACTTAGGCCAAGGGCTCATAGATGTTCCCCACTGCAGACAAATATCTGCAGGGCCCAGGCAGAAAAGGAGAGTCATATCACCTAGGTACTTCCCTAGTTATACATCACAATCCAACATTTGGGCAGAAATTAGACAGAAGAGACATATCACTTGGGTACAGCCTGTAATAATATGCCAGATCCCCAATGTAGACAGTTTTGAAGAAGAAAAAGAGAATCACACTGGCTGGGTGCTAAGCTCAGAATTATGAAATAAAGCCTGGCAGAGTTTAGGAAAAAAAGGAAAGTCACGTCACCAAGGTATTTCACTCAGTAATATGTCACAATTTCTTCAGCCGGCAGAATCCAGGCAGGAGGGGAGAGTCACATTACCTAGATGCTATATCTCACGATATGTCATAGTGCCCCTGTGGGCAGGACACTGGCAGGGAGACATATCAGGTAGCCAATAGGCCCAGAGATATCTAAAAATATTCCCTGATTAAAAGGTCCAGCCAGAAGAATCACATTATCATGATTCTGAACCAGTGATATGTAACAAAGTGCTTATAGAAAGGAATTTAAACCAAAAAGTCTCAACACCTGGGTACTAAGCAAATGGATATGACACATCTTTTCATTTTTAAGGGCGAAAATATTAACTGTTAGCTAGTTGTGTATATGAGAGCCACAGTCTCACATATGTACTGGTCATTGTATGGCACTCTCTATAACATCAGGGAACTTTGTTCAGCATGCATCAGAGTTGCTAAACTTTCTGAGGCTTACATGTTTATATGGACTCATGATCTTATATATAGCCATAAACCCAGGCATGACAGAATACAGATTTCCTATACACTGGACTCAGGAATGAGACCACAATTATGCCTGTTACCTGGAGCCAAAAATGAATCACCATCCTATATGTGGCCACATTCACTTATGAATGTCACAATTCCAACTTTCTGCTGTATTTACTTGTTAGACTGAGGACCTCAACAATGGGCTTTGTAAATTGAGAATATGTAGTCAAGAGTCACAATCTTAACTTTTTGCTGGGCCCTATTATCAAACTCTCTATACCAGCCAAGAAGTTTCTCTGATATGATTTAGTATTGTAAATTTCAGTGAGTTCTGCACAAGTATGCAATGAAGGACCTTAACTATTGACATAAACATAGTTGCTTGAGGCAAGATATCCCCTGTTGGCTGAATCCCAATATAAGCTTGATCATCTTACCTTTGAACTGAAGCAAGGTATATATCCTAATCCCATTTGTGGGCAAGAAAATTAGGCAAAAAGTTAAAATCACTTAACTGATGTGCCACACAACATGTCACAGTGTCATCTCTAGGCAGGGCCTAGAAAAGAGGGTCACATGAACTGGGGGCTGGAGCCACCAATATGATACAAACTCATGTTGAAGAAACCCAGAAAAGTGATGAGGTCAAAACACCTAAAGAATGGGCCAATAATATGTCAAAATACCTTCTGGAGCTCTGGCAGAAGGAGGAGAGTTACATCATTGGAGTACTGGGCTGAGCAATATGCTATAATGTTTCCATTTATGCATGACCTAGGCAGAAGAGTGACATAATCTGGGTGCTGGGCCCTGAAGCACAGGAAAAGTCCTGTTTGTGGGCATTGTTCAGCAAGAAAACAAAAGACACATTACCTAAGTGCTGGACTCATTAATATGTCAGAATATTCCCATCAGAGAAGCACAGACAGAGGAAGAGTCAAATGACTTAGGTCATGGGCTCAGAGATGTGTCTCAGTGTCACCAGTAAGCTGGGCTCAAGCAGAAAAAGAGAGTCATATAACCCAGTTGTTTCCTTAGGTATATGTCATAATTTAATATGTGGGCAGAAACCAGGCTGAGGAAACACATCACCTGATTCTTGGTCCTGATGTATTCACATCACTTGTCACCCTTAGAAAAGGACCCAGGCAAGGGAGATACATCACCTAGGTCCAGATTCCACCCTTATGTCACAATGCCCCATGTGGGCAGGACCAAGCAGGAAGTCACATTAATTAGGTGATAGCCACAGAGATATGTCAAAAAGTCTTCCCTAAAGCATGGCTCTGGCAAAAGAGCATCATCACCTTTGTGCCTGGCCTAGCAGTATGTCACTCTTCAAGTGGGCAGGTCCTATAACCTACATGATAGGCCCTGTGATATGGCAAAATGTCCTCTTTGAGGAATGGCCCTGGAAAAATAGTATCATCAGTGATGTGCCTGGCCTAGGAATGTGTCATCATCCATCCCTGTGTGCAGGGCTCATTCCAGAGAGGAGAGTTACATCTCCTAAGTGATGGACACAGTGATGTTGTTAAGATGTTTCTGGGCATGGTGCAGACACTAATGTAAAGTAACCTGGGAGCTGGATCCAGCGATGTCACCATTCTTACTGAGCATGATCCAGGCAGAAGAGTCACAGCACTTTAAAATTGGCTTAGGTAGATGTCAAAATCCCATATGTTGGCTGGAACGAGTCAGAAGAGTAAAATCACACAGATACCTGACAAAGATTTATATCACAATTATGATGGAATAAAATACCACACATGTGCTGTTTTCATGTAGGACAGTTGCCTCCATCCATCTGTAATAGTGAAAGTCCTTACTGTCAGCTGGGTCTCAGCATTGGAGACCCAGAATCCCTTTTGTGTGCTAGGCCCTGTTATGACACTCTCTATACAACCCAAGGGTGTTATAAGATATGCGTGAGTTTTGTAATCTTCTGTGACATTTTACAGAAGAAGATCCTGGAAATCACTCAGGTACATGAACCTAGAAGAGTCAAAATTTCTCCTATTGGCTTGGTCCACCTATGAGAGTCATTATTATGCCTTTTAGCTGTGCCTAAGTATATGTCACCATCCCCTTTGTGGTTATTAAACAGGCAGGAAAACCATGTCACCTAAATCCTAAGCCAGAAATATTCCAATATTCTCTTTGTAGGCAAAACACGAACAGAAATCTCACAAATATGGGGTGTTAACCCAACTCTATGGCATAATGCCTCCTATGGAGATTGTCCAGGCAGGAAAGGAGAGTCATACCACCTAAATGATGGCACAGAAATATGTCACAATACCTACTATTGAAAAGGTTAGGCAAGAGGGTTATGTCATTTGGATGCAGTGCTTAAAAATGCTACACTCTTCACAGGAAGCAGGGTTCAGACAGGAGAGGAGAGTCACATAAGCTAGACGATAAGTCTAGAAATATGTTATGATTTCTTCTGAGGATAGTGTTAAGACACAAAATTCAAATCACTGTTGTGGGAAGTCAGGGAACCCGAACAGAGGGGCTGGCTGAAGCCATGGCAGAAGAACATAAATTGTGAAGATTTCATGGACATTTATCACTTCCCCAATCAATACTCTTATAATTTCCTATACCTGTCTTTACCTTAATCTCTTAATCCCAGTATCTTCATAAGCTGAGGATGTGTGTCACCCCAGGACCCTGTGATGATTGTGTTAACTGAAAAACTTGTTCATAAAGCATGTGTGTTTGAACAATACGAAATCTTGGCACCTTGAAAAAAGAACAGGATAACACCAATGTTCAGGGAACAATGGAGATAATCATTAGGTCTGACTGCCTGGGAACCAGGCAGGACAGAGTCATATTTCTCTTATTACTGAAAATGGGTAAGAGAAATATTGCTGAATTCTTTCCTCAGTAAGGAATACTAATAATTAACAGCCCTGGGAAAAGAATACACTCCTCGGGGGAGGGGAGCCTCTAAAACGGCCACTCTGGGAGTGTCTGCCTTATGCAGTTGTAGATAGGGATGAAACATGCCCTAGTCTCTGGCAGTGTCCACAGGCTTGCTAGGATTAGGAAATTCCAGCCTGGTGAATTCTAGTCAGACTGGTTCTCTGCTCTTGAACCCTGTTTCTGTTAAGACATTTGTCAATGACAATGCATGCACAGTGGGACATGAAACTCCATCAGCAATTCTAGTTTCACCCTGGCCTTGTGACCCTGCCCCACCCATTCGCCTTGTGATGTTTTATTGCCTTTGAAGCATGTGATCTCTGTGACCCACACCCAATGTGTACACTCCCACCCCTTTGAAATTTGCTAATTAAAAACTTTCTGGTTTTGCAGCTCAGGGGGCATCATGGAACCTGCTGACATGTGATGTCTTCCCCAGACAACCAGCTTTAAAATTTCTCTCTTTTGTACTCTTTCCCTTTATTTCTCAGACATGCCTGCACTTAGGGAAAATAGAAAAGAGTCTATATTGAAATATTGGGGGCTGGTTCCCCTGATATCTGGTGCACCAATGTGTTTTTTTCTTTTTCCTAAGTGCATGTGGGAATCCAATTCCCTTTGGTAGGTAGGTGTGGAGAAACATCATCGGTTTGGTCCACAGAAACACTTGTTCAACTCCCTGATGATTTGTGAGTAGTCTGTGAATTTGTCTGGGTTAACTATGGGTCATACAGAGTCTAAAAATTATACTTATCTCTTCTATATTAAACTCCAGTTAAAAGAGGAAAGGGTTTGAGTGCCCATGGAAAAATATGATCACTCTATTCAAGAGAGTGGGAAAATACTGTCCTTGGTTTCCTGAAAAAGGAAACTTAGATGTAGACCTGTTAAAACGGGGAAGGGTCTAAGTAACCATGGAAAATATGGTGACTGTATTCAGGGCAGTGGAAAAATACTGTCCTTGGTTTCCTGAAAAAGGAAACTTATATGTAAAATTATGGGATCATGTTGGTTCAATATTCTGGGAACTTGTCTCGACAGGGAATTATGTTCCCATCGCTGTGTGGGGTGATTGGGCCTTGGTACATGCTGTCCTAATACCTCCTCAACTTTCCTTTCCCATACCGCCTTTGTTATCTGCTCAGCCTCTCCCTTCACCTACTCCTCCCCCCACCTAACGATGCTGAAAATTCAGTGTCTAACTCCAGTAACTTTGGCTTAATGTTACCCCCTGCTGACCTTATTTCTTTTCATGAAAAGCCAGTACTTGTAACTCCCGTGGCCCCAACTCCTACAGCCCATTTCCATATATGTGGTAATTCTTCTCTCTTCAAACCTCTGGTGTCAGCTAATGGCTCTGGAACCAAACTACAATTTACCTTTAATTCTCCAAGCACTCCCCCATCCATCGCATCCCCGCACCCTCCTGTCATTTCAGTTCCTCAACCGGTCTGCATCATTGTGTACCTCTCAATCTTACCTTTTTAAAAGAATTTAAGGATGCTTGTACTCAGTATGACCCTACTTCTCCTTATGTTAAAATGGTATTACAAACTTTTGTACAGAGGTCATTTTCCTTCCTTTAGACTGGGACCTTTTGGCAATAGCTGTTCTAACCCATCTCAGCATTTACAGTTTTGTACCTGGTGGTCAGAGAAGGCCTATTTGCAGGCTCAGCTAAATTTGACTAATGGCATTCTAACTACTCAGGCTCAGCTCACAGGGTCTGATAATTTCTCTGATACTTATGCCCAATTAAACTTTGATGCTCTTACCACAGAACAAGTAGCAAAGGTGTGTATGAGAGCTTGGGATAAATTACGCACCCTAGGCCAAGCTCCTGCTTCTTTTACTACTGTTAAACAAGGTCACACTGAATTATACCCTGATTTTTTAGCTAAATTACAAGATGCTGTTGAAAAATCTGTCTCTAATTATCATGTTCAAGGTGTTCTCCTTTGTATGTTAGCTTTTGAAAATGTGAACCATGAGTGTAAGATGGCCATGCATTCCATCCAATGACAAAATTTACTGGATCACGAGATGTTGCCTGCATACATTAAAGTTTAATCTGACACACCTGTGAGGATTAAACACCTGCAGTGGCTTCTAAAGAAAACTGGAGGGTTTAACTCAATTAGTTTCTGAACAGTTACAACTTGGTAATGCAGAATTTTCCCTTTTCCCCTGGAATTCTACTGTGTTTCTAGTAAAAAAAGAAATCAGGAAAGTTGCAGATGGTAACTCATTTAAGGGCCACTAATACTGTAATTAAACCTATGGGAGTCATCCAACCTGGCATGCCTGCCCCTGCTTTAATATCTAAGTTTTGACCTCTCATTTGATCTTAAAGATCATTTTTTATATTGCTTTACATGAATTGAATTGTGAAAAATTTGCTTGTACTTTACCATCTATCAATAATCAGGAGCCTGCAGCTCGTTATCAATGAAAGCACTTCCTCAGGGAATGCTGAATAGCCCTACAATCTGCCAGCTTTATGTTAGACAAGTGCTTTCACCAGTTTGAGCCCAATTCCCCAGGCCTATATTCTTCATTATATTGATGATATTTTAGTTGCCACCCCCCTTCATAAAGAATTAATTGACTGTTATCAAATTTTGAGCCATTGTGTTACAGAGGCTGGATTGCACATCACTCAGAATAAAATTCAGCAGACCACTCCTGTTTGATATTTAGGAATGGTGGTTGATAAACAACGTATTCAACCTCAAAAAGTTCAAATTAGGAGAGATTCTTTGAAAACTTTAAAGACTTCTGAAACCTTTGGGTAACATTAATTATTTAAGACCTACTTTAGGCATTCTGACCTATGCACTGTCTAACTTGTTTTCTACACTGTGGGGAGATTCCAATCTCTGCAGTTCCAGGAGTTTGACACATGAGGCTTCACCAGGACTGGAATTCATAGAGGGAAGAATCCAGACTGCCCAGCTATCTAGAGTACAGCCATTTCAGCCTTTTCAGCTTCTAGTTTTTGCTTCCTTGCACTCCTCTACTGGGCTAATAGTTCAACATAATGATTTAATAGAGTGGTGTTTTCTTCCCCATTCTGTGTCAAAAGCTTTGTCTGTTTATCTGGCCCAACTGGCCATCTTAATTGAACAAGCTTGGTGTAAAATACTTGAAATTTCTGGATTTGATCCAAATTTAATTGTAGTTCCTTTAAATTGGCTCAAAATTCAAGCCACCTTTCAACATTCTGTACTGTGGCAAATTCACTTGGCTGATTTTATTGGCGTTATTGACAATCATTATCCAAAAAACAAATTGTTTAATTTTATAAAAATGACATCTTCGGTGGTCTCTTGCTTAACCAAAGACCAGCCCATTCCTGAGGCCATTACAGTGTTCACTGATGGCTCCAGTAATGGAAATGCTGGCTATGTGGGTCCTACAGACAAGCTTATTTCTACCCTTTATACCTCTGCTCAAAAGGCAGATTTAATTGCTGTAATTACTGTCTTACAGGATTTCCCTAAACCTTTAAATATTGTCTCTGATTCTACTTAATGTGGAAATGAGGATATGCTTGCATTTCACCAGGAGATCATCAATCCCCTCTCTGAATATCCACTAGGAGAATCAAGCTTCATGTGAATATTGATGACAAAAACCACAGGGAACAGAGGTCCGCATCAGAGACGGACCTCAGCCATGGTGAGATCTGTGCCAACTCCTCAGAAGCTGGCCCACCAAATCAAGATGGGTCTGGTTCAATCGTCCTTGATGGCAATGGAGACCCATCTAACCAATCCCACTTCACCTAATTACCTTTCTTTTTCCCCTTACAGACCTAAAAATCTCACCGTTCATATTAACCTGAAAATAACATCCCTCTGTTCTTCTCTTCCTCCCTGAATCTCAGCACTGAATCTTACTTACAATAGGTTTTGTTTAATGATTCTCCTCCTTATACATTCTGTCTCACCAGTTTCCTCTCACACTGATTTACCTGCTACACAAAATTATTCTTAGTGGGCTTATGTGTCTTTTCCTCCACTTATTTGACCTCTCACCTGGATGGATGCTCCTGTGGAAATCTACACTAATGACAGTGCATGGATGCCTGGACCTACAGATGACTGTTGCCCCACTCAACCAGGAGAAGAAGCCACTGCATTTAATGTTACTATGGGTTGTAGTTATAGATGCCCATCTCTGTGCCTCAGACAGGCAGCTGGTTGTATACATCTAGAAACTCTAGTCTGGGCTGCTTATCTTCTGGAGAGATCAGCTACAGAGGAACCGGGGCATTTGGTCTCTGGCCTCTCCCTTTCTCCTTTAAAACAAATGAAAGGGGGAGTAATGGGAGATGCCTCATACTTTCAATATAAACCTGCAGGAAAAGCATGCCCTAAAAATTTTGAGGGCCCATCTAAAACTTTAGTTTGGGATGATTGTGTTAACTCACATGCAGTAATATGAAAAAAAGGCTCATATGGTTTAGTAATAGACTGGGCACCAAAGGGCTATTTAAAAAACAACTGCTCCTCTGGTGGAAGGGAATGCCTGGAGGCTACTTATTTTGTTTCTTATCAGGAGAATGAGAATCATCATTCTACTTTGAATAAGAGGTTCAGCTTTTTCTTTCCCTTAAAATGGGAAGCATGTGATCTCTGTGACCGACACCCTATTTGTACATTCCCTCCCCTTTGAAAATTGCTAATTAAATCTTGCTGGTTTTGCAGCTCAGGGGGCATCACAGAACCTGCTGACATGACCAACAAGACACTCAGCTTTAAAATTTATCTCTTTTGTACTCTTTCTCTTTATTTCTCAGACCCACTGACACTTAGGGAAAATAGAAAAGAACCTATGTTAAAATATTGGGGGTTGGTTCCCCTGATAAATCACCAAGGTTCGTGTCTCAGGTATATGTCAAAATGTCATCAGTGAGCTATAACCAGGCAAGATTATTAAATCACTCAGGGGCTGGGCAAAGGAATATGTCACAATAACACTGGTGGAAAAGTTTAGGGATACGAGTCACCATCCTGCACATGTCCTGGCTCCAGGTACAAAAGTCACTGATAGACCTTTCATCTAGTCTCAGGTATATTCCACAACATCACCTGTGGACAGGGAGAAGAAAGGAAAGTCACACCACCTGAGTGGGATCTGCTCCACTGAAATGTCACAATCCTCCTTGTGGGCAGGATTCTGGAAGAAGAGTCACATCACATAAATGCTGGTTTCAGTGAGATATCTGAACCCCTCTCCTCACCATGGGCAGGGCCTGCCGGGGCTTAGGCAGTATAGGAGACAAACTTCACCTAGGAAATTAGCCTGGATATTTGTCATAATTTCCCCCGTGTGCAGGACCATGCAGGAGAGGGACCTGACTTGGTGCTGGGTTCAGCAATATTTCACAATCTTTCTGGTGGTCAGGGCCCAGGCAAAAGAGTAGAAACCTCACCTAGATACTGAGACAAGTGATATGTTCCAAAGTTTCCTATTGGCAAACCTCTCCCCAAAAAAGAGTCACAACACCTGAGTGCAGTACACAGTGATGTGTCACAATGCACTGTAAGTGCAGGGCCAAGGCAGTAGAAGAAAATCACATAACTTATGTGACAGGCCTAGATAAAAGCCACAATGCTCTTCACAGGCAGAGTTCAGGCCAAGAGTTCATATCAACTTGGTGCTGGTCCCAGGGATATGAAAAAGTGCCCTTTGTCACATTGCCAAAGGTGCTTGGTGCATGTATTTTACAATTTCAACTGTGCTCTGGGACCAGAAAGGAGGGTCAAAACACTCAGATGCTGAACAAAGTCATACTTCTCAATCACAAACTTGAAAATGTTCAGAAATAAGTTTCACAGTCCCACAAAATTCCTGGCTTCAGGTATGAGAGTCAGCACCCCCTATGAAGTACAGGCATTACAGTCTCAACAAGGGGACAGATCCATGTATAAAAGCCCCAATCCCAGTTAATAATTGTGTTCCAGTAAGAGAGTCAAAGCACCACAGTTCTACTGAATAATGGTTCAAACGTCATCAAATCACCTGTGGAGCAGATTCATGTATGAGAGTAACAATATCAACTACTCAGGTGTGAGAGATTTAGCACCTCATTTGTAGGCTCTGTTAATGTGTGAGAATGACAATTACGTCAGCTGGGTGTGGATCTGAGAATCACAATGACTGGCTATGAGAGTTGAAATATCTCTCCTGGCTAGGTCTAGGTATGAGGGTTATTATTGTGCATATGAGCTGAATCCAGGTATATGTCACCGTTTCAACTTTGGACAGAGACAAGAGAGAAGTGTTATGTAATCAGGGTGTCGAGCCAGGGATATATTATAATCTCCTTTGTAGGCAGGACAACGTCAGAAGAGTCATATCACCTGGGTACAATCTCAAATATGTCATCATGCTCAGTGTATACGGGGTTGAAAAAATAGTGAATAGTCACATTCCCTAAATGCTGTGTGCAGTAATATCTGATAACTCCCTCTCTTGGCAGAGTCCAGGAGAAAGAGGAGAGTCACATCACCCAGGTTTTGCACTCAGTGGTATGTCACAATTTCTTCAGTGGGCAGGATCCAGGGAAGAGAGGAGAGTTACGTTACCTATATGCTATATTTAGCAATATGTCAGAGTGTCTTCTGTGGTCAGAAAACCAGGAGGAGAAACCCATCACCTAGCTGATTAGCCCAAAAATATGTGACAGTGTTTGACAGTGTCCCCTGTTGGTTGGGTCCAAGCTGAAAAGTTACATTGCTATAATTTTTTTTGTTTTTGTTTTTAAGACAGAGTCTCCCCCGTCACACAGGCTGGAGTTCAGTGACATGATCTAGGCTTACCAGGCTCACTGCAAGTTTTGCCTCCCATGTGGACGCCATTCTCCTACCTCAGCCTCCTGAGTAGCTGGGAACAGAGGTGCCTGCCACCAGGCCCGGCTAACTTTTTTTGTATTTTTAGTAGAGACAGGATTTCCCCATGTTAGCCAGGATGGTCTTGATCTCCAGACCTCCTAATCTGCCCACCTCAGCCTCCCAAAGCGTTAGGATTATAGGCGTGAGCCACCACACCTGGCCACATTATTACGACTCTAACTCAGCCATATTTTACAATGCACCCATGGTAAAGAATTTAAGTCAAAAACTTTCAACACCAGGGTACTAGGCCTAGTGATATGACACAATCTTCTCATCATTTGATATAACACCTTTAACAGTTAGCTTGGTGTGTATATAAGGGTCACAATCTCTCACGTGTTTTGGTTCATTGCATGACACACTCTGCAACATCTGGAGGCTTTATGCAATATGCATGAGAGTTGCAAATGTCTCTGAGGGCTACATACTCGTATTGACTCAGAATCTTATATATTGCCCTAAACCCCGTCTGGGTTCAGACAAGAGACCCATTATTATGCCTGTAATCTGGGTCCAGAAATGATTCACCATCTCACCTATAGCAAGATCCACATATGAAACTCACAACTCCATCTTTGTACTTTATTTACTTTTTAAAATCAGGACTTCCACACTGGGCTTTGTAATGTGGTGTGGTGACAACATTTGCTCTCACCTACACATGTAATCAAGAGTCACGATCTTACCCTTTTGCTGGGCCCTGTTATAAAACTCTGTGTATCACCCAAGGAGCTTATAGAATATGAGTTGGTGTTGAAAACTTATGTGAGTTTTGTAAAAATATGCAACTCATAACCTTACTTATTGCTTGAAATGTAGTGATGAAAAGCAAAATATCACTATTAGTGGAATCTCAATTTGTTTGATCATCTTGCCTGTGAAATGAAGCAAGGTAAATTTCATAATCCCATTTGTAGGAAAAAAACTTGGCAGGAGGATAGCACAACGAAGATGCTGTGCCAAGCAATATGTCGCTGTGCCAAGCAATATGTCACAATGACATTTTTAGGCATGGTCTAGAAATGAGGGTTACATTAACTGGATGCTAGACCCAGCAATATAACACAATCCCAAATGCGAAAAAACAAAAATGAAAAATAACGGAAACAAAAACACCTAGAGAATAGCTCCAAGATAAATAAAAATACTTTCTGTTGCTCTGGCACAAGCAGGAAGGTTACATCATCAGGATGGGGGTCCCAGCAATATACCATAATTCTTTCTTTATGCAGGACCCAGACAGAAGAGGAACATCATCTGGGAGCTGAGCCCCTGAATCCGTCCAAATTCCTTTTCACGTGCATAGTTTTGGATAAAAAGTGGAATAAAATTTGGACAGGGCCCGGCAATCTGTCCAAATTCCTTTTCATGTGCATAGCTTGGGATAAAAAGTAGAATCATATTGCTAAGTATTGGGCTCAGCAATATGTCACATCACCACACTTTAAAGGAGCAAGCAGAAGAAAAGGGTCATATCACTTGGGACCCAGGCTCAGATAATTGGCCAAATATCAAAAGTAGGCAGGGGTCAGGTAGAAGAGTAGAGTCACGTCACCTAGGTGATTCCCTAGGTATATGACACGATCTAGTATATGAGGTGAAGCCAAGCAGAATAGCCACATCACCTTGATGCTGGGTCCTGAAATATGTCACATGGCTCCCTTAAGACAGGACCCAGACAAGAGAGTTACAACAAATAGGTGCAGGTTCTACCCTTATGTCACAATATTCTATGTGGTCAGCATGCAAGCCAGGAGTCACATCACCTAGATGATAGACCCAGAGATATGTCACAAAGTCCTCCTTGAAGTCTGGCCCTGTAGAAAGTGTACCATCACCTGCATGCCTAGCCTAGCAATATGTCACTATCCAGGAAAGTAGGAACCATGCTGGAGATCAACATCACCTAAATGATAGGCCCAGAGATTTGTCACAATGTCCTCTTTAGGACAAGGCTCTAGCAAAAGACGACCATCACTTGTGTGCCTCATCCAGCCATATGTCACTATCTTCCACTGTGTGCATTCTAATGAGAAGAGTTATGTCACCCAAGTGGTTGACACAGTGATATGTCACAATGATTTATGTGGGTATGGCTCAGAAATAAATGTAACATGACCTGGTTGTGGGATCTAGTGATAAGTCACAATTCTTACTGAGAGCAAAGCCCAGGCAGGAGAGTCACATCACCTAGAGGATGGCCCAGGTAGATAACACAACAACATATGGGGGTGGGAGCCAGTATGCAGAGTCAGATCACACAGGTTCTCAGGAAAATTTACATCACAGTCACACTGGCAGAAATTTCTTGAGATGAGATTTACAATTCCATGCATGTCCTATTTTCATGAGTGACTGTTGGCTTCATATATGTGAGACAGTGATAGTCGTTACTGACTGCTGGGTGTGCATGTAACACTACAATTTTACCTTTCTGCTGGGTTCTCTTATGACACTCTGTGTACAAGCCAAAGGCTTTATAAAATATCTGAGGTTGTTATAACCTGTGACTTTGTCCTTAGCGAGACATAATCACTCCTGTTTCTAAAAAAAAAAAAAAGCTATGAGCGTCAAAAGTACTCCTGTTTTGGGGGTCCACATATGAGAGTCATTACCATGCCTGTGGACAGAGCACAGTTTTATGTCAAAGTTTACTTTGTGGTAATGAAACCATCACGACAGCCAAATAACCTGAATGTCAAGCCAGAAATATTCCAATATTTTCTTTGTAGGTAGAATACTTTGTGAAATGTGACATAAATTGTGTGCCAGATCCAGCTCTGTGTCGCAATGTCGCTTGCGGGCCATGTTCAGGCAGAAGAGGAGAGTCACATCACCTAAATGTTTGGAGATATGACTCAGCTAGATTTTGCTTCCAGCGGCATGTCACAATTTCTTCTGTGGGCAGGATCCAGGCAGGAGAGGAGAGTCACATTACATAGATTCTATATCTAGCAATAAGTCACAATGTTTCCTGTGGGCAGGGCACTGTCAGGGGAGAAACATCACCTAGCTAATAGGCTCAGAAATATGTGATAATATCCCCTGTTGACAGGGCCCGGGCAAAAGAGTCACATTATTATGATTTTGACCCAGCAACATGTAACAATGACCCCATGGAAAGGCATATGAGCCCCAAAGTCTCAAAACCTGGGTACTAGGCCCAATGATATGACACAATCTCCTCATCTTTGAGGGTGACAGCTAACTTTTAGCTGAGCATGTATATTAGTGTCACAGTCTCATGCGTGTGCTGGACCAATGTATGACTCTCTCCACAACATCTGAGGAACTTACAAAACCTTCATGAGGGATGCAAACCTCTCTGAGGTCTGCATGCTTGTATGGACTCACAATCTTATATATTGCCCTAAATCCAGGTTTTTTAGTTAACATCTCTCCTACAGGCAGGGTTAAGGAGGAAGACCTATTATGCCTGTGGGCTGGGTGCAGAAATGAGTCACCATCCAACCTTTGGCCAGACGCATATATAAAATAACAATTCCAACTTTGTACTATATTCGCTGGTTACACTGAGAATCTCAACAGTGGGATTTGTAAGTGTGGGATAATGACAACTTTTAATTTCTCCTTGTTGTGTAATTGAGAGTCCCAATCTGAACTTTTTGCTGGCTCCTGTTAATAAACTCTCTACCACGAATGTGTTTATACAATATAAGATAGTGGTGTAAGCTTCTGTGAGCATGGTACAAATATGCAACCTGGGGCTTCCCTATTGCCCTAAACCTAAGTATGAGAGGCAAAATATCCCCTATTAGGTCAATCCCAATGTAAGTTTGATCATCATGCCTTTGAACTGAAGCAAGGTATCTGTCATAATTCCATCTGTGGACAAAAAACTAGGCAGGAGGGTAACATCACTTAGGTACTGTGCAAACCAATATGCCACAATGCCTTCTCTAGGCAGGGTATAGAAAATTGGGTCACATAAACTGGGTGCTGGACCTAGCAATATGACACCATCTCACATGTGGAAAAAATCCAGCCAGGTAATGAGACAAAACACCTAATAATAGGCCCAAGATATGTCAATATACCTTCAGTGGCTCCAGCACAGGCAGGAGTCACATCACGAGGGTGCTGGGCCCAGCAATATGCAATATGTCATAATTTCCTCTTTAGGCTGAACCCAGGCAGAAGAGTAACATCACCTGGTGATGCATCCTGCAATATGTCAAAATTCCCTTTTTGTAGTCATTTTCTGAAAAAGGAGGAGAGTTATGTATCTTGAGTGCTGGCCTCAGCAATGTGTCAAAATCCTCCTGTTGTGAAGGCCCAGGCAGAAAAAGAGAGTCACATCACTTAGGTCATGGGCTCAGAGATACGTCCCAATGCGAGGTCCATCCGGGAAACCCTGACTCAGTGACAAATGAATAACATACACTGATGCACATATTATGATTATCAGTCTGGCTGAGAGACCAGGCCACTTACATGCTTCAAGTAGAGTGCTGTCAGCTGTGGCCTCAAGTCTCTGGCTCTTCTGGAATTTATTCAGCACACACTAAATGACAAAAAATCTCAAGTAAACACCACTAGAAGGTAATTACCATTGCCGACCCCCTCAGTACAGAACACTCATTCACTCGCAAATGGTCAAAGGTTAGTTTCAGAACCACATGAGTAAATAAGCTATTTAAATAGTCTTCTCTACATTGCTTTGTTAAATACCCTTGCTATAGCTCAAAAAGAATAAGGCTGCCTTCAACCAAACACATTATGGAAACCTGCAGGCCTTCCAAGAGATTCTGTGTTTACATTTTATAACTTTATCTTAAAGTTTTTCCCACCAGGCTGACTGAACCCCTGCATCCCAATGTCCACAGCAGGCGTGGCTCAGGGAGATGAGGAGAGTCACATCCCCTAGGTGATTTCATAGGAATGTGTCACAATGTAACCTGTGGGCAGAAAGCAGGCAAAAGAGCACATCACTTGGGTGCTGGGTCCTGAGATATTTAACAAGACTCTTAACACAGCACTCAGCAAACAGAGTTACATCACCTAGGTGCAGATTCTCTGCTTATGCCACAATGCACCGTGTAGGTAGGGCCAAAGCAGGGAGTCACTTCACAATGGTGATAGGCCCACATATATGTCACAATGTTCTCTATGAAGCATAGTCCTGGCAAAAGAATATCATCACCTGTGTGCCTGGCCTGGAAATATATCACTCTCCAGGTTGGCAAGACCCAAGCAGCAGAGCCACATGAAATCTGTGATAAGCCCAGAGATATGTCACAATGCCCTCCTTTGGGCATGGCTCTGGCCTAAGTGTACCCTCACCTGTGTGCCTGGCCTAGCAATATATCACTATTCTTCCTTTGTGCAGGGCCCATTACAGAGAGAAGAGTTACATCCCCTAAGAGGTGGACACAATGGTATGTAACAGCAATTTTGGTGGGCATGGGGCAGGCAAGAATGTAGCATCGCCTGGATGCTAGATCCAGTGATATGTCACAATCCTTACTGAGAAAAGGTCCCAGGCAGGAGAGTCACATCAACTCCAGGTTGGCCTAGGTAGATATCACAATCTCATATACAGGCTGAAACAATTCTGGTGAGTCAAATTACACAGGTGCTTGGCAAAGATTTACACCACAAGCTCACTGTCAGAAAATTCCAAAGATGAGATTTACAGTAGCACCCATGTCCTGTTTTCATGGGTGACAGTTGGCTTCATACATGTTAGATGATGACAGTCATTACGATGAGCTAGGTGTGCATACAAGGCTCACAATTTCACCTGTGTGCTGTGCCCTGCTTAGATTCTGTGTGTGTAACCCAAAGACTTTGTAAATATGTGTGAGTGTTACAGTCTTTTGTGAACTTTGAACGAGAAGGTGATCCGGGACATCACACATGTCCCTAAACCTAGTTATAAGACTCAATGTATCCTTTATTGGATAAGTCCACATAAGAGAGTCATTATCATGCCTGTGATCCATGCTTAGGTATATGTTACAATTCCCTCTGTGGTTATGAAGCAGGCAGAAGAGCCACATCACCTAAATGCTGGGCCAGAAATATTCCAATATCTTGATTGTGGGTAGGTTCCAGTCAGAAATGTCACATAACTTGTGTGCTAATTTCAGCTTTCTGCACACTGTTCCTCGTGGGAAGTGTCCAGGAAGGATAGGAGATTCGTGTCACGTAACAGCAGAGCCCAAAACTGCGTCACAATGTCTCACGTTGGCAGGGCCCACGAAAGAGAATCATGTCATTAGGATGCTGTGTTTAGAAATGCTAAAATTACTAAAGGAAGCAGGGTACAGGCCAAAGAGGAGAGCAATGTAACCTAGATGATGGGTCAAGAAATATGTGACCATTTCCCCTGAGGACATTGTTAAGACAGCACAATCTATTCGCCAAGGTTCTTGGCCCAAGTGTTTGTCAAAATCTCATTCGTGGACTATATCAAGGCAGAATTACTAAATCATTCAAGAGTTGGGCAAAAATATACGTCACATTACACTTGAGAAAAGGTTTACGAATATGACCCACCATCCTGCACAAGTTCTGACTTCAGACATATGAGTTGCTATTAGGCTTTTCTTGTGGTCTCAGATATATGGCACAATATTATTTGTGGCAAGAGAGAAGGCAGGAAAGTCACATCACTTATGTGGGTATGGGTCTAGTGAGATGTCACAATCCATCTTGTGGGCAAGATCCTGGCAGAAGAGTCACATCACTGGAATGATCATTTCAGTGACATATCAAAACTCCTTCTTTGGGCACAAATTTAGCCAGAGAGGAGACACAGTTCACCTAACAACTGGCCTTGCTATATGTCAAAATGTCTGTAACGTTCAGTACCAAAGCTGGAGAGTGACCTCACATTATTGCTGAAATCAGGAATATGCGCAATCTCCCTGTGGTCAGGGCACAGACAAAAGCAAAGAAACATCATCTAGGTGCTTAGCCAAATGATATGTTACACTGCTTCCTGTTGGCAGAACCCAAAAGAGAGAATCACATCTCCCGGGTGCGGTACCAAGTTGTGTGTTACAATGCACTGTACGTGCAGGGCCAAGGCAGTAGAAAGGAGTCACATCACTTACGTGATGGACCTTGATATAAAACACAATACTCATTGTAGACAGGCTTTAGGCAGATAATTCACCTCACCAGGGTGGTGGTCCCAGTGATATACAAAAGTGCCCTTTGTAGGCAGAGCCAACGAAGGTGTTACATATTGCTTAGGTGCTTCTTCCATATATGGCACAATTTCATCTGTGGTGTGGGCCTAGAAAAGAAATTCAAATTATTCATGTGCTGGGGAAATTTACCTGTCCCAATCACACTCTCAGAAATGCTTAGAAATAAGTTTCATGTCCTACACAAGTCCTGGTTTTCTGTATGAAAGTTGAGTCAACACAGAGGAGTCATAATTTCAACAATGAGACGGATCCATGTATAACAGCCTGAATCCCACTTGAAGATTGTGTTTCAGTCGGGGACTCACAACACTGCAATGTGCTGAATCATGGTTCAAATATTACCAAACCACTTGTGATTAACATGCAGGTATAAGAGTAATTATTTCAACCTTCGACTGCTTTTTAGGCGTGCATAAAAGAGTCACATTCTTACCTCGTTGCTGATCTCTTTTATGACACTCTTTGTACCATTAAGTGTTTATATGATATAACTGAGTCTTGTAATTATTTGTGAACTTTATACAAGTAAAAATCACAGGAATTTACACATGGACCTGAGACTGCTATGAGAGTCATAATATTTCTACTGGCTGGGTCCAGGTATGAAAGTTATTGTGCGTGTGTGCTTAACCCAGAGTGTTAACATATTTCTACTGAGTTGGTCCAGTTATGAGAGTTATTATTGTGTATGTGTGCTTAACCCACACATATGTCATAGTTTCACCTGTGAGCAGGGACAAGGCAGAAGAGTCACATCATCTGGGTGCTGAGCCAGTGATACATTATAATCTCATTTGTAGGCTGGGCCTATTTGGAAAATCACACAACCTGGATACACCCTGAAATAGTATGTCACCAAGCCTGCTATAGACAGGGAAGAAGCATAAGAGGAGAGTTACTCCACGTAGGTGCTGGGCTCTGCAATATGTAATAATGTGTCTATTGGCAGAGTCTGGAATATGAAAGACAGCCATATCACCTAGGTTTTGCAATCAGCAGTATGTCACAAGTTTTTTGGTGAGCAGGACCCTGGCCAGGAGGAGAGTCACATGACATAAATATTTTGCCAAAGAATATTTCACAATGTTCTCTAGGGGCAGGGCACAGGCAGGAGAGATATGTTACCCAGCTTATAGGCCCAGAGATCTGTGACAATATCCCAGGTTGGCAGGGTCCAGGCAGAAGAGTCATATTATTATTATTCTAACACAGCAATATGTCACAATGCACCCATGTTAAGTTATTTCAGCAAAAAGTCTCAACACCTGGGTACCAGGCCTAAAAACATGCCAAAACCTTTGGTCTTTGAGGGTGACACCATTAACTGCGACCTGGGTGTGTGTATGAGAGTCACAGTCTCACATTTCCCGGGCTGTTGTATGACACTCTACAACATCTGAAGGCTTTATACAGCATGCATGAGAGTTGCAAAACACTCTGAGGCCTATAGGCTCATATGGATTCACGATCATATATACTGCCCTAACCCAGGTATAATGGTCATCATCTCTGTAGGCTGGGATTAGGGATGCCTGTGAGCTGGACCCAGAAATGAGTCACCATGCCACCTGTGGCCAGATCATGCCTATAAGCTGAAGCGAAGTGTATGTCATAGTCCCATTTGTGGGCAAAAAACTTGGTTGGCAGGTAATATTGTTTAGCTGCAGTGCCAAGTAGCATGTCACAATGTCCTCTCTAGGCAGGATATAGAATTAGAGCCACATTAACTGGGTGCTGGGCTCAGCAATCTGAAACCATCCCACATGTGCAAAATCCCAGCCAAGGAATGAGAGTCAAAACACCTACATAATATGCCCAGAATATGTTAAAACCTTCGTGGCTATGGGACAGGCATGATAGATGAAATAATGCCCTGCTGTGAAAGGACATTGTCAACGTGCTGGCCTCAGTGATATGCCATAATTCTGTCCATTTGCTGGGCCCAGAAAAAGGAGTAACATTATCTCGAGGCTGGGCCCTGCAATAGGTCAAAAATTCTGTTTGTGTGCATGGCTCTAGAAAAAAAGTAGAGACAAATAACCTGAGTGATGAACTCAGCAATATGCCACAATCTCCCCATTGTAAAAACCAGGGAGAAAAAGAGAGTCACTTCACTTAGGTCAAAGGGCAGAGAGATATATCCCACTGTCCCCAGCAGGTAAAGCCCAGACAGAAAAGGTGAGTCATATCACCTAGGGACTTTCTTGGTTATATATCACATTCTAACATGTGGGCAGACACCAAGCAGAAGAGCCGCATCACCTGGGTACAACATCAAGCAATATGTCACCATCCCCATAAGGACAGGTTTGAAGGAAACAAAAGGGAGAATCACAACTCCTGAGTGGCGAGCTTAGCAATATGTAATAATCCCCACTCTTGGCAGAATCCAGGATAAAGAGGAGACTCATGTCTCCTAGGTTTTGGACTCAGTGATCAGACTTTCTTCGGTGGGCAGGATCCAATCAGCAGAGGACAGTACATTTCCTAGACGCTATATCTAGCAATATGTCACAATGTCACCTGTGGGCAGGGTACTGTCAGGAGAGCCATATCAACTAACCAAGAGGCCCAGAGATACATGAAAATATACGCTGTTTGCAGGACCCATGCAGAAGCGTCATATTGTCATGATTCTGACCCAGTGATATGTAACAATGCTCTTATGGAAAAGAATGCAAACCAAAAGTCTCAACACCAGGATACTAGGACTAGGGATATGACTCAATCTCATCTTTAAAGGTGACAGCATTAACTAGTTGTGTATATGACAGTCACGATCTCATGTATGTGCTGGCCACTGTATGACACTGTCTACAATATCTGAGAACTGTATACACTATGCATGACAGTCTATATCTCTCCCATAGGTTGGCTTAAAGAATGAGGCCACTATTATTGCTGCGAGCTGAATCCAGAAATGAGTCATGATTCCAACTGTGGCCAGATTGACTTATGAAAGTCACAATTCCAACTTTGTGCTTTATTCACTCATTAGACTCAGGACATCAACAATACCCTTTGCAAATGCAGGATGGTAACAACTTTTACTTTCGTCTGTGCAGTCAAGAGTCACAATCTTAATTTTTTGCTGGGCCCTGTTATAAAACTCTCTCTACCAACCAAGAAGTTTTTATGATATGAGTTGGTATTGTAAACTTCTGTGATATTTGTACAAATATGCAATAAAGGACCTTAATTATTGAAGAAAACCTAGTGGTGAGTGGCAAAATATCTCCTATTGGCAGAATCCCAATATAAGCTTGATTATCATGGCTTTCAACTGGAGGAAGGTATATGTCATAATCTTATTTCTGGGCTAATAACAAGGCAGAAGGTTAACATCACTTAGCTGCTGGGCCAAGCTATATGTCACAATGCCCTCTCTAGGCAGGGCCTAAGGAAAAGGGTCACATTTACCAGGGGTTGGAGCCAGCAGTTTAATGCAACCACAGATGGAAGAAACCAAGCAAAGTGATGAGAGCCAAAGCACCTAGAGAATTTGCCAGAGATATTCTAAAATACTTTCTGTAACTTAGTCACAAGCAGGAGAGCCATGTCATTAGGGTGCTGGACCAAGCAATATGCCACAATTCCCTGCTTATGCATGACTTACGCAGAAAAGTAGCATCATCCAGGTGCTGGGCCCTGAAATATTGCAAAAGCCCTGTTCATGGGCGTTGTTCAGCAAGAAGACGAGAGTCACATTACCTAAGTGCTGGGCTCATCAATATGTCAAAATGTTCCTATTGTTAAGGCCCAGACAGAAGAAGAGAGTCACATCATTTACGTCACGGGTTCAGAGATATGGCCCAATGTCACCAGTAGACAAGGCTCAGGCAGAAAAAGTCATATCACCTGGATGTTTTTAAAAAGTATATGTCACAATTTAATATGTGGGCAGAAACCCTGGTGAAGAGCCACATCTTCTGTTCCAGTGTCCTGAGATACTCACAACTCAGTCCCCCTTAGAAAAGAACCGACTCCAGTTAGTTACATCGCCTAGGTTCATGTTCCACGGTTCTTTCACAGTTCTCCATGTGGGCAGGAACAAGCAGGACCAAGGACCAGGGCCAAGCCCATCACCTAAGTGATAGGCTGAGAGATATGTCACAAAAGCATGGCCCTGACCAAAGAACACCACCACCTTTGTACCTGGCCTGGCAATATGTCACTATTCAAGTAGGCAGTTCCTGAGTAGAAGAGCCATATCACCTACATGATAGGACCTGTGATATGCCAAAATGCCCTCTTCGGTGCAAGGCCCTGGCAAAATAGTATCAACACCTGTGTTCCTGCCCTAGAAATATGTCACTATTTTGCCCCGTGTGCAGGACTCATTCCAGAGAGGAGAGTTACATCTTCTAACTGATGTACAAAGTGATATGTAACAATGATGTCTTCAGGCATGGTGCAGGCAAAATGTAAAGACAGTTTGATGGTGGATCCAGTGATGTCACAATTCTTACTGAGAGAAGGGGTGGCTGGGCGGAAAAATCTCATCCCTTCAAGTTTTGCCCAGGTAGATATCCAAATCTCATGTAGACTGGAACCAGTCTGAAGAGTGAAATCACACAGGTGCTTGGCAAAGATTTATATCACAGTCACAATGAAATAAAAGTCTATGGATTAGACTTACAATGCCACACATATCATGTTTGCATGTAGGACAGTTGCCTTCATCCATCTGTGATGGTGAAAGTCTTTACTGCCAACTGGCTGTCCATACAAGATTCAGAATTTCCTCTCTGTGCTAGGCCCTGTTATGACACTCTCTATACAATCCAAGGGTCTTATAAAATATGTGTGAGTGTTGTAATTTTCTGTGACATTTTTACCAGAGTTAGACCCTGGACATCACTCATGTACCTCAACCTAGTTATAAGGGTCAAAATTTCTCCTATTGGCTGAGTCTGCATATGAGAGTCAGTATCATTCCTGTTAGCTGTGTCTAGGTATATGTCACCATCCCCTCTGTGGTTATTAGACCAGCAGGACAACCACATCACATAACTCTTCAGCCAGAAATATTCCAATATTCTCTTTGTAGGCAGGATATAACAGAAATGTCACAAAACTTGGGTGCTGGTCTCTGTGATTTGTAAATTTTCCTGTATTGCATTGGTAAACAAGGTGTTACATATTGCTCAGGTGCTTGTTGCATGTATGTCACAATTTCCACTGTGCTCTGCACCTAGAAAGGAGAGTCAAACACTCAGATGCTGGGTAAAGTCACATTTCTCAATCACACACTCAAAAATGTTCAGAAAAATTTTCACAGTCCCGTACTAGTCGTGCCTTTGGATATAAGAGTGAACATCTCCCATGTGTTGGGTGGAAGCATAGGAGTCACAATGTCATCAGTGGGCAAGGTCCGTGTATAAAAGCCCCATTCCCACTTGAAGATTGTATTCCAGTAGGAGAGTCAAAGGACTACATGTCTGCTGAGTCATTCTTCAAACATCAAAAAAACCACCCATACTATTATTTTGGAATGTCCTGGTGACTTGTCCATGTTCAACAGTAGGGCTGTCTACCTGGCACTATGAGAGCATAATACACACACACACACACACACACACACACACACATTATATATATATACACAAACACACATAAACACATACACACAGAGTAATATTTCACAACGCACCCGTGGTAAAGAATTTAAGACAGAAATCTCAACACCAGGGTACTAGGTCTGGTAATATGACACAATCTCCTCATCTTTTAGGTGACACCTTTAACTTTTAGCTTGATATGTATATTACAGTCACAACCTTACACGTGTTCTACATCATTATATGACACACTCTACAACATCCAGAGGCTTTATGCAACATGCATGAGAGTTACAAACCACTCTGAGGCCTACATGCTTATATTCACTCACAATCTTACATATTGCCTTAAACCCAGTTATGATTGCCAACACCTCTCTAATAGGCTGGGTTCAGACAGGAGACCCATTATTATGCCTGTGATCTGGGTCCAGAAAATAGTCACCATCTCACCTATAGCAAGATCCACATATGACAGTCAAAATTTCAACTTTGTACTTTATTTACTTATACTCAGGACTTTAACAGCTGACTTTGTAAATATGGGATGCTGAAAAGTTTTGCACTCACCTGTATGTGTAATCAAGAGTCATGATCTTAATCTCTGGCTGGGCCCAAGCAGTTTTTAGAATATGAGTTAGCGTTGTAAGCTGCTGTGAGCTTTCTGCCACTATGCAACTCACAACTTTAAGTATTGCCCTGCGTGGAGAGGTGATAGGCAAATGTTACTATTGGTGGAAAACAAATATAACTTTGATCATCATGCCTCTGAATTGAATCATGTAAATTTCATAATCCCATTTGTAGGAAAAAAGAAAAAACTAGCCAGGAGAGTAGCACAACGTAGGTGCTTTGCCAGGCAATATGTCACAATGCCTTCTCTAGGTAGGGTTCTAGAAATGAGGGTTACATTAACTGGGTGCTGGACCTAGCAATATGACACAATCCACCTCCCCAAAAGAAAAAAAAAACAGACAAATGATGAGAATAAAAACTCCTACTGGGTGTGCCCAAGAATTGTAAAAATACTTTCTGTTGCTCTGGCACAGGCAAGAGAGTTACAGCATCAGGGTTGGGGGCGGAGCCATATGCCATAATTCTCTCTTTATGCAGGACTCAGGATGAAGAGGAACATCATCTGGGTGCTGGGCCCTGCAGTAAATCAAAATTCCTTTTCCTGGACACTTTTTGGGAGAAAAAAAAAAAGAAAAGCCATATAACCTGAGTATTTGGCTTAGCAATATGTCACATCACCCCATTGTAAAGGCTCAGACAGAAGAAAAGAATTACGTCAGTTAGGATACTGGCTCAAATATATGACCCAATGTCCAAAATAAGCAAGGCTAAGGCAGAAGAGAAAAGTCATATCACCTAGGTGCTTCCCTAGGTATATGAAAAAAATCTAACATGTGAGGTGAAGCCAGGCAGAAGAGTCACACCGCCTTGATCCTGATTCCTGAGATATGTCACAAGTTTCACTTAGGACAAGACTCAGACAAGAGATTTACAAAAAATAGGTGTAGGTTCTACCTTTATGTCACAATGCTCTTTGTGGGCCATGCTGAAGCAGGGAGTTGCGTTACCCAGGCGATAGGCACAGAGATATGTTGCAATGTTCTCCTTGAGACATGACCCTGGCAAAAGAGTACCATCACTTATATGCCTAGTGTAGTAATATGTCACTATTCAGGAAAGCAGGACCCAAGCAGGAGAGCAACATCACCTAAGTGATCAGCCCAGAGATTTGTCACAATGCATTCTTTAGGACATGGCTCTAACAAAAGAGTACTGTCACCAGTGTGCCTGGCCCAACCATATGTCACAATCCCCAATTGTGTGCAGGGCCCATTCTAACAAGGAGAGTTACATCACCTAAGTAGTTGACACAGTGATATGTCACAATAATCTCTGTGGGCATGGCTAAGGCAAAAATTTAACATGACCAAGGTGCTGGATCTAGTAATATGTCACGATTGTTACTGAGAGCAGGACCCAGGCAGTAACATATCACTTGTATCAGTATCATGTAGAGGTAGGCCCAGGTAGATACCGCAATAAGATATGCGGGCTAGAACCATTATGGTGGATTAAATCACACAGATGTTTGGTGAAGATTTGTATCACAATAACACTAGCAGAAAATTCCCAGGATGAGATTTACAATATTGCACATGTCCCATTTTCATGAGTGACAGTTAGCTTCATATATGTGAGATGTTGATAGTACTTACTGTCAGCTGGGTGTGCATTTGAGACTCACAGTTTCATCTTTCTGCTGGTTTCTGTTATGACACACTCGGTACAAGCCAAAGGCTTTAAAAAATATGTGAGGCTGTTATAATTTTCTTTGACCTTGTTTTTTTACCAGATAGGGATTTAATTACTCGTGTCTCTAAAGAAATTTATGAGAGTTAAAATTCTATTTGTGGGATCCACATAAGACAGTCATTATCATGCCTATGAGCTGTGCTTGGGTATATATCACAACTTAGTCTGTGTTAATGAAACAGGCATGACAGCCAAGGCACCTAAATACTGAGCCAGAAAATTTCCAATATTCTCCTTACAGGCATGCTCCAGGCAGAAAAGTTGCATAACTTGGGGGTTACATCAAGATGTATAACACAATACACCTTATGGGCTGTGTCCAGGTAGAAGAGGAGACTTGTATCACCTAAACAATAGGCCCAGAGATATCTTACAAAGTCTCCTTTTGCAAGGATCAGGCAAGAGAGTCACGTAATTTGGATGTAGTGCTTAGAAATGCTATAGTCCCGGCGGGGCGTGGTGGCTCATGCTTGTAATCCCAGCGCTTTGAGGGGCCGAGGTGGGTGGATCATGAAGTCAGGACATAGAGACCATCCTGGCTAGCATGGTGAAACCCCATCTGTACTAAAAAAATAAAAAAAATAAAAAATTAGCCAGGCCTGGTGGCTGGTGCCTGTAGGCCCAGCTGCTTGGGAGGCTGAGGCAGGAGAAGGGCGTGAACCCAGGAGGCAGAGCTTGCAGGGAGCTGAGATCGCACAACTGCACTCCAACCTGGGCAACAGAGCAAGCCTCCATCAAAAAAAAGAAAAAAAAAAAGAAAGAAATGCTACAATCTCTAGTGGAAGCAGGGTCCAGGTAAGAGAGGAGTGTCAGGTAACTAGATCATGGGTCCAGAAATATGTTACAATCCTTCTGGAAGATATTGTTAAAACAGGAGAGTCAAATCATCATGGTGATAAGTTGAAGTACACATCCAAATCTCATTTGCGGGCTACAACTAGGCAGGAGTATTAAATCACTCAGGAGCTGGGCAAAGGTATATGTCACAATAACACTGGTGGAACATTCCAGGAATGGGAGTCTCTGTCTTGCATATGACCTGGATCCAGGTTTAACAGTCATGATTAGTCCTCTTAAGTAGTCTTAGGTATATGACACAATATCACCTGTGGGCAGAGAGCAAGCAGAAAGGTCACATCATCTGGATGGGTGCTGGTCCAGTGAGATGCCACAATCTTCCTTGTGGGCAGGACACTGGAAGAAGACTCACATCACCTGGAGGCTGGTTTTAGTGATATATCAAAAGTCCCCCTGTGAGGAAATCTTAGGAGTGTGAGGACACTCCCTTTACCTAAGCAATTGGCCTAGATATATGTCACAATGTTCACTATCTGCAGAACCACGGTATGAAAGTGACCTCACTTCGGCGCTGGGTTTAGTAATATGTCACAATCTCCCCTCTGGTCACGGCAAGACAAAAGAGAAAAACATTATCTAGGTGTGAACCAAGTGATATGTTATGAAGCTTCCTGTTGGCAGAACCCAAAACAGAGAGTCACATCACCTGGGTGCAGTACCCAGTTATGTGTCACAATGCCCTGTAACAGCAGGGCCAAGGCAGTAGAAGGGAGTCTCATCACTTATATGATGGACCTAAATCTAAGTCACAATGACTTTTATAGGCAGGAAAAAGACAAAGAATTGACATCACCTTGATGCTGGTCCCCGTGATATGTTTAATTACCCTTGGTAGGCAGGCCCAGGCACCTCTGCTTAGGTGTATGGTCCACCTACGTCACAATTTTATCTGCCGTCATGGCCTAAAAAGGAGAGTCAAATTATTCAGGAGCCGGGCTAATTTTTATGTCCTAATCACACGCTGGGAAATATTCAGAAATAAGTTTCACAGCCCTTCACAAGTCCTGGCTTTGTGCACATGGGTCAACACCTCCTGTGCAAGGGGTCAAAGCAGAGGAGTTACAGACTCAACAATGGGCAGGATCCATGCATAAATTGCCCAGTTCTACTCGAAGATTGTGTTCCAGTATGAAAGTCACAGCCTCACAGTTGGGCTGAATACTGCATCACCAAACCACCCACGGGGTTAAACCATGTACGAGAGGAACAATTTCAACCTTCGACTACTCTGTTGTGTGAAACTTAGTACCTTATTTGTAGGCCACGTTCTTGTATGAAAGTGACAATCAAGTTAGCTGGGTGTGCATCCATGATTCACAATCACACCTGGTTGCTGTTCCCTGTTATGACACTCTTTGTACCACTGAGGCTTTATATGATATGCCCGAGGGTCATATCCTCTGTGAACAAATAGGAGACCCATTATTTTACTTATGGAAATAAGACTGGCTATGAGAGTCAAAATCTCTCTCCTTTCTGGGTCCAGGTATGATGATTATAATTGTGCATGTGAGATGATTCCAGGTATATGTCACAATTTCACCTGTGGGCAGAAACAAGGAAGAAGTCTCACAACATTGATGCAAGCCCATGATACATTATCTACTCTTTTGCTTGCAGGTCCAAGTCAGAAGAGTCACATCACCTGGGTACAGCCTCAAGTAATATGGCACCATGTCCACTGTAGACAGGGTTGAAAAAAACAAAACAGGAGACTCACAACACCTAGGTGTTAGGCTCAGCAATATGTAATAATCCCCTCTTTTGACAAACTCCAGAAAATAAAGAGGAAAGTTGCATTACCTAGGTTTTGCACTCAGTGGCATGTCACAATTCCTTTAGTAGGAAGGACCTAGACAGGAGAGAAGAGACGTATTTCCTAGCTGCTACGTTCAACAATGTCACAATGTTTCTTTGGGGCAAAGCACAAGAAAAAAAGACAAATCCCTTAACATTTAGGCTCACAAATATGTGATGATATGTCTTGTTGCAGGGCCAGGGCAAAAGGTGTCACATTATTATGATTCTGACACAATATGTCACAACACATACACGAGAAACAATTTAAGCAAAAGTTTTAACACCTGGTTACTAGGCCCAGTGATATGACACAGGACACTCGTTGGCAGGACACTCGAAGAAGACTCACATCACCTGGATGCTGCTCATCTTTGAGGATGGTACCTTTAAGTGTAAGCTTGGTGTGTATATGAGTCACAATGTCATGTGTGTGCTGGGCCATTATATAGAACCCTCTGCAACATCCGAGGGATGTATATGGCATGTATGAGAGTTGCAAACTTCTCTGAGGCCCACATGCTCATATGGACTCCCAGTGTTATGTATTGCCCTAAACCCAGGTATGATAGTCAACATCTCTCATTTAGGCTGAGTTCAGGAATGAGACCTATTTTTATTTCTATGAGCTGGGACCAAAAATGAGTCATAATCGCACCATTGGCTAGACCCACATGTGAGTGTCATGATTCCCACTTTGTACTGTTTTTCTTTGTTAGACTTAGTACCTTAACAGTGGGCTTTGTAAATGTGTGCTTGTGACAATATTTACTTCCACCTGGCTGTGTAATTTAGAGTCACAATCTTAATTTTTTTATGTTTCTTGTTATAAAACTCTCTGTACCACCAAAGGAGTTTATACAATATGAATTAGTGTTGTAAACCTCTGTGAGCATTGTACAAACAGAAAACCCATTTTACCTATTTCCATAAGCCTAGCAATGAGTGGAAAAATATCTTCTATTGACTGAGCCCTAATATAAGTTTGACCATCATGCCTGTGAACTGAAGCAAGATTTATGTCATAATCTCATTTATTTGTCAACAATTAGGAAAAAGAATAATATCACTTAGATGATACGGCAACAAATGCCACAATGCCCTTTTTAGGCAGAATCTAGGAAGAAGGGTCACATTACCTGGACCCAGCAATGTGACACAATTCCACATGTGGAAAAGTTTAGCCATGGGATGAGAGCCAAAACACGTGTACAATGAGTCAAAGGTATGTCGAAATACTCTCTGAGGCTACTGGCATGCAGGTAGGACAGTAGCATCTTCAGGGTGCTGGGCCCACTCATATGTAATAATTTCCTCTTTATTCAGAACTCTGACAAAACTGTAACATCATCTGGGTGCAATATGTCAAAATTTCCCTTTGCGGGCATGGTTCAGAAAAAAAGAGTAGAGTCACATCAGTTAAACTCTAGGCTCAGCAATATGCCACAATCCCACCATTTTAAAGGCCCAGGCAGGGGAAGAGAATCATATCACTTAGGTCATGTGCTCAGAGATATGTCCCAATGTCCTCAGTAGGCAGGACTCAGGGAGAAAGGGAGAGTCATATCACCTATGTGCTTTTATAGGTATATGTCACAATCTAACACGTGGGAAGATACCAGGAAGAAGAGCCACATCACCTGGGTCCTGAGATATGTTACAAAGCTTCCTTAGGAAAACACCAAGGCAAAAGAGTTAAATCAACTTGCTGCAGGTTTAACTTTTATGTCACAATGCTCTGTGTGGGTGAGGCCCAAGCCTCAAGTCACATAATCTAGGTGACAGTCACGGAGATATGTTACAATGCCCTCCTTGACACATAGCCCTGGTGAAAAAGAACCATCACCTGTTTGCTTGGCCTAGAAATATGTCACCACCAACCCTTCTGTTCAGGACCTATTCTAGAGAGGAGAGTTACATCACCTAATTGGTGGAGACAGTCATATATCACAGCAATGTCTGTGGCCAAGGCTCAGGCAAGAATGTAACGTCACCTGGGTTTTTGATCCAGTGATATGTCACAATCCTTAATGAGACAAGTGCCAAGGCAGGAGAGTCACATCATTTATATGTTGGTCCAGGTAGAGATCACAATCCCATATATGAGCTGGAACCAGTCTGGAGAGTCAAATCACAGATGCTCAGCAAATATTTTTATCACAATCACAATGGCAGAATATTCCAGAGATGAGACTTACAATACCATACATGTCCTGTTTTCATGAGTGACAGTTGGCTTCATGTATGTGAGATGTGACAGTCCTTACTGTCAGCTGGGTGTGCATATGAGACTCACAATTTCACCTTTCTGTTGGGTTCTCTTATGACACTCTGTGCAAGTCATGGGCTTTATAAAATATCTGAGCCTGTTATAATCTTCAGTGACCTCTTTACCAGAAAGAGATCTAAGAAATGACTCATGTTTCTAAAGCAAGTTACAAGAGTCAAAATTATTCTTATCTGTAGGATCCACATGTGAGAGTCAGTATCATGCCTGTGAGCTGTGCCTAGGTATATGTCAAAATTTACTCTGTGGTAATGAAACAGACATGACAGACTTGTCACCTAAATGCTGAGCCAGAAGTTTTCCAATATTCTCCTTCTAGACAAGTTTCTGGCAGAAAAGTTGCATAACTGCGAGGCTACAGCAAACTCTATGGCATAATGCCCCTCGTGGGCAGTGTTCAGGCAGTAGAGGAAGTTGTATCACCTAAATGATAGGCCCTGAGATATGTCACAATGCCTCCTGTTGAAAGGGTCAGAAATGTATCATTTCCAATTATACTCATTTTTACTGCAGTGATTTGGTGTCTTATTTTGGCTTTGATTTGCAGTTTTCTAATAATTAATAATGCTGAGCATCATTGTATGTAATTGGCCATTCGTATGTCTTCTTTGAGGAAATGTCAGTTAAGGTATCTTGCCTATTACTAAATAGTGTGTTATTATTGCTCTTAAAATTGTTATGTATTCGTATGTTTATCTCTTGTCATATGTATATTTTGCAGATATAGTCTCCCACAGTGTAAGCTGTCTCTTCACTCTGTAAATTTATTTTTACTATTTTTTTTTTTTTTTTTTTAGATTCTGGTAATTTTACTTGTCTGCTTTTGCTTTTGTTGCCTGTGCTTCTGGGGTCTTATTTAAAAATTTTTTCTGTCCTATCTGATTAAGAATTTCTATATGTTTTATGGAAATTGTTTTATAAGTTTGAGTTTTACATTTTAATCTTCTATTTATTTTTAATTAAGTTTTTAAAATATGGTAACAGGTAGGCATCTAGTTGTATTACTTTGTATTTAAGAAATTAATTTTACAGCACCATTTATTGATGAGGTTGACTTTTCTTAAATATGTCTCTTAAATACCTTAAAAATTATTTGGCTCTAGGCTTATTAATTTATTACTAGAATCAATGGATACTTTGTTCTATCTGTCTGTTTCATATGCCGGTATCACTCTGTTTGCTTGTTATAGCTTTGCAGTATATTTAGAAGTCGGGTAATTTGATGCTTTCAGCTTTGTTCTTTTTTGCTAGATGACTTTGGCTATTTGGGGAGTTTCTTTTGTTCACTATAGATTTTAGGCCTGTTTTTTTCCATTTCTGTGAAAAAATGTCATTGGTATTTTTATTGAGTTTGCATTGAATCTGTTGATTACCTTGAGTAGCATAGTCATTTTAGCAATATTTTTTATAACTCATGAACAAAAAATATTTCTCATGTTTTTCATATTTTTTAGTTTTTTAATTAATGTTTTATAATTTATAGTGTAGACAGTGTTTATCTTTTTAATTAAGTTTACTGCTAGGCACTTTATTTTTTATTTTAGATGCAGAAAAATTATTTTGAAAAATTTAGCATGTTTTGTGATTAAAACAAGTGAACAAGTTAGGTACAGATGGTATGTAACACAACACAGTTAAGGCAAAATATGACAAATCAATACCTGATAAGACACTGAACATTAAAAGGTGAAGGCTTTTTACTTAAGACCTAGAAGAAGACAGTGATGTCTACTTTTACCACTTTTATTCAACAGAGTACTGGAGGTCTTAGCAAGATTATTTATGCAAGAGAAAGAAATAAAAGACATCCAAATAAAAAGGAAGAAAGTCAAATTATCTGTTTGCAGATCTCTTAACTGTTTGTATAGCAAAACTTAAATACTACACTAAAAATCTTGAGAATTGATAAAGAAATTCAGTTAAGTAGCAGAATACCAAATTCACTTTAAAAACTTAGTAGGAGCATATTTTCATGCCAAGAAAAAGCCATCTGAAAAAGAAATTCAAGAAAAAAATTTACAACAACTATAAAGTGTCTTACTTCATTTCAGCCTGATGGCTGAAAAATTGGACTGCTGGTTTCAAATGAAGCCAGCCATTTTCTGACGGCTTCTTTCTGAATAATGCCTACCTGTGCAATGGGAAAAGGAGGTGGAGCCACTGAAATTCACACCTTTTGGCAGGAGAGGAACCTGGATTCTTAAGTTGCTATGTTGTGACCTGGTGTTCCTCAATCTGTGAGGTCAGGGCCAGATAACACGAGTGCTTCCCACTCTGCTGACACTTTGTTGTTGATGTTGTTGTTGTTGTTTTCTTTTTCCTTTTGGCCCAATAAACTTTACTCCTAACCCTTCAGTGTATTCATTAGACTCTTCCTTCATAATCATGTGAGAAGATCCTTGTTTTAGCTTAACTAAGGAGAAAGTTCTATAACATTTCGGTGTCTAGATGTGGGGCTTGAGGTAAGTAAGATGTAAACTAAAAAATCTTTTTCTATTTTGTTTGTAAGTGTTTTCATTCTTGGACTTCTCCTGAGGATAGAGGAAACTCTTCAACACCCTACCCAAACAGCCCCAGGCACATGTGGGATGGTAGTTGAATGGCAGCTCTTCATTCCCATCTCCTCTGGGCTGAAAAATGCCAGGCATTCATGGTGTCTTCATGTTCACCGACCAAGGGATCCAACCTCACCCAACAGCATTAAGTTTTTCTCCTTGTTGAAGGAACTCATTTGCATAAGAAAGAAAATTGTCTTTCCTGCTCTACACTTAAGACTTTTTTTTTCTTTTCTTCATCCTGTCTGCAATTTACTTTTAAGCAGAAGGTTTTTTTGTTTTCTTCATATGAAATGTTTTGCCGGACAATGCCCCAATGATCACTGCTTATATTCTTTGTAGAGTTTTGATTGTGAATAGATGTTTCTCAGGTTGGTCTAGAGCTGTGGCCAATCTGGTGTGCTTTGTATGTCCTTCTCTATAGCTGTCAGAAAATTTTGCGCAGGCATCCATCTTGTTTTATGTTTTCAGGAACATGACCTGAACCAATGTGGCTCTGTTTTGTTTTGGCCTCTGCCATTTTACAATGGTGGCCCAGGTTTAATCCTGGCTTAAGGAAAGAGTCTCTTCTGGTTTTATATCAGCATGTAACTTTTGCCCTTTGCTGATTCTCTTCCACTTAACAAACTGCCTTACTTTTTTTTTTTTTTTCCTCTGAGCACCTGGTAAGTTACTTTTGTTAAAATTTGAAAGCCAGAAACACTGGCTGCTTGGTGCTACTAGAGTCAGGTAATAAAAAAATTAAAAGGATATTCTTAAAGAGTCCTCAACTTAATTAAAAGTGGATATCCAAATTATAGGTATATTTAAAAGACCTTTATATTTTTCTTTTCCTGGATCTTGTTTTGCTGGTAGAAGTTTTTTTCTCAGTCAACTGAATCCTTTTTCTTCATTTTGTCTGGCCACTCTAATGCATGCATGAGAGGACAGTAATTCAATCTGGAAATTGGCAAATAAAAAACCTTATGACAGCTGGGTGTGGTGGCTTATGCCTGTAATCTCAGCACTTTGGGAGGCTGAGGCAGGAGGACCACGAGGTCAGGAGATAGAGGCCATCCAGGCTAACATGTTGAAACCCCATCTCTACTAAAAATACAAAAAATTAACCAGGTGGACGCCTGTAGTCCCAGCTACTCAGGAGGCTGAGCCAGGTGAATGGCGTGAGGTTGAGGTTGCAGAGGCAGAGGTTGCAGAGAGCCAAGATCGCGCCACTGCACTCCCGCCTGGGTGACAGAGCGAGACTCTGTCTCAAAACAACAACAACAACAACAACAAAAACCTTATAATTACTAGGTTTTCTTCAGCCTGTTTCTGTAGTTATATATATATGTTGTGTGTATGATGTCTATATAAAGAGGTCTAATAAATTTACTTAAAGAATGATAAGAACTTGGATCAAATATTTATTGAAGGGAAGAAAAAAGACATGTACCTTTTTGTTCACATGACTTTTAATCTTTGAGAAATAAAAACAGCCTTAAAGATTATCAGTAGAACACAAATATCAATGTATCAGTGGGTGGACGAAATTATGCAGGTGAAATACTAGATTTGCTAAATGTTTTAAGGTTATAAACAGCATTTTTGGTTTTTGAGAGCAGTTCAACTTTGCTTCACTGTTGGTAAGGCCTGAGGACAAATAGAATTAACCATACCCTTAATTATGCTGAAAGGAGTCAAACCCTTGACTGCACCTAGCACATAATTAAAACAATTTACCTGGTTTTACATTAAAGTTAAAATTGCTAGAAGTTACCATTATAAGATGTAATTAAAAGCACTGGAAGTAGAGTTATATATGAGTAAATGATTTACATACAGTAAAATGTGTTTTTAATAAAAAATTATAAGAAGGCATGAATATATAAATTCTTGCCTAGGGTAAAACATTTGTTCTCAATTAGATAAGATAAAGCTAACAGTTCAAACAAGCTGTGGAAGGATTGTTAAAATTAATCTTGCCAAAGGAATTCTTTTGTGAACATTAATTAAATTTAAAAAGTTATTATATGGGTTTTTTGTAAATTGAGGCTTGCAATAAAAATACAACAAAGTACTCTTAGGGCACAAATCTGTTCTTTAGCAAAATTTGTAAAGAATTATAGAAGGTTTTTGCTTTTTACATTTCTAAGTCATTTGGTTAAAAGATTGATTTAACCTAATTAATTAATTAATTAACATGCTTAGTGATACTGTCTCACTCTGGCCAATCTCAAAATATGCTCAGGTGCTTGCTGAAACCAAAGGGAATATAGAAAGGGTAGTAGAAGAAGGTAGTCATCAATACCAGGTACAACCACTTGATCAGCTGCAAAAGCGAGGGCTGTAACTGTATTTCCTTCTTCTTTTGTTAAAAAAATTTTTTTGTGTTTATACACTCATACTAAGAAAATATCTTTATTTCCTTTTTCCTTCATTATGTGTTATAAGATTTATTGACTTTGCATTAGCACTTAAGTATTATTAACTTTACGTTATGGTATTTGGGTTGGGGATTTCTGCATTTCCAGTTGTGTGAAGAATAGTTGTATTATATTAGGCATACTTGTGACCTTATTATTTTCCTTATTCAAAGATTGTGTATGATCTCAGGAGATATGTGTGGGTTCAAGTTGACAAGGGGTGGACTTGTGATAGTTAATACTAAGTGTCAATGTGGTTAGATTGAAGAATGCAAAGAATTAATCCTTGGTGTCTCTGTGAGGGTGCTGCCAAAGGAGATTAACGTTTGAGTAAGTCAGCTGCAAAAGACAGACCCTCCCTTAATCCGAGTGGGCACCATCTTACTAGCTGCCAGCATAACTAGCTGCTGGCTAGAAAAATATGAAAAGATGAGACTGGCCTAGTCTCCTTGCCTACATCTTTCTTCCATGCTGGATGCTTTCTGTCCTCAAACATCAGGATCCAAGTCCTTTAGTTTTGGGGACCTGGATCAGCTCTCCTTGCTCCTCAGCTTGCAGATGACTTATTATGAAATGTTTGATGAATACAGCCATTCAAACTCTCCCCACAAACAGAGAGAAAGACATTCATCTTAACCTTGGTTTTCAGTTATAAAGAGCATAGATGTGATTCTTACTCTTTAATTTTATAGCCAAAATCTGTTATTATGTAGGTTTGACAGCAGAATGTATACCCTTTCTGTCACTTTCCAAAAACTCAGTGTAAGAATTGGCTGGAAAAAATCTTTTGTAGAGCTCCTGACTGCAGTACAACAAATATCCCTTTAAAAACCTTAAACTCAGGCCTTAAAGAATTTTCCTAAAGTTTAGATGATTCACATAAATATAAAAATATTGAAAAGTCATGAAAGAAACCAACACGAAAAATATAAGGAGAAACAACAAGAACCATTTGAGAAATACTGCAGATCCTTTAATAAGCAGACATTGAATATAACATAACTAGCTTAATGAATTTTAAAAAATGAAACATTAATATTAAAAGTGTGGTCAAGTATTAAAAGATTATCTTAAAGGTTAAGATAGGTCTGAAAATCTGGAGAGAAAATAGAAATTTTAGATGCAATAAATACAATACTTGGAAAGTAAAAACTCAATAGAGCATTTAGAGAACAAAAGTCAGAAACAGTTTAATTCCTTGAAAGGCTTGAATGAGTAAACTTAAAATCAAGAAGAGAATTTTATTCTCAGAAAAGAAAGAAAAATTCATAACCAATAAAATGACTTAAAAATGCTGAAAGATTTTCTAGAACAGAGACTTTCTCTATAAGAAATTTCTGGGAAAGAAAGAGAGGTCATTCTTGAAGAAACCTAGTAAAACAATGGCATGTAGTTATCAAAAACAGTGGATAATAATAATACATTTCATATAATTTAATGAAATAAGATAGAGTTTAAAATATTATATTAAAACATCCAAAATAAAAAAATCAAAATAAAAGATGATAAGGTCTTGAATTTTTCTTAAAGCTGGTAAAGATCTTGATTAGATTTAAACATAATTAAGATATATTTCTTCAAGTCATGACAATATATAAAATGAGGAAAAAATACAACAGTTTAATACAACAAATTTTAAACAGGAGATGAAAGTGAAACCTAAGGACTAGAGCAAATATAAATAAAACTTAAAATTATAAACATATATCTAAATATTTGAATAAAAAGTTTAAATAAACATGCGTACTAAAAATATATATCTTTCTAAAAACTGGAGCTCTGTGCTGCTTATGAAACTTACATCAAACACAAGGCAAGAAACAGTTAATAAATTATGTAAATGGATATACTGGGTAAATTCCATGCCCTAGCAAACACTGCATGTTTTCAGATTTAAAGCAACAATTGATACTAAAGGAAAAATTATGGTAACCTAGATAACAAAACTTTCAGTAGACTAGGAGGATAATACAGTTTTAATCTACACTTCTAAAATATAGACAGCAAAAATTGTTTAAATCATAATATTCCAAGAAATTTAAAAATTAATTAAATAATTTAAACAATTCAATTATTTTAATTAACTTTAAATTAATTGAAATAATTAGTTGATTCAATTAATTATATCAATGAATTACATTATAATGAAACATTTTAATACAACACTCCAAGATTATTGGTTCAGCAGAGGTTAAACTATGTAAGAAGCTATTTAAAAAACTTTATCCAATAGGCAGTTACAGGATATAGTATCTAGCAATGCACATTGTTCTAAAAACTCAGAAACATTTAAAGACATACTATGCCTTAAGGCAAGTCTCAATACATTTCAAAGGTCCATGTATTATCAAGAACACATTCTGATTCCAATACAAACAATTATAAAAATATACATATTTTTAATCATGTAAATTGGAAATACATAATACAGACTTGTTAATAACATATAAAAAACAAAATTTGAAATACAGAACTAAATAATAGTTTAAAATATTAAGTATCAGTACTTTTGGAATCCTGATAAAAGAAAAGTTAGTCATAAAAAAAAGGTTAACGTTTGGTGTTTCATGAAGAAATAAAAAAGGTGGCACTAATATGTGAATCATTTGTTATAGTTAGGAAAGGAAGAAACATGTACACCAAAAGAAAAAAGGCATAAATAAGAAAATAATGAACGAAGAGCAGAAGTTAATCAAATAGAAAAAGAATTAGTTCTTTGAGAAGATAACGAAGCTTACAGATCTCTGACCAGATTCACTGGGGAAAGAAAGAACACATAATATTAAGACATAAAGAAAGGGTATGCTCAGCTAGGCAGCAGAAATTTAGAAATACAGCAGTATTAGAAACATCTTTACACAAACAAATTTTAATTCTTCAGTGAAACAGAAAAGTCTCTACAAAAAAGTCAGTTACCCAAACTAGGAACTAGGAAGAACTAAGAAACTGCACTTACTGTAGCATTTTGAAAAAAAATGTGTCCACATTTAAATTATCCCTATAAAAAAGTATTAGAATCAACTGCTTTTATAGTTGGATTCTACTACACATTCAAGGAAATAAATATTTCTGAGAAGTGAAAAAGAGAAGAAAAACAATCCTAATTAATTTTCAAATGAATAATGTCTTGTTACTACTTTCAAACAAACAGCATAAGAATTAAAAACAAAAAAGATTAATTTTACTTCACAACAATGTGAAAACATGAGCAAAATATAAGCGTATTATTTTGTTTTCACACAGTTGTAAAGAAACACCTGATACTGGGTAATTTATAAAGAAAGGAGACCTAATTGGCTTATAGTTTCTCAGGCTGTGCAGGAGGCATGGCTAGGAGGTCTCAGAAAACTTAAGATTATGTGAGAGGGCCAAGGGAAAGCAAGTGTGTCTTCACATGGTGGCAGGGAAGAGAGTGTAAAGGGTGAAGTGCTGCACATTTTCAAAAAATTCCATCTCATGAGAACTCATTTGCTATCATGAGAACCTAAAGAGAAATTCTGCTCCCATGATCCAATCACCTCCAACCAGGCCCCCCTCCAAAACACGAGGGTTAAAATTCAGCATGAGATTGGGTTAAAACAGAGCCAAACCATATCAATGAGCAAACAAATGTAAGGTTATACATCATAACCACATATCTACACTAAATTTATTTCAAAGAGAAAGGAGGGGCTCAACTTAAGGAAATCTATTTATTTAATGCATCATACGTATATATTAAAGTAGGAAAAAGTATAATTACATCAATGAATACAGAATAAACATCAAATAAAACAGAATAGCTATTTATAATAAGAGATTAAAGTACAAATAAAGAAAGTGTTCCTTATCAGAAAATACTACCTTCAAAATCAGAAGAAAGACTAGAAGGCTCGCTATTACCATTTCTCTTCAACATTGTCCTGCAGATTTTTAACTTGTAATATGAGACAAATAATACTAATAAAAATACTTTAATATATAAGAATTGGAAAGAAAGAAGTAAAATATTCCTCATCTGTAGATGACATGATTACCTACATGGAAAACTTCAAAGAACATACAAATCATATATACTAATAAGAAAACTTAGAAATTTTTCTAGATGTAGTATTAAGATGTCAAAGTTGAAACTACCTACCTATAAGAGAAAGCCACAGGATGGCCAATTACTTGAGTGATAATGGAGGCTTTACTTCCATTGTGAGATGTGTGATATTAAAGTATACATAATGGTCCCTCAGTATCAGTGAGGGATTGTTTCAGGACATCCATGGATACCAAAATCTGCAGATTCTCAATTTCTTGGCATTAGATAATGTAGTATTTGCATATAACTAACTGTCTAGCTCTTAAAGAAGGTAGCCATGATTCACTGCAGTAGGCACTAAAAAGAAGGCCCTTCTATTATCAAAGGAAATTCTCTGGGAAAGAAAACGGCTGAGGCCACATCTAAAGAGGTAACATTGTTACAGGCCACTGGCTAATGTCAGATACTGCACCCATGTTGGGAACACCACACTGTACCCACGAAAAAATTCAATCGGCAGAACAGAAAGGCTTACAAAAGAATCCCTCAGGATGGTTGCTAGAATGCAACAAAACTCTTTCTCCCTGAGGCAATGCAATGAAAAAGAGTTAATCTTTTATATGACTCCTCACTTTTGGGACAGGTCTCAATATACAAGTTATTTTCTCAAATCATTTAAGGAAAGAATCTATTCCAGACTATAAAGAGGACGGCCAGGGCCTATGATCTTTGTGACCGTAACAATCCAGGAAGCTACTCCACACTCCTTCCTCTACTCAAACCTTTACAACATTGAGGGGCATACACTGGAAAGCCTGTCAAATAGAATTTTTTGTTTGTTTGTTTGTTTTTGACAAGGAGTCTCACTCTGTCGCTAAGCTGGAGTACAGGGGCACGATCTCTGTACACTGCAACCTCCACTTCACAGGTTCAGGAGATTCTCCTGCCTCACTCTCCCAAGTAGCTGGTATTACAAGCACGTGCCATCGTGCCCAGCTAATTTTGTATTTTTAGTAGAGATGGGCTTTTGCTGTGTTGGCCAGGATGACCTCAATCTCCTGACCTCGTTATCCACCCACCTTGGCCTCTCAAAGTGCTGGGATTACAGGTGTGAGCCACCAAGCCCAGTCAGCAAATAGGGTTTTATCAGATACAACCATACAGGTGAAGGAAACATTTGCCTGTTTTTATAGACACCTTCACCAAGTGAATTGAGGCTTTTCCCACAAGGACAGAGAAGGCATTATGAGTGTCCAAATTTTTACTTAATAAGATCAACTGTAAAGTTTCAATTACCTGAAAGTCTGCAGAGCGATAATGGAACTACCTTCACAGTTAGAGTGACCCAATAGATTGCATTCAGCTTTAGACGTTACCTATCACCTTCACTCCCCATGGAGTACTCAATCCTCAGGTAAAATAGAAAAATCTAATCATGTTTTGAAAAGACATTAGCTAAGTCATGTCAGGAGACCTCAGAGACCCAGGTTCCTCTCTTAGCCATAGTCTTTATACACATAGGAATGACCCTTAAAATACTTCCCAAAAAATCCACTTGAGGCGAGTTATGTGAGGCCATGTTTAGCTTGGGGTCTCCTGCTTAATAAAGAGATACATAGTTAACTCATAAGTTGACACATATTGTCAACTTAAGCCAGGTTAGAAAACTCCTCCAAGCCTATGGACAAAAAGTATTGTCCCCTCTCACAACACAATTAACTGGCCTCCTATTCAATCATGAAACTTTGTAAACATTTTGAAAGAAGCATCCCCTGAGAATCAATTACAACCAAAACAGAAGGGCCCCTATCAGGTGTTGTTGACTATCCCAGTCCTTTTAAACTTTAGGGCATACCTAGTTGGATACAATTGTCCAGGATTAAACCTGTTTCTTATAAGTTGCAGGCACAAATGGAGGACACTGTAACCTAAATCTAAATTTTTGGAAGATCGCCACTACCTACTTAAAAGTATCAACAGTCATTCATCCAGAATTGGCAACATAATGCTGCCAGTGGGAATAGAGGGTCTTCCTACTAGGGAAGACTGAGAAAAACACAATTGAGCTCCTGAATTTTCTAGAAGAGGAAGGGTATCATTGTCAGTTTCACAATTTTCTGTGAAGAAGGGTATTTCTCTCTTTTTCCACCTTTTTAAAATCTATCTTAGGACCCTTGACAGCTGTATTGTTACTAATTTATTTACTTGTTTGTTTAGCCTCATAGTAAGGTTTGTATCTTGTAGATTACTATATTTCCAGGTGAAAACAACGCTGGCTTAAGGCTTTTGAGTTATCTTATGTACTGACCTGGAGAATTATAATGTTGTTTCTCCCCTTTAGCTCATGCATCCAGAGAAATTTACTTCTCTAGTGCTAGGCAAGGCCAATGCTCATGACTCAGCAGGAAGCAGTTACAGTGCATGGACCTCCTCCCTCCTGCAGCCCCCTTAAGATTAAGGGAAAGTAGTTAATGTCTGAGTGGAGAATGAGGTTGAAGGTGGGACTCAACTCCAGGGGTAGGGCTCACATAGGATCCAGATTGAGGACTAACTAAAACAGGGACTAGGCAGAAGGAGTTTTCAACCAGACATGCCCACCAGTCTGCCGTGTCATTTTACCATTGCCGCTACAACACACAGGAGGTACCACCCTTCTATGGCAATGATCCAATGATTACCACCCCTTCCCTATAAATTTCTGCACTTCTGCAATAATCCATGCATTTAAAAGCAAATATAAATATGACTGCAAAATATCCCTGACCTGTTCCTCTCTTGCTATGGTGTAACCCTGTTCTGAAAGACGAGTCACAGAGCTGTAACACTGCAAGAGCTGTAATTCTGTCTCATTGTGTCCGGAATTGGTAGGTTCTTGGTCTTGCTGACTTCAAGAATGAAGCCGCGAACCCTCACGATGAGTGTTACGGTTCTTAAAGATGGTGTGTCTGGAGTTTTTTCCTTCAGATGTTCAGATGTGTCTGGAGTTTCTTCCTTCTGGTGGGTTCATGGTCTCACTGGCCTCAGGAGTGAAGCTGCAGACCTTCGTGGTGCTCATACAAGTGGCACAGACACTAAGAGTGAGCAACAGCAAGACTTATTGTGAAGAGTGAAAAAACAAAGCTCCCACAGAATGGAAGGGGACCCGAGCAGGCTTCCACTGCTGGCTCAGGTGGCCTGCTTTTATTCCCTTATCTGGACCCACCCACATCCTACTGATTGGTCCATTTTACAGACATCTGGTTGGTCCATTTTACAGAGAGCTGATTGGTCCATTTTGACAGCCTGCTGATTGGTGCGTTTACAATCCTTTAGCTAGACACAGAGTGCTGATTGGTGTGTTTACAATCCTTTAGCTAGACAGAAAAGTTCTCCAAGTCCCCACCAGATTAGCTAGACACAGAGCGCTGATTGATGTGTTTACAAACCTTTAGCTAGATACAGAGCACTGATTGGTGCATTTACAATCCTTTAGCTAGACAGGAGGCCAGCAGAAGGAGCCAGTCCCAGCCTCAACCAGCCCCAGAGAGGGGCCCCCACAGGGCAGTGGCCAGTTGAAAGGCTCCTCAAGCAGAGCCAGAGCGGATGCTGAGGTGAAGGAAGCACCAAGAGCGAGCGAGGGCTGCTAGTATGTTGTCACTTCTCAATCCCCCCTCTAAACAGGACACCCCAACTGCTGTTGGGAATTTGGCCAATGACCACTCTAGCTACTCACTGCTGGATAGAGGTGAAGAAAGGGCCCTTCAGTTGTAGTGTCCTCCAGAGGGGAACGCTTTAGGCCAGTGGAAGGGCCAGCGTGTTGGTCCAGGGGTCCTCAGTAGAAGTTGTTAGTTGAGCTCATTTGGGTTTCCATTTGTAAGACCATCTGTAGCTTCTTGGCCTCAATTCCAAGGAAACAAATTTGAGAAGCAGGTTAAAAATACAGGGTCCAAAGGCGAGTAAAAGCAAGATGGCTGCCACAGGACCTAGAAAGCGGAGAAGCCATGTTGCCCAACTAGAGAGGTTGGTATGAGTTTGAAAGGCATTGTCTGATTTCAGAAACCATTTCCTATAAATGCTGGGTGGCATCTCGTACTATCCCTGATGGCTTAGTGTAAAAACAACACTCTTCCCCTAAGAAGGTGCAGAGTCCTCCTTTCTCAGCAGTGAGGAGGTCTAGGCTTCAGCGGTTTTGGAGAGTCACTGCAGCTAAAGAGTCTATTTGGGATTGCAGAGTAAGGATAGGTTCGTTATTTCTTACAAACCGCCTGAGAAATCCTTTGAGAGTATGTGGTAGTAGGATAATGAAGTAGATATACTGGCTCTTCTGGTTCCTGTAGCAGTAGCCATTCCTAACCCTATAAGTAGGTGGTATTTGTTGTATGGCCCTGTGCTGATGGACTTGAGCTTTGAGGGGTACTGATAAGTTTTGATTTCCTGGGGCAATGTTAATGTTGGAAGTTAGAAAGACTAAGTGCAGCTGTCTGTCCACTTAGTGGGGAGGCAGATATAGGTCGATGTTCCACATAAGAAGAATATACCTTGGCTGGGTAGACAGAACTGGTTGTGTATGTTAAAAAGGTGTGTGAATTTGTTGTTTTCTTTTTCCCATACTCCTAGAGTACTTGCCAAGGTAGCTCCAGTGACTGGCTGGCAAGGGGTGTTGGGAGAAAACTGAATGGCTCCCTGTGTTCTATTTTCCCATTGGAGAAAAAAACGTTTTGTATCCACTAGGAACAATTTGAGAGAGTGATTGAAAGAGGGGATGAGAAGGCATTCACTAGTGGTGGGGGCACTGCTGCAGGGGGCCCAGGGGTGAATGATCATGCAGGGAGTATGTTTGCCATTACAAGACCTGGACCGTTTGTTAAGCAGGGAGGCAGTGATGATTTTGGGGCCCTGAGAAGCAGACAAGCTGTCTGAATGGAGCTGTTTGGGTTACTATGATCAGTTGGGGCTTGAAGTTGTAGGGTGTAATTACACTGATGGGGTAGTAGGTGCCCCAGGGGCAGGCTCATAAGAGGTTGCATTGGCTGCATAAAGGAGCTTGGAAAGTTAAGATAGTATTCATAGCTACAGGGCCATGTATGGGCTTTTCATTGCTTGCATAATAGGTGTGGTTGGAAATCTAAGAACGTAAAAGTTGGATTGCACATCCTGTTAGGGTATTCTTGATCCTATCAGAGATGGGGAAGTTGGCTAACGATTGCATATTTAGAAGTCAGAAAGGGTCTTTTCCTTCATAACAAGGGTGGTAGGTTAAGTTGGTAAAGATGCAATTTTTGGCAGGAATGGGAGTGGCAACATAAGAAGAGGTTGATAGGGAGACACAAAGCCAACAGTCATTTGCCAGGGAAGGACTGGACTGGTTTAACAGAGACTGGGTTAAGTTGAGAGTCTTGTAGAGGAAATTAGGAAAAAGTGGAAGGGGAGGGGTGATTATATGAGGTATCCAAGGAAGCAGGAGGGATGCATAGGCAAAGAGCAAATAGGAAGGTAAAGAGGATGCTCTGGAAGAAGAGATCATTTTCTCGAGTCTGAGTTAAAGGTAGGAGTAAATTGCTGTTAAAAGAAGAAAGATGGAAGGTTGATGTGATTAGCATTTTCGTACTGGCAGGAGCTAGAGTATATAATCCTATCACAAAGAGTATGGTTAGTGTGTTGTTTTCACTTATCTTTTTTAAGCAGGAAGGAGTTTTTCCTCAGGATCAGTGGTAGGAGCCTTTTTAGTGTGGGATGTTTCCTTCTGAAATAGAAGATGCAAGTCCTCCAATGGTTCACAGGTGTATCGAGGCTGGTCTGGCTGATCTTGGGACTCCTGAGCTGACGGTTCCACAGGTTCCTCAGGGGACGTCCAAAGTTTAACTCAGGTGTGGTAATCCAAGTTTCCATTCCTGCCACCTTAATCGCAGTGAGAGTAGAGAGGATTACCGAGTATGGTCCTTCCCACAAAGAGTTGAAACAACTCTGTTCCCTTTTCTCTGTGACATCCTTCAGGTAGGTTTTTAAGGTTTTGTTGATATTTTGACAAAGAAGTTATATCTTTGACCAAGTAGGCCATTTCCTGATCCAGTAGGGGGTCTTTTGTGAGAAAAGATCGTCCATACAGCATTTCATATGGACTGAGCCCCATTTTGTGAGGAGAATTTCGGATTCTCAACAAGGCAATGGTCAAAATAGCTAGGCCATGGGAGATGTGTTTCTTGTGTTAGTTTCCTTAAGTGTCTCTTAAGTGTTTCATTTGCCTTCTTGACCTTCCCTGAGGATTGTGGCCTCCAGGCACAGTGAAGGTGATATTGTATCGCTAGCACCCTGGAAATTCCTTGAGTTATCGCAGCCTTAAAAGCCAGACAATTTTCACTCTGTAAGCTTTGGGGAAGCCCAAATATAGAAATTATTTCATGAATTAGGAGTTTAATCACTTCCTAAACCTTCTCTGTCTTGCAGGGGAAAGCTTCTATCCAATCTGTAAAGGCATCAACACAGACCAACAAGTATTGAAATCCCTTTGACTTAGGCATATGGGTGAAATCTAACTGCCAGTCCTTTCCAGAATAGTGACCTATTCTTTGCTCTCCCAAAGGGGTCTTACTATGGATGAAGGGATTATTCCTTTGGCACACCTAACAGGCTTTGACTACCTGTTGGATGGTTTGGAGAAGATTTGGCCCTGTAAATAGGGATTTGGCCATTTGATGAGTGTTTTCAATACCCATATGTAAAGTTTGGTGGAGGGTTTTACGTATTTTCCACTGGCTGGCTTTGGGTATAAGTACCTTTCCTTCTTCTGTAGCCAACCTGAGGGGAGAAAACTATGCCCCCATGAAATTCCCCACTCTGCTTCAGGTGGGGAATACTGAGGCTTAATCTCTTGGTGGGGGTTTGTTCCATACTAAGGGTCCTTCCATAGGTATTTCTAAAGGGGGATTCTGCCTGGCAGGAATTTTGGCCTCAGAATCAAACCAACAGTTTCCTTCTGACTTTTCTCCTTCACCTTTCTGATGGTTTTGGCAGTGTAAGACTGCCACCTCTTTGGGTTTTTCCACTGCATGCAATAACTGTATAATTTCCTTGTGGTATTTAATGGGGGTCCTCACAGAGGTTAGGAACTCCCTTTCTTTCCATATTGCAGCATGGGCATGTAGGATTAGATAACCGTACTTGCTATCTGTGTACACATTTACTCTTTTTCTTTTTCCCAGTTCTAAGGCTCGGGTAAGTGTCATTAGTTCTGCTAACTGGGCACTGGACCCTGCAGAAACAGGCTTACTTTCAAGTAAGGTTAGTTCACTAACTATAGCATAACCTGCCCTTCATATCCTGTTCTTCACTAATGAACTTCGATCGGTACATAGGTTAAGGTCAGGATTAGCTAAGGGGACTTCTAAGAGATCATCTCAGGTGGCATAAGTCTGGACTATAATTTGTTGGCAGTCATACTCGATGGAGTCCCCATCCTCTGGGATAAAAGTGGCAGGGTTGAGGGCCACACACATATGTATTTGAAGAACTGGTCCCTCAAAGAGTAGCACCTGATGTCTAAGTAGGCAGTTTCCTTATAGCCATACACTTCCTTTGGTACCTAGTATGCCATTTACATCATAAGCAGTACAGACAGTGAGATTCTTTCCTTGTATTATTTTGATAGCCTCTGACACTAAGACCACCACCACTGCAACTACTCATAAACAGTGAGGCCAGCCTTTTGCTACTTCATCAATTACCTTACTTAGATATGCCACTGGTTGTGGGGTTGTCCCACGAGTCTGAGTAAGGACTCCAAGAGTGATCCCTGCTCTCAGTGATGTATAAAGAGCAGTTTTATCCTTTGGAAAGGCTTAAAGCTGGAGCTTGTACTAGGGCCTGCTTTAAGGTTTTGAAGACTATTTCTGCCTCTTCTTCCCATTCTACTAGATGAGCATTTGCTCTCTGGGTCTCCTTGACTAGAGTATAGAGGGGCCAGGCTAACTTGCCGTTTCTGGGGATCCATAGTCAGCAAAAGCCAGTGACTCTAAGGAACCCTCATAACAGTTCTAAGGTCTTAGGGTGAGGATGAGCCAGTATAGGCTGTCTTCATTCCTTGCTGAGGGCCCTGGTCCCTCTGGCTAAGACTAGGCCTAGATATTTGACCTGCTGTAGGCAAAGCTGGGCCTTTGACCTAGACACTTTGTATCCTTGATTAGCTAGAAATTTCAAGAGATCTAGAGTAGCCTGCTGGTATGAGGCTTCTGAAATGGTAGCCAAAAATAAATCATCCACATACTGAAGGACCAGAGTGCCTGGACTTGAGAAGTGGCCTAGATCTTGGGCCAGTGCCTGATCAAACAGATGAGGGCTATCTTTAAATCCTTGGGTCTAGACTGTCCATGTAAGTTGGAATGTGTGATCTTGCAGGATCCTCAAAGGCAAAGAGAAACTGCGAGTCAGAGTGCAGGGGAATACAGAAGAAGGCATCCTTGAGGTCCAGAACAATGAACCATTCTGCTTCTTCTGGTATTTGACAGAGCAGGGTATAGGGTTTGGGTACAACCGGATATAGAGGAATTAGTGCCTCATTGATGAGTTTAAGATCTTGCACTAATCTTCACTGACCATTTGGTTTTTGTATTCCTAGAACTGGGGTGTTGTAGGGACTGCTGCATTTCCTTACTAAGCCTTCAGCTTCTAAATGTTTAACAATATCCTGTAATCCTTTATGAGCTTCAGGCCTTAAGGGATATTGCCTTTGACAAGGAAAAGTGGTGGGATCTTTTAGCCTGATTTGGACTGGGTGAACATATTTTGCCCTTCGAAATTGTCCTTCCAATGCCCAGACTTCAGGGTTGATTCCCTCCTCAAGTAGGGGACAACAAATGAGTAATTTACTCCCCATATTCATGTAGATAATGGCTCCAGCTTTGGCTAATATATCCCTCCCTAGTAAGGGTGCAGAACTTTCAGGCATAACAAGAAAGGCATGTGAAAAGAGCAGCCTCCCAATTACAATTAAGGAGGTGGGAGAAATACCTGGTTACAGGATGTCCCAGGATTCCTTGGATGGTAACGGACCTTGAGCACAGTCATCCAGGACAGCAGATTACCACTGAGAAGGCTGCACCAGTGTCCAGAAGGAAGTCAATTTCCTGGCCACCAATGGTTAAGCATATCCAGGGCTCAGTGAGGGTCGCAACGTGAGCTGACACTTGCCCAGGGCACCCTCATTCCTGTTGTTGGATTATCTGGTTGGGGGCCTCTGACCTAAAGAACCTTTGTCCTCTGGGGCAGTGCACCTTCCAGTGATTGTCTCAGCATAGCGGACATGGATTACGGGGTGGCTTGTTCCTCATTGGACAATCTTTTTTAAAGTGTCCTTGTAAACCACACTGATAACAACCGCTACCAGGTGATTGGCCTGCTCCATTTTCTGTCCTCTCTGAACCAGCAAGGTTTGTCTGTCTGAGGTCCATGACTAAGGCTGCGGCCTTTCTCTGATCCTGCTTTTCCTTTTGGGCCTGTTCCTCTTAGTCGTTATTATAGAACATGGAGGTTGCCAGGTTTAATAATGCCTCTAGATTTTGTTCAGGGCCAAGGGCTTGCTTTTGCAGCCTTCTCCTGATATCTGTGGCTGATTGGGTAATAAACTTATCTTTTAGAATCAATTGACCCTCAAGTGATTCGGGTGACAGGGGAGTATATTTTCATAAGGCCTCCCATAGCCACTCAAGGAAGGCAGAAGGATTTTCTTCCTTTCCCTGAGTTATGGTGGACATCATTGAATAATTCATGAGATTTTTCCTAATTCTCCTTAGTCCTTCTAGAACACAGGTCAACAGATGTTTACGACTCCAGTCCCCCTGATCTGAGTCAAGATACCAGTGGGGATCCATACTGGGGATGGCTTGCTGACTGGTAGGGATTTTTTCCCTTTCTTCAGCTGTCATTCTATCACTTACTTGGCTAAGATACCAGGTATCTCCAAACTCGGGCTGCTGCTAAAGACACATTCTTTTCATTAAAGGCCAGGCTTTTGCCTAACAGTAGCATAACATCTCTCCAAGCGAGGTCAAAGGTTTGCCCTAGACTCTGTAGGACATCTATGTACTTATCGGGATCATCTGAAAACTTCCCCAGGTCTGCCTTGGTCTGCTTTAAGTCAGAGAGGGAGAAGGGTACATGTATCTGAGTTGGACCAAATTCCCCTTCCCCTAGAGCTTGTAGGGGGCATAACTGATAGTCTGGAGGGTTTGGGGTCCTTTGGAGATTTCTTTGCTTATTTCCTTCTGGGCAGGGGAGATAAGAGGAGGCTTATCATTAATAAGAAGGGGAGCTGTAGGGAGGCTAGGATATGGGGGTAAGCTGAAATGTCCTCCTGTGGGGTGTAAATTGCAAACTTTGCATAGTTGTGTATTCTCCTTCAATGAAAAGAAAGCTTGGACATAAGGCATTTCACTCCATTTGCCTTCCCTCTTACAAAAGAGGTCAAGCTGTAGGATAGTATTGTCATTTGTACTTCCCTCAGGTGGCCATTTTTCCCCATCAGAGGGAGAATATTGGGGCAAGCCAAAGTGCAGAAAAAAATGAGCCACCTACTTTTCAGGATTGGTGTGTCAAATTGGTACCATTGGCTTAGGATGCATTTCAAGGGTGAACCTCTTGATGCCGGAGTGTTTTCCATCTGAAAGGCAAAACTGCCTATGGTTTTGTTCTGTTTTGTTTCTCCCCCTGCCCAAGAACCCACAATGGTCCCTGGACACTGCTGATCAGAATAGTTGTGCTCACTGATGCAGCAGGAGGGACAATGCCTGCTCAAGATCCCACAACAGTCCCTGGACCCTGCTGATCAGAATAGTTGCACTCACCAATGCAGCAGCAGAAACACTAGTTTTCCTCCAAGACCACAAGGAGGAGTGAAGAAGGTCAGATTTAGTGGCCCTTTCTGATGCATTTTGGGAAAGCTGCACCCTTGCCTGTCCTCCTAGACCACAAGGAGGACCAGAAAAAATTGGATTTAGTGGCCCTTACTGATGCATTCTCAAAAACCTGTTAGAGTCCTAAGCATTCTCCTCTTAGTACTGGGACCTTATCTGTGTCCTATAAAGATATTATGCCCCAAAAAAGAAGTGGAGGTCCATAACCTGAGGGAAGGAAATGATCTCCAGGTTTGGAAGTGTGACACCTTTTGTCCTCACTTATGTGAATAAGAAGGATACAATTTCTGAGGCTCCCCATATCCTAGCTTCAGCAATAGCTTTTGTTAGGCCTGCTAGTCTGAGGTGGGATCCTAAAATTCCAGATATTTCCCCCTGCAATGGGGCTTTGGGCAAAAAATATGTTTTTCTGATTGGTGAGCCCAGGTGCCTGAGGAAGGTAACAGAGTCCTGAAGCTTACACTAGAAATCATATTATAGCAGAAACTAAGGAAGCACCAGAGACAGGGAATGGTTTTTAGAAGTGGGGCTAGCCTCAGAGAAAAGTGGCAAGAGGAAGTTTGTCTGGCAGGCATTAGGACCCAGGGGCAAGTGTCAAGATAGATAGGATAGATGGACGAGTCTCTCTTGGGCAACATGCCTTTGAGAGTTCTGCTCATGGCTGCAGGGTCAACCAACTTGTTGTCAGGACCCTGGAGCCGAATGGCTTTCCTCTCTGTCAACCCTTGGCTTGGCCCAGAATTACAGGAAAAGTGGAAGCTGGTTTGAGGCAAACCAACGCTCCCAACTCCAAAGAGTCGGGGGTTGTTAGAGAGCCCTTTTCAGAAAGGCTGACACCCGTGTCTTTAGTCCAGCAGCCACGCTAGTTGCTTTTAACTGGCCGAAAGGTGCCCAATATTTAGCCCCAGAATTCTAGGGAAAAATAGCACATAATAGCAAGAGAAAGGGGTCTGATGGTACTCACCACTTGGCAGTAGGTGATGATCTCACCAATAGGCGATGGTCTTACCACTTGCTGATAGTCTCACTGCTTGGTGATAGGCGATAGTACCTTTGTGATTGCCAAAATGCGTCTGGAATTGATGGGTTGTTGGTCTCACTGACTTCAAGAATGAAGCTGCCAACCCTAGTGGTGAGTGTTACCGTTCTAAAAGATGGTGTGTCTAGAGTTTGTTCCTTCAGATGTTCAGATGTGTCCAGAGTTTCTTGCTTCTGGTGGTCTCACTGACTTCCGGAGTGAAGATGCAGACCTTCGCGGAGACTGTTACAGCTCTTAAAGGCAGCTTGTCTGGAGTTGTTAATTCCTCGTGGTGGGTTCATGATCTCACTGGCCTCAGGAGTGATGCTGCAGACCTTCACGGTGAGCTAATAAAGGTGATGTGGGCCCAAGTAAGGAGCAGCAGCAAGATTCATTGCAAAGAGCGAAAGAACAAAGCTTCCACAGCATGGAAGGGGACCTGAGTGGATTGCCACTGCTGGCTCGGGTGACCTGCTTTTATTCCCTTATCTGGCCCCACCTACATCCTAATGATTGGTTCATTTCACATAGAGCTCACTCGTCCATTTCACAGAGAGCTGATTGGTCGGTTTTCTCAGAGTGCTTATTGGTGCATTTACAATAACTTAGCTAGACAGAGTGCTGATTGGTGCATTTACAATCCTTTAGCTAGATACAAAAGTTCTCCAAGTTGCCACCAGATTAGCTAGACACAGAGCTCTAATTGGTGCATTTACAAACCTTTAGCTAGACACAGAGTGCTGATTGGCACATTTACAATCCTTAAGCTAGGCAGAAAAGTTCTCCAAGTCCCCATCTGACCCAGAAGCCCAGCTGGCTTCACCTCTCAATGGAACTCACTGGGGACTTTGTGGCATCTAGCCCAGGCACTCCAGCAGCCCAGAGGGAGCTCATCCTCTGATCAAGCCCAGCAGGTGCTGGCCAGCTTCGCTGAGTGTGGGGCCCACCCAGCCTGCACCCACATGGAACCAATGTCAGCCCAGGAGTGCCATGCACAGTCCTGGCTCCCACTGGCACCTGTCCCTCCACACCTCCCCGTGAGCAGAGGGAGCTGGTTCCACCCTCAGCCAGCCACAGAGAGGGGCCCCCACAGTGCAGTGGCAGGCTGAAGGGCTCCTGGAGCACAGCCAGAGCAGACTCCGAGGCCGAGGAGGCACCAAGAGCAAGCGAGGGCTGCTAGCACATTATCACCTCTCATCATCAGCTAAGCTATTTTTTTTTTCTACTTCTGGTTTGACATTGAATTCTTTCCTGAACAAAGCCAAGAAACCAGGAGGCTTAGCTCTGTTTGCGGCTTGCCTCTCCTGCATTGTGTCTACTATTCCATTCCAAGATTTAGTAAACTACAAATTAAGCAGATGAAGTGAATACAATTACTTTAAATGCAAAAGTTAAAGGTCACCAAAAAATTCAACAATCAACACTAAGAATACTTTTTAATGCAATGTTTTCATAATCCAAAATAATGCATAATCATAAAAAAGTATTATAATATTTTTAAAGATGGCACATTATTGATTCTTTATTTTGCTTAATGCTTCAGTATTCCTTAGCATAGCATTCATATTGATACTGATCTTATCTTTCCATAAAATATTTTGTCCAACATTTAATTTTTATTAATAATTATTTATGACGATTGCTCTGAAATACAGATCTTAATTACTGAGGCTTTTAAATCAATAAATCTTAGTAGAGTAGTTTTAGCCTTATAACAAAATTGAGAAGCAAGTAAAGAAAGCTCCCTTACACCCTGTGCCCACATGTACAACCTTCCCCACTATCAATATCTCTAATGAGACTGGTATGTTTGTTACAATTCATAAACCTACATCAACACTTTATCATTCAATATCTGCAATTTACATTAGGACTCATTTTTACTGTTGCACATTCTATGAGTTTTGACAAACATGTAATAAAATATATCCAAAATTATAGTATTATGTAGAATAGTTTCAGTATTGTATACTCTAATAATTACCTGAGTTGTGCCTATTTATTGTACTCTCCCTTGTAAATCATTGTGACCACTAATCTTTTTACTTCTTCAATAATTTTTTTCTAGATTGCCATATATTTGAAATAATATGTGTAGCATTTTCTGATTTGCTTATTTCACTTGTAAATATACATTTAATTTCCTTCCATGTCTTTTCATGACTTGAAAGCTCATTTTTTTCAGTGCTGAACAGTGTTAGATAAATAGTCCATAAACCACAGTTTATCCACTTAACTACTATACAACATGTCCATATGCAAATTTTGATGTAAACATGTTTTTAGTTTAGTTGGAAAAATTCCAAGAAGCAAGACCGCTGGATGAGATTGAGAGAGTGTTTAGTTTTGTTAAAACAAAACAAAGCCTACCAGACATTCTTCTAAATTTGCTGTTATCAGTTTTTAGAATTTTTGCTATTTAATGTTTAATTTATTATCACATTCACAACTACCCAATAATATATGATGGTTATCATCCTTTCATATGCTCATTCCCTTAGTCTTAACTATTGGGGAGGCAAAGGAAAAGGATACGTGAGACTTGGAATTGGGAGGCTGCAGTGAGCTATGATGGAACCACTGCACTACAGCCCGGGGACAGAGACCCTGTCTCAAAAAAAAAAAAAAAAAAAAAGAGCAAACAAAAGAAGAAAAGAAGGAAGGAAGGGAGAAAGGAAAAGAAAGAGTAGACAAGGGAAGGGAAGGAAAAAAGAAAAAGAAAAAAGGGAAATGAAGAAGGAATAATTTGTCAGCAAAATAGTGATGCCTAAGCAGGTTTTTCAGGTTTATTCCCTAGGATTCATTATATATGAGTTTGGTATTTAGTGTGTTTACTTGTTTTGTTTTGTTTTTGAGACTGGGTCATGCTGTATCACCCAGTCCAGAGTGCAGTGGCATGATCTTCGCTTAGTACAAACTCCACCTCCTGGGTGTAAAGGATTCTCCCAGCTCACCACCTGTAGGGGGGACCACAGTCTCATGCCACTACTCCCAGCTAATTGTATGTGTTTTTGGTAGAGACAGAGTTTCACCTTTTTGCCCAGGCTGGCCTGGAACACCTGGCCTCAAGTCATCTGGCTCCCCTTGGCCTCCCAATGTGCTGGAATTACAGGCTTAAGCCAACAACCTGGGCCTACAGATAGGGTTTTTCTTTCCAAACAATTCTTGATAAATCATGTGTTTTCTGAAATTATCTGTCATCTTATTTTCCACATCACTATAATAGTGCAAAGATTTCTTATAATTCTTTCATGTTTCTTTCTCTTGTTAAATTATTCTCTTGTTATTCTTTCAATGTGTGTGTGTGTGTGTGTGTGTGTGTGTGTATGTGTGTGTGTACTCATGCATGTGTGTTTCTTCATTTCCTTGTCTTCCTTGTTTAGGCATGTCTAAGTGTAAGTATATAATAATATAATTAAACAATTGGGTGTTTTACTTGATGTGAAACATCAGAAGCAACACAATTTTTTAAATATATTTTGTGTAGCTTTGACCAGTCACTAAGGAAAGCAGGATTGCAAGTAAACCTCTAGGTCTCACTGAATATAAATGTAATTACAATTCTATAGATTTTTTAGCCCTAAACTATGTTGCACATAGTGAGCTCAGTAAATTTTAATCTTATGATACTAATATCCAGTAGATACCGTTATTATATTCTCTTTGCTGATTGGGTAAATTTCAAAGATTAAGCAGTCTAACTTCACACAGCTATTAAGTGGTGAAGGTTAGATTTTTCTTGGTTTGCCAAACTTTATATTGTACAAATCACCACATGCATTATACCATCTGGTAGACACCAAGCTTTTGGTCAAATGATTTTTAACCGCTGCCCTAAAAAAAGTAGCCTATTTGCATGGCAAGCAAGATGTTTCGTGATCTTGCACTCTCTCCCTGTGTCCACTTGATCTTTGTGTATTTAGTGACATTCCTTGATCTTTGTGTATTTAGTCCTATTTCACTGATCACAAAAAAAGGCAGGTTATTCCACCGAGTAGATTTTTACTTGTAACATTGCATGTTTCTGCATATCCTCCCAGTAAATATAATTCTGTATTTGTGTTTTTGCTTTTCCTTCCACCACATGGATTATAATGACTCCATTCATCTTCACATGTTTTATCTCTGCCTAGAAAATGTTTCTTGGAAGTATATGTAATAGATTAAAAATCATTTTCAATCTTGTTTTTTACAATGTCTTTATAAGAGACAGTTTTCTTTAAGAAGAAAATATTTATAGAGGGAAGGTTTGTTGGTTTAAATCAATTTTTTTAGTAATAGATTCCTAAAACTGTGTACCTTTTAAAGGCTTGTAACTTAAGTTTCCTGTTTTGCAAATTAGGCCTAACAAAAATTATACGAATGTTATGGGACTTCTAAAAATGAACTTGGTGTAAAATATATGTAGATATTTTATCAAAGAGGTTGATCCTTATCATTATTTAGAAAATGACATTATGTGTATCCTCTTTTAAAAAAATACTGAGACATTTTCTCATACATCTTATGGCATCAACCATAATGTATAATTTACATATCTATTTTTCCTGTGCTGTAGTCTCACTAGCTAACTTACTAATTATTTGTATTAGTTAACAATTAAGTATATACTACTCAGTTACATATAACATTAATAAATGCATTCCATCAAGTAAATATCAATGAATACAAAGGGAACAATTATCTGTTCAAAATGGAAAAAGGGTAACAATAATGTAGAGAGAGCCATAGTCAAATCAATGTTCTTCTGCTAAGAATGTGACAAAAAGAATATGAGAAGAAAATGCTACAGTGGGTTTTGGTAAGAAAGAAACTAACAGGGGGTGGTTACAAGATGGCCAAATAGGAGCAGCTCTGGTCTACAGCACCCAGCGTGAGTGATGCAGAACGTGGATGATTTCTGCATTTCCAACTGAGGTACCAGGTTCATCTCACTGGTGATTGTCAGAGAGTGGGTGCAGGACAGTGGGTGCAGTGCACTGAGCAGGAGCCAAAGCAGGGTGAGGCATTGCTTCACCCAGGAAGCTCAAGGGGTCAGGGAATTCCCTTTCCTAGCCAAGGAAAGGGGTGACAGAGGGCACCTGGAAAACAAGGTCACTCCCACCCTAATACTGCACTTTTCCAATGGTCTTAGCAAATGGCACACCAGGAGATTATAACCTGTGCCTGGCTCAGAGGGTCCTACACCAATGGAGCCTCACTCATTGCTAGCACAGCAGTCTGAGATCAAACTGCAAGGCAGCAGCGAGGCTGGGGAAGGGGTTCCCACCATTGCTGAGGCTTGAGCAGGTAAACAAAGTGGCTGGGAAGCTCAAACTGGATGGAGCCCACCACAGTTCAAGGAGGCCTGCCTGCCTCTGTAGACTCCACCTCTGGGGGCAGGGCATAGCCCAACAAAAGGCAGCTGAAACCCCTGCAGACTTAAATGTCCCTGTCTGACAGCTTGGAAGACAGTAGTTCTTCTCCCAGAATGCAGCTTGAGATCTGAGAACGGACAGACTGCCTCCGCAACTGGGTCCCTGACCCTCGAGTAGCCTAACTGGGAGGCACCCCCCAGTAGGGGCAGACTGACCCCTCATGTGGTCAGGTACCCCTCTGAGACAAAACTTCCAGAGGAACAATCAGGCAGCAACATTTGCTGTTCACCAATACCCACTGTTCTGCAGTCTCCGCTGCTGATACCCACACACACAGAGTCTGGAGTGGACCTCCGCAAACTTCCACCAACCTGCAGCTGAGGGTGGTGATTGTTAGAAGGAAAACTAACAAACAGAAAGGACATCAACACCAAAACCCCATCTGTACGTTATCATCATCAAAGACCAAAGGTAGATAAAACCACAAAGATGGGGAAAAAACAGAGCAGAAAAACTGAAAATTCTAAAATCAGAGTGCCTCTCCTCCTCCAAAGGAATGCAACACCTCACCAGCAATGGAACAAAGCTGGATGGAGAATGACATGACAAGTAGAGAGAAGAAGGCTTCAGATGATCAAACTTCTCTGAGCTAAAGGAGGAAGTTCAAACCCATGGCAAAGGAGTTAGAAACCTTGAAAAAAGATTAGACAAATGGCTAACTAGAATAACCAAGGCACAGAAGTCCTTAAAGGAACTGATGGAGCTGAAAGCCATGGCACAAGAACTACGTGATGAATGCACAAGCTTCAGTAGTCGAGTCAATCAAATGGAAGAAAGGGTATCAGTGATGGAAGTTCAAATGAATGAAATGAAGCAAGAAGAGAAGTTTAGAGAAAAAAGTATGAAAAGAAATGAACATTTCTCTGATGGCCAGTGATGGTGAGCATTTTTTCATGTGTTTTTTGGCTGCATAAATGTCTTCTTTTGAGAAGTGTCTGTTCATGTCCTTCGCCCACTTGTTGATGGGGTTGTTTGTTTTTTTCTTGAAAATTTGTTTGAGTTCATTGTAGATTCTGGATATTAGCCCTTTGTCAGATGAGTAGGTTGCGAAAATTTTCTCCCATTTTGTAGGCTGCCTGTTTACTCTGATGGTAGTTTCTTTTGCTGTGCAGAAGCTCTTTAGTTTAATTAGATCCCATTTGTCAATTTTGGCTTTTGTTGCCATTGCTTTTTGTGTTTTATGCATGAAGTCCTTGCCCATGCCTATGTCCTGAATGGTAATGCCTAGGTTTTCTTTTAGGGTTTTTTATGGTTTTAGGTCTAACATTTAAGTCTTTGATCCATCTTGAATTAATTTTTGTATAAGGTGTAAGGAAGGGATCCAGTTTCAGCTTTCTACATATGGCTAGCCAGTTTTCCCAGCACCATTTATTAAATATGGAATCCTTTCCCCATTGCTTGTTTTTCTCAGGTTTGTCAAAGATCAGATAGTTATAGATAAGTGGCATTATTTCTAAGGGCTCTGTTGTGTTCCATCGATCTACGTCTCTGTTTTGGTACCAGTACCATGCTGTTTTGGTTACTGTAGCCTTGTAGTATAGTTTGAAGTCAGAAAGCGTGATGCCTCCAGCTTTGTTCTTTTGGCTTAGGATTGACTTGGCGATGTGGGCTCTTTTTTGGTTCCATATGAACTTTAAAGTAGTTTTTTCCAATTCTGTGAAGAAAGTCATTGGTAGCCTGATGGGGATGGCATTGAATCTAGACATTACTTTGGGCAGTATGGCCATTTTCACGATATTGATTCTTCCTACCCATGAGCATGGAATGTTCTTCCATTTCTTTGTATCCTCTTTTATTTCATTGAACAGTGGTTTGTAGTTCTCCTTCAAGAGGTCCTTCACGTCTCTTGTAAGTTGGATTCCTAGGTATTTTATTCTCTTTGAAGCAATTGTGAATAAGTATTCACTCATAATTTGGCTCTCTGTTTGACTGTTATTGGTGTATAAGAATGCTTCTGATGTTTGTACATTGATTTTGTATCCTGAGACTTTGCTGAAGTTGCTTATCAGGTTAAGGAGATTTTGGGCTGAGATGATGGGGTTTTCTAGATATACAATCATGTCATCCATAAACAGGGACAATTTGAATTCCTCTTTTCCTAATTGAATACCCTTTATTTCCTTCTCCTGCCTAATTACCCTGGCCAGAACTTCCAACACTATGTTGAATAGGAGTGGTGAGAGAGGGCATCCCTGTCTTTTGCCAGTTTTCAAAGAGAATGCTTCCAGTTTTTGCCAATTCAGTATGATATTGGCTGTGGTCTTGTTATAGATAACTCTTATTATTTTCAGATGCATCCCATCAATTCCTAATTTATTGGGAGTTTTTAGCATGAAGCATTGTTGAATTTTGTCAAAGGCCTTTTCTGCATCTATTGAGATAATCATGTGGTTTTTGTCTTTGGTTCTGTTTATATGCTGGATTACATTTATTGATTTGCATATATTGAACCAGCCTTGCATCCCAGGGATGAAGCCCACTGGAGAAATGCAAATCAAAACCACAATGAGATACCATCTCACACCAGTTAGAATGGAGATCATTAAAAAGTCAGGAAACAACAGGTGCTGGAGAAGATGTGCAGAAATAGGAACACTTTTACACTGTTAGTGGGACTGTAAACTAGTTGAACCATTGTGGAAGTCAGTGTGGTGATTCCTCAGGGATCTAGAACTAGAAATACCATGCAACCCAGCCATCCCATTACTGGGTATATACCGAAAGGACTATAAATCATACTGCTTTAAAGACACATGAACACATATGTTTATTGTGGCACTCTTCACAATAGCAAAGACTTGGAACCAACCCAAATGTCCAACAATGATAGACTGGATTAAGAAAATGTGGCACTTATACACCATGGAATACTATGCAGCCATAAAAAATGATGAGTTCATGTCCTTTTTAGGGACATGGATGAAATTGGAAATCACCATTCTCTGTAAACTATTGCAAGAACAAAAAACCAAACACCGTATATTCTCACTCATAGGTGGGAATTGAACAATGTGAACACATGGACACAGGAAGGGGAACATCACACTCTGGTGACTTTTTGTGGGGTTGGGGGAGGGGGGAGGGGGAGCACCTAATGCTAAATGACGAGTATATGCGCGCAGCACACCAGCATGGCACATGTACACATATGTAACTAACCTGCACATTGTGCACATGTACCCTAATACTTAAAGTATAATAATAATGAAAAAAAAAAAGAAATGAACAAAGCCTCCAAGAAATATGGGACTATGTGAAAAGACCAAATCTATGTCTGATTGGTGTACCTGAAAGTGATGGGGAGAATGGTACCAAGTTGGACAACACTCTGCAGGATATTATCCCAGAGAACTTCCCCAATCTAGCAAGGCAGGCCAACATTCAAATTCAGGAAATACAGAAAATGCCACAAAGATAATCCTCGAGAAGAGCAACTCCAAGATATATAATTGTCAGATTCACCAAAGTTGAAATGAAGGAAAAAATGTTAAGGTCAACCAGAGAGAAAGGTCGGGTTACCCACATGGGGAAGCCCATCAGACTAACAGCTGATCTCTCAGCAGAAACTCTACAAGCCAGAAGAGAATGGGGGCCAATATTCAACATTCTTAAAGGAAAGAATTTTCAACCCAGAATTTCATATCCAGCTAAACTAAGTTTCATAAGTGAAGGAGAAATAAAATACTTTACAAAGAAGAAAATGCTTTGAGATTTTGTCAGCACTAGACCTGCCCTACAAGAGCTCCTGAAGGAAGCACTCAACATGGTAAGGAAAAATTGGGACCTACCACTGCAAAAATATGCCAGATTGTGAAGACCATCAATGCTACAAAGAAACTGCATCATCTAATGAGCAAAATAATCAGTTAACACCATAATGACAGGATCAAATTCACACATAACAATATTAACCTTATATGTAAATGGGCTAAATGCTCCAATTAACAGACACAGACTGGCAAATTGGATAAAGAGTCAAGAACCATCAGTGTGCTGTATTTAGGAAACCCATCTCACGTGCAGAGACACACATAGGCTCAAAATAAAGGGATGGTGGAATATCTATCAAGAAAAGGGAAAACAAAAAATGGCAGGGGTTGTAATCCTAGTCTGATAAAACAGACCGTAAACCAACATAGAACAAAAGAGACAAATAAAGCCATGACATAATGGTAAAGGGATGAATTCAACAAGAAGAGCTAACTATCCTAAATATATATGCACCCAATACAGGAGCACCCAGATTCATAAAGCAAGTCCTTAGACACCTACAAAGAGACTTAGACCCTCACACAATAATAATGGGAGATCTTAACACCCCACTGTCAACATTAGACAGATCAATGAGACAGAAGGTTAACAAGGATATCCAGGAATTGAATTTGGCTCTGCACCAAGCAGACCTAATAGACATCTGCAGAACTCTCCACCCCATATCAACAGACTATGCATTCTTCTCAGCACCACACCACACCTATTCCAAAATTGACCACATAGTTGGAAGTAAAGCACTCCTCAGCAAATGTAGAAGAACAGAAATTATAACAAACTGTCTCTCAGACCACAGTGCAATCAAACTAGATCTCAGGATTAAGAAATTCACTCAAAACTGCTCAACTGCACGGAAACTGAACAACCTGTTCCTGAATGACTACTGGGTACATAACAAAATGAAGGCAGAAATAAAGATGTTCTTTGAAACCAATGGGAACAAAGACACAACATACCAGAATCTCAGGGACACAGTTAAAGCATTTTGTACACAGAAACTTATAGCACTAAATGCCCACAAGAGAAAGTAGGAAAGATCTAGAATTGACGCCCTAACATCACAATTAAAAGAACTAGAGAAGCAATAGTAAACACATTCAAAAGCTAGCAGAAGGCAAGAAAAAACTAAGATCAGAGCAGAATTGAAGGAGACAGAGACACAAAAAACCTTTCAAAAAAATCAATGAATCCAGGAGCTGTTTTTTTTTTGAAAAGATCAATGAAACTGATAGACTGCTAACAAGACTAATAAAGAAGAAAAGAGAGAAGAATCGATAGACGCAATAAAAAGTGATAAAGGGGATATCACGACCGATCCCACAGAAATACAAACTACAATCACACAATACTATAAACACCTCTAGGCAAATAAACTAGAAAATCAAGACGAAATGTATAAATTCCTCAACACATACACCTCCCAAGACTGAAAAATGATGAAGCTGAATCTCTGAATAGACCAATAACAGGCTCTGAAATTGAGCGACAATTAATAGCTTACCAAGCGAAAAAATACAGGAACAGATGGATTCACAGCCTAATTCTACCAGAGGCTCAAGGAGGAGCTGGTACCATTCCTTCTGAAGTTATTCCAATCAACAGGAAAAGAGGAAATCCTCCCTAACTCATTGTATGAGACCAACATCATCCTGATACCAAAGCCTGGCAGAGACACAAACAAAAAAGAGAATTTTAGACCAATATCCCTGATGAACACAGATGCAAAAATCCTTAATAAAATACTGGCAAACTGAATCCAGCAACACATCAAAAAGCTTATCCACCATGATCAAGTGGGCTTCATCCCTGGGATGCAAATCTGGTTCAACATATGCAAATCAATAAATGTAATCCAGCATATAAACCAAACCAAAAACAAAAAACGCATGACTATACCAATAGATGCAGAAAAGGCCTCCGACAAAATTCAACAGCCCTTCATGCTAAAAACTCTCAATAAATTCAGTAGTGATGAGATGTATCTCGAAATATAAGAGCTATTTATGACAAACCCACAGCCAATATCATACCGAATGGGCAAAAACTGGAAGCATTCCCTTTGAGAACGGGCACAAGACAGGGATTCCCTCTCTCACCACTCCTATTCAACATAGTGTAGGAATTTCTGGCCAGGGCAGTCAGGCAGGAGAAGGAAATAAAAGGTATTCAATTAGGAAATCAGGAAGTCAAATTGTCCCTGTTTGCAGATGACAGGATTGTATATCTAGAAAACCCTATTGTCTCAGCCCAAAATCTTCTTAAGCTGATAAGCAACCTCAGCAAAACCTCGGGATACAAAATCAATGTGCAAAAATCACAAGCATTCTTATACACCAATAACAGACAAAGAGAGCCAAATCATGAGTGAACTCCCATTCACAATTGCTTCAAAGAGAATAAAATACCTAGGAATCCAACTTACAAGGGATGTGAAGGACCACTTCAAGGAGAACTACAAACCACTGCTCAATTAAATAAAAGAGGATACAAACAAATGGAAGAACATTCCATGCTCATGGGTAGGAAGAATCAATATCGTGAAAATGGCCATACTGCCCAAGGTAATTTACAGATTCAGTGCCATGCCCATCAAGCTACCAATGACTTTCCGCACAGAATTGGAAAAAAACTACTTTAAAGTTCATATGGAACCAAAAAAGAGCCCGCACTGCCAAGCCAATCCTAAGCCAAAAGAACAAAGCTGGTGGCATCATGCTACCTGACTTCAAACTACACTACAAGGCTACAGTAACCAAAACAGCATGGTACTGGTACCAAACCAGAGATATAGACCAATGGAACAGAACAGAGACCTCAGAAATAATGCCACACATCTACAACTATCTGACCTTTGACAAACCTGAGAAAGAAAAAGAAATGGGAAAAGGATTCCCTATTTAATAAATGGTGCTAGGAAAACTAACTAGCCATATATAGAAAGCGGAAACTGGATCCCTTCCTTACACCTTACACAAAAATTAATTCAAGATGGGTTAAAGACCTAAATGTTAGACCTAAAACCAGAAAAATCCTAGAAGAAAACCTAGGCAATACCATTCAGGACATAGTCATGTGTAAGGACTTCATGTCTAAAACACAAGAAGCAATGACAACACAAGCCAAAATTCACAAATGGGACCTAATGAAACTAAAGCGCTTCTGCACAGCAAAAGAAACTACCAAAAGAGCAAACGGGCAACCTACAGAATGGGAGAAAATGTTTGCAATCTACTCATCTGACAAAGGGTTAATATCCAGAATCTACAAAGAACTCAAACAAATTTACAAGAAAAAAACAAACAACCCCTTCAAAAAGCGGGCGAAGGATATGAACAGACACTTCTCAGAAGAAGACATGTATGCAGCCAAAAGACACATGAAAAAATGCTCATCATCACGGGCCATCAGAGAAATGCAAATCAAAACCACAATGAGATACCATCTCACACCAGTTAGAATGGAGTTCATTAAAAAGTCAGGAAACAACAGGTGCTGGAGAGGATGTGGAGAAATAGGAACACTTTTACACTGTTGGTGGGACTGTAAACTAGCTCAACCATTGTGGAAGTCAGTGTGGTGATTCCTCAGGGATCTGGAACTAGAAATACCATTCGACCCAGCCATCCCATTACTGGGTATACACCCAAAAGATTATAAATCATGTTGCTATAAAGACACATGCACACGTATGTTTATTGCGGCATCATTCACAATAGCAGACTTGGAACCAACCCAAATGTCCAACAATGATAGACTGGATTAAGAAAATGTGGCACATATACACTATGGAATACTGTGCAGCCATAAAAAAGGATGAGTTCATGTCTTTGCAGGGACATGGATGAGTTCTTGTCCTTTGCAGGGACATGGATGAAGCTGGAAATCATCATTCTCAGCAAACTACCACAAGGACAGAAACCAAACACCACATGTTCTCACTCATAGATGGGAACTGAACAATGAGAACACTTGGACACAGGAAGGGGAACATCACACACCAGGGCCTGTTGTGGGGTGGAGGGTTGGGGGAGGGGGGAGGGATAGCATTAGGAGATACACCTAACGTAAATGATGAGTTAATGGGTGCAGCACACCAACATGGCACATGTATACATATGTAACAAACGTGCACGTTGTGCACATGTAGCCTAAAACTTAAAGTGTAATAAAAAAAGAAAGAAACTAATAATGCCAATAGATTTGTAGCCATAATTTAAGAAACATTTTTCTAAAATATACGTAAACATGTAAGAATATCTTTACCTTCAGAGCATGCTTTTGCTGTTAGGTTATTCATCAGAAAAGAAAATATTGAAAAGATAAATTAAAATATTTATGCAGACACAGTCAGCTCTATATTGTTATGGTATACTTTGTGAACTAAGTAGTTCATAAGTGTGAGTATACAATGTATAGGTTTTAATTTGTTAAATTAATATAAAGCACTTAAAATGTGGCTTATAAGTAAGCACTTTTTAAAGAAATGTTCTTTTAAATTCTGGTACGCACAATTTATAGACAAACTCAGAAAAATAAGTTTGGTTTGCATTGCATAGATATTTAAAAGTATTTTCTTAAGTTACCTTTTATTTTGCAACACAATTCATAGAATGAAATAATTTTACCATGGAAAATACAGTCGTTCAGCTAATAAAATATTTTTTTCAGGAACATAAATAAAATATTTATTTTACTAGAGCTCTGTTAATGAAGAATGCTATTTATTATACACAAATTGAGGACAGAGAAATTGCCTATGTGTGTATATATATATTTTTAATTTTGGTAGTTTGGGTCAAATCACTGCATTTATCTACTAAGCAAATAAAATAAGGTCTCCAAATATATATGACAACCAAAAAGAGAAGATACAAGATTAAGATTTGGAAACTTTACATTCCTAATTGATTTATTTTTCTCGCTTTCTTTTAATGTTATTTTACTCATTATTGCTTGCTTCTTGTAAACTTCTTTAAATTTAATTATTATTTTTCCCCTTTATGCATTATTTTACAAAATAAGCAGACACCATGTAGAGTGAGCTTATTGCTAATATTTGAGAGGGGGATGAAACATGGATGACTATTTCATAATAAAAATACTTCTTTTAAGGTTGATCAGACTACCACAGTTGAAGACAGTAAAAAATGAAAACAATGTATAACGTATTTTGGCATTTTAATTTTCTTTCCTTATTTTTTTTAAATACAGAAGTTTCTTGGGCCACCCTTCCTTTGATTTATGTTATGCTCCTCTTTCCCTGCTTCCTCTGCGGCTCTCGCGGCGGGTGGTACATCCGAGTTTCTAAGCTTTTTAGCTGGGTATGCCTCTAGCCTCTACTGTTCCTTCAGCCCCTGGTGACAGGGGGTCGCGTACGGGTGTTCTCAGAAAATCAGGAAAATGAGGTAAAAAATTCATAAATTTAAGCAGAGTGGACATGTTTTTATCTCAGGAGAAAGAGTTAATGTCTAAGTCATCTCCTGCAAATAGATGAAATGTGGTAAAGACCATTTCTCTCAGGCTTTTTTTTTGGCAAATGTTAAGAAATGTTATAATTGTTATTGGGTGTGGACTTATGTTTATGAGTACAACTGTATATCTGAAAGTGTTGGATATCAGTTTGTGCTACCAAAAAGCAGCTTTATTTTATGTTTCTTTGCACAGATTCGTTTCTTGGCATGAATACAAAGACCCTGAAGTTTTTGGATTTTGTCTATTCAGGAGGATGGGTTTTCAATGTGTGGGTGTTGAATTATGGGAAGAAACAGTAGGGAGAGAACTCCTTAGTGCTATTAAGAAACTCACTTTTGTTAAACTCACTGATTTTTCTTGAGGATTCTTCCCTTTACCGTCGTAAATTTCCGACATGCCAGCAAGCTGTGGGAGACGGAGCTAGGGCGCCATTTTTTTCATGTGCACTTTTTGTTAAAGCGTTTTTTCTCTGTGAATGTGGTCATAATTCAAATAAATCGACAATATACTTAACCATTTGATTAAAAACTGGTACTTTTACTCATCACATGTCAAATTTGTGATTTGCTTGAGAGGAATTATGAACTTTTGACAAATTGCGTTACTTTAGTGTTATGAGGAAATCTGGGGCCACAAATAATCTCAGTTTAAATTTGTCTCCGAAAAGCCTTTGTCTCCTTCATTGTATGACAGTATTTGAAACATGTTTCATTTATCTCTGGCACCGTAAGTAATTTAAACCGAATAAGTGGGTGTAATCGAGATAAATGGTGATATCCTAAAACGGAGAAAAAATAAATGCGTTTAAGTTATTCTACTAACTTGGCACACTGACTTACTCTTGTAATCCTACTATTTTGGGAAGAGGAGGTGTGAGGATGGCTTGGAATCACGAGTTGGAGACCATCCTGCATAATATAATGAGCTCCTTTAATTTATTGCCATTTTGGCACCAGGGACAGGTTTAGTGGAAGGCATTTTTCCACAGACAAGAGGAGAGCAGGGGGAGAAGGTGGTGAGGTGGACACCTTGGGGAGGTTGGGGGCGGCCGTTCCAGGAGGAGTACAGTGTAGGAAGGGGTTTCAGGCCAGAGCAGTGTGACGGGGGGCAGTGGTGGGACAGCGGGGCTGCGAGGGGGACAGGGCAGGCCAGCGGGGAATAGGGAGGATGGATTCTGGATGAAACTGTTCCACCTCAGGTCACACTCAGGCATTACAATCTTCTAGGGAGAGCGCCACCTAGATCCTCGTATGCGCAGTTCACAGTAGGGCTCTTACTCCTGTGAGAACCCAATGTCTTCGCTGATCTGACAGGAGGCGGGGCTCAGGCAGTGCCAGAGGTTCACCACCTGTTCTGCAGCCAGGTTCCTAACAGGCCACAGACAGATACCGGTTGGAGACCAGGGTTTGGGGATCCCTGATCTATTGTATATTTCAAATCACTAAAATATTGCAAACAATTTAAAATATTCTCCCCGAAGAAAGCATGTATTTTATTTAACTTGATTTAATCATTTATTAAAATATCAAGCTGGGCGTGGACATTCACCCTTCAAGTCTCATCACCTTGGTGGCACCAGGCCAGAAGATCGCTTGAGCCCAGGAGTTCGAGACCAGCTTGGGTACCATGGGGAAACCGTGTCTGTTAAAGAAACACACAAAAAAAATGCCTACAAGCTGTGATAGTGATCTCCTGTAGTCCTAGCTATTTGGGAAGCTGAAACGTGGGAGGATCACTTGAGGCTCGGTAGAGGAGGCTGCAGTGAGCAGTGCACATTGGCAATAGGAAATTGACATCTCAAGAAAAAAAAAACACAAAACATCACATTGTACTGTATAAATATATAGTTTTCAAATAGAATTATTTAAATGGGGCATTCTGCGTATTACAGCTTAAGAAAATTACAATAGCTTTTCTCATCTCATTTTTACAAACAAGTTTTTGTCAGGTACGTATTAAAATGCAGCATTTGTCCATGAAGTCACTGCCCCTTTCGCTCTGCATGTTACAAATTTTAACTACTTAAATTAAGAAATAGTAGAAAGATGTCAGCCTCCGTAAGGGAATTTCCCTAGAGTTTTCAACACAGTATGTAATAAAATTTTATCTTTTGGCTTATTTATTGTTATCTAGAGTTTTTTATTTTTTTATTTTTTATTTTTTACCATTTACAGCAAAATGGTGGAATCAGATCAGCCTGGCAAGCTTTTCATTGGTGGCCTCCGTTTAGAAACCAATGAAAAGATGCTTAAAGCAGTATTTGGGAAATATGGTCCCATACTGGAAGGCAACTGTTATATATATATATATGTGTGTGTGTGTGTGTGTGTGTGTGTGTGTGTGTTGGTTATATATATATTTTCCAAAGTAAATATATACTCAGTATATTTACTGAATACATAAATTAAAATATATATTTGTTTTAAAGTGTTATTTTCAAGTTTCTTTTCGATACTGGGAAAATTCTTATGGCAGCAGGCGAAGGTTCTTTGGTAAAGGTTACCTACTACTGAGAAAGGAAACTGAGCAAAAGTACATATGTTGTGGAGGTAGGGAGCAAATTGGAATAAAATAGGCTGAATACAGAGGTGACTTAGTATTAAAAATCATAGTAATGATGTGAAATGCAATTTTTTTGGTTTGTTAGTACTATGGTGAGTCCATTATATAAATGTAAAATGTTTTCATATATTTTAGTTCTTTTGATAAATGATTGGGAAACCAGCAACTTCAGATGCTTTGTACTTATTTTGAAAACCTGCAGATGCTAAGAATGCTGTCAAAGATATGAAGGGAAACGTAAGAGTCCCTTATTAATAATATCCTAACTGTTCCTCACTTAACAGAATTTCAAGGTCTTTTTCATATTACTAAACTTTTGAAGATAGCATAATGTCATATGATCTGAAATGCTTTAGCCATCCTCTTCTTTTGGTCATCTAAGTGCAACGGTAGTTGGAAGGATATTGGAATAAATGTTACATAAATCAATATATGGTAATCTTATTTGTATGTTAGTATTTAAATACAAGTATAAATAGATTTTCAAAGCTTTCAAGCAGCTTTAAAACTTAGAAGGAACCCTCACAAAAGTGAGATAAATAAATCAGCATTTATTAAATTCTATTAATGGAATTACTTCCAATTCATGGAAATACTTCTATAGCATAGACAAACTATGGATAGACAGGTAGACGGACTTACAAGATGGAAATCTTATACAGAGAGACATCTAGACCGACTCACAAGAAGGAAAGATTCTTTCTCATTTTCTGAAAGTACATTCTTAAGCAAGTGTATTTAAACAAGACCTTTACATTTAAGGAAATGTTAAGTACTTGAAAGTAGAAAATAATATGAGTACATTGAAGTTGGGTAACAGAACTACTAACTGGCATTTCTGCCCCATCCTTGCTCTTTTTCTCCTAAAATCATTTTTATCCTGTCACCAGAGTGATTTATGTAACATGAATACCTAATGACTCATTTTACCAGTGTGTTTGAGGACTTATTTTGATCCAACCAATTGTCTCTGTCTTACTGAATCTTAAATTCTAGGGATTGTGTGTTTATTACAGCTGTAAACCTTTTTATAATTCTATTACCTACTGAATTCCTTTGTATTACCATCAAAATCATTGCATTCTGGGTACGTTGGAGCTGTTTTGTTTTATAACATCATCTCAGTCTCTTTTTAGTTCCCGTTACTCTTCATGCTTTCACCAATATGCTTTTTCGGACTTCTTAAGAGTTATTCTTCCTGGCATATGTCTCACAAATAGCAACTTATGCTTCAAAGACAGCTTAGATTTTACATTTTCTTCTTTATTTTATATTGTGGGTATTTTGTCCTCACTGTACCATGTATTAATCTGTTGATAATTGTCTTTAGTGCATATTTAAGTTTTCCTAGTTGCTTTTATTTCTGGTACATCTAGCACACTTCCTGGTTCATCGAAGAAAGTACATTTTTATTCACCTTTATACTTTCATATTTTAAATTTGGGTAGAAACTGAAAGTTGCTCATGGTTTGGTGTTAGGTATGGAAATAATTTTGACTGATGTATAGTAATAATTTCTTTTTCCTCAAAGTTTTCAAGCACAAGAACAGATGATTTCTGTAGAAATTCTAAATTACTTCATCTAACATATCTTATTGTGTAAGAACAAATATAAATGTAATATGCACACAAAAGTTAAGAATGGAAATAAAGGAAGTACTTAGAGGTTTCAGGGGGAATGAACAGTTTAAGAAAGTTTGGCTGACTTCCGAATACTGGGAAGGAAGCAGTCATGTGCAAATCTGGGGAACATATTTTGGGCCCAGAAATAACAAAAGAAGTCCCAAGGTTGAAACGACTGCCTATGTAACTGCAAGAGGTCTTGGAAAGGATTTAAGATCTTCCCCCAAAAACAAAGCAATGCCATTTTTAAATACAATTTTTGCTGACATTTTTTTTCAAAAATTACCTTAGCCTATAGAAAAGATTAAACTGAAGAAAGTTATTATGAAATTAATTAGAACATTTAAGCATTTCTGAGAAATAACATGAAGTACTATATTAAGAGTCATTTATTAGGGACTCTTCTAAGGCAAGATAATAAATGAGTAAGGCAAAAAATCTGAATGAGACCAAGGAAGGATCACAGTTACAGAAACAGAACTAGACTAAATATAGAATTGTAAATCATATTGGGACATTTTATGTAAGTATTAGCAGAACAAACAAGAAACAATTCAGAATGAATAATATGGCTAATCACTTGGAATAAATAATCTTTTTATTAGATGACACATTATTACATATACCCTTGGGACACTGAAACAATTAAATAAGTGATGTGACTACAAAGATGAAGTAGATCATACATTGGAAAAAAGAGATGTGCTACATTATCCCATAGATGGGTGATGGGCTAATTTTTTTTGAGATGATGTTTTTAATACTGGAAAACTTTTCAAGGAATTTGAATAACAGAATTTGTGTTTGATCCCTTAATGGAAGGTATGTGGTCAGTAAACATCTCAAATTTGGCACTGTGAAAGACATCATCATTTCAGAAAAAAAATATATTTGCTTTGGGAGAAAACATCTAGAACTGAAATATAGTGGATGCAAAAATGTTTGTAAAATGTGTTTGGTTAAATGTGACAGTGTTATTGATAGGACAGTTAATACTTTTGGTCTTTGGATGGAAAAGCAATAAAAGTAGAACAAGTCAAGAAAACATCTTTTCAAAGTGATGGTAGGTGGAGATCACCACCTTCCTGGAGAAACAGGAGCCCTTCAGGAAGTCTGAGATCTGCAAGAGGAGGTAGTAGAGGACAAGAGGGTTGTGTCCCTCATGTGAAGGACAACTGGGTAATGTTTTAAAATATAAAGATGGAACCGTAGGACTGAAAGACAATAAGTTTGAAGATATCAAAATTTCTCAATTTTATTTACTTTATGTACAGAAAATGAACTTACTGATAATGAGCAAAATTATTTGTAAGTACTAAAGATAAATTATAAGAAAGATAGAAATAATATGAAAATTTTATTTTAAAATCTTAATTACTTTGCATTGAAATAACACGCATTTAAAACCAAATTGAGTTTATTAATGTTGATTTTCTGTACTCAACAGGTTTTCTGCAGAACTCGTTTACATTCATTATGCTATAGAGTTTCTTATTTTGGGAGCCAGAACTTCGTATAAAATGTATTATCAAAATAAGATGGAATCTTGAAAACCTTCCAACAGGAAATAAGTAACTCATTATTTTAGGATTGATCTTATAATATTTGTTATTTATGTATACACATGGAAATATCTATACAAATATATTCCTTTGCCATTTTGATATACGTAATTTGCACATTGGCCTGCCATAAAGCATTTTGCATTTAAGAAATCTATAACTTCAGTTTCTCAAAAGAGTCTGTGACTCAGGAAAATCTAAAAACCACTGCTTCACAAATATGAAGCAGTGGTTTCTTTGCTGGAAGATGAGACACTGAAAATGGTATTTATGAATGATTTACTCAATAGGAATGAGGGGTCAATTTTTACTTAAAAAAATCCATGTATTTTAAAAAATTGGTTCAATTGTATTATCTATTAACCAACCTTCAAAAACCTAACATCTGAGTTTTAATAACCAGATGTGTAATTCACTGGATATGTTTTCTCAAGTTGAAATTGCAGTGTTTGCTCCATTTTAAGGTACATAGCTTCATGGTATTTTTTTTCTCAATTGATCTTGAGGGTGAAGATTAATACTACTCTGCCATGTATGAGAATATGCATTTTCTTACCTGTGACACCACGAGGGCATTAGAATATATCTACATTTTTTGTAGCTATATGAAAATATCTTTTATTATTTAATATTAAATTCTTAAAGATTATTAAAATTGAGCATAGCCTAAGCTAAAATTTAATATTTCATAATGGATTTGTAAGGATTGTATTTCTGATACAAATTTTACAGATAATGTATTTTTCTGAGGTGTCATTTTTTGATTTTGTAAATATTTTAGCTTTTTTGAATGGAATTTGTTGTACCCTTATGATACGTTTTGACGAGGCTTTCTTCATACCATAATTATATGAACAGTAATATATTATTTTTCTCCTATTTTTCTTTATCTAGATTATATTTATATATTTAACTGATAGATTTTTGCTCTCTCTTCACCCTGCATTTATCCCACATCTTTCTCTCACACCAATATAAAATGATTCTTGTGTTATTTTTTAGATTTTCTTCAGTTGCCAGGCTGGAATGCAGTGGCACGATCTCAGCTCACTGCAACCTCTGGCTCCCAGCCAAGTGATTCTCCTGCTTTAGCTTCCCGTGTAGCTGGGACTACAGTTGTGTGCCAAGAGGCCCAGTGAATTTTTGTATTTTTAGTAGAGATGGGGTTTCACCATGTTGCCCAGGATGGTCTTGATCTCTTAACTTCGTGATCCGCCCACCTCAGACTCCCAAAGTGCTGTGATTACAGGCATGAGCCACTGCACCCAGCCATTTTCTGGGTTTTCTAAACCAACTTTTATTGTTTGTATTGCACTACTTTGGTACATAAATACTAAATTGTATTAGTTTAGACAAATGTAAATTTGTAAGATTATCATATTTAGGAAATATTTATAAACAACTAAAACTTAGCCATTTAAGACACAGTGATGTTACTTAGCTGGAGATATATATTTTATATATATATATATATATATATATATATCTATATATATATGAAGTCTTGCTCTGTCTCCAAGGCTGGAGTGCAGTGGCACACTCTTGGCTCACTGCACACTCTCCTTCCCGGGTTCACGCCATTCTCCTGCCTCAGCCTCCCAAGTCGCTGGGGCTACAGGTGCCTGCCACCACGGCCAGCTAATTTTTTATATTTTTAGTAGAGATGGGTTTTCACCATGTTAGCCACTATGGTCTCGATCTCCTGACCTCGAGATCCGCCTGCCTCAGCCTCAAAGTGCTGGGATTACAGGCATGAGCCACCGCGCCCAGCCCTACAAGACTTTTTATAACTGTCTCCTTTCGTTTGCATGATGCTCTGAATGTTCATTTACATTGCAGCACTTCTCTCCTTACACAACCTGCTAACCCATTATTTTGTTTGGGTTGTTTCCACCACAGTATTTCTATATACACATATTTGTTTGCATACACTTATTCAATTCTTGGTATATATGAGTGAGTGGAATTGCTTGGTCCTATGATAATTGTATTTATTTTCTTGAGGAACCACCCCATTTCTCCATAGTAGCTGCACCATTTTCCATTCCAACTAGCATTTGTATGAGGGTTCCAAATTATCTACATCTTCTCAAACACTTGATATTTCCTGCTTTTTAAAAATCATTTCCATTCCAGTATGTGTGCAGTATAGTATCTCATTTTGGTTTTGAAATGCAATTTCTGAATAACTAATTATGATTATTTGTTCCATGTGCTTTTTGAGCATTTGCATATTTTAGTTGGAGAAATATGTATTCAAGTATTTGGCCCTTCATTTTGTTCAAGTTGTAAGTTATTTATGTTTTGGATACTAGAAGTTGATAATTTAAAATTTGTTGCTTTAACTTATGCAAGCAGAATTCATACAAGTTCCCGGGACACCAGGGATTATGCTCCACCATCTAGAGATTATGGATACCATGATTACGGTCATTCTAGTTGGAATGAACAATCCTCTAGAGCATATAGGTACTATAATATTTTCTGATTTTGTCAAAGGGATTTCTTAAGTTGTTCCTGCTGACGTTAGCAAACCTTTTTTAAATTTAGTGACTGTGATGGCTGTGGTGGGGGCCGTGGTAGAGATCCTTTAGTACATCCCAGTGGAAGTTCTTACAGAAATGCATATCAGAGTTATGGTAAGTGTCAGGGTTTGATTTGTAAATTATAGTATTATATTTAATACACCAGATTATTGTTTTAATACAATTTTAAGGAAAATCATAAAGGAAAAATATAACATGTTTAAACACTGAGAATTGTTAACAGTATAATGCGTGGTGAACATGTAGGTGAGAACTTCAGTTCATTTTCAGAAAATGTGACTTAACGTTTACTTTAAAATAAACTTTCTTATGCTTCAAAATACTATTCTTATATTCTTTTAAATGCAACCTTTTGACTATTTCAGACATAATTAATATGCTGTCAATGAAGACAGAGGAAAGCAGATTTTTCCAAATAGTACTTTAACTGATACATGCATTAGTGATACCATTAAAAATGTTTAAATGTAGTTCATTATAAGTTCTATATTTTATCAACCTTGCAGGGACCTCTCCTGGTGAACAACCTGCATGAGAGCCTTGGATGAGTTATGGTGGAAGTAGTCACTATGATTATAACAGTACATGAGATATATATGGCAGAAGTCAGGAGAGTTACTCATGAAGCAGTGGTGATTTATATTCCTGTGGTCATGAGCGCGGTGGCAGAAAGGAATGAAGGAATCTACCTTCTGTGGATAGGGTGCACCCTGCTGCTGGTGAAGGATACAGTAGCTCAAGTTATGGGGCATCTACAGCAAGTGGTGAGGGAAAACAAGGTGAAAAAGGAGGCTGAAGCAGATATTAAAGGAGATATTAAAAATAATAGTTACCGTGGTACTCAGGAGGCCGAGGCAGGAGAATTGCTTGAACCCAGAAGGCAGAGGTTGCAGTGAGCCCAGATCTTGTCACTGCACTCTAGCCTGGGCAACAAAGCAAACCTGTCTCACAAAGTAAAAATAAAAAAAAGAAAGATAATAGTTATTGCTTACCAAACCTTGCTTGCAAATCAAAAATTAAAATGTTATTTCTGTATCAGTTCGTGAGTACCACTAAAACAAAATGTTGATTTTGGGGGAGAGGTAGATCCTAACTTCCTCCATGAATTTTCTGAGGTATTTAAGATGAAAAGGAATTGTTTTTTCAAAGTAATTTCATAATTGTTAATGCTATTTGAAAACTCTCTCTTTAGATGATATGGCTGTATTAAAATTTTCAGAATAAAATTATACATGTAATGTGTAATGCCTGATTTTATGGCTACACGTGCTTAACAGCAAATTAAATGGGATATTAAATGGTGTGGTTTCTGTTGAAAAATTTTTTTGCAGCTTTGAATATAAATACATGCAAAAGTAGGCATAAATTACGTCTCCCTTGCAAGGTGCCCACATTTTCTAATTAGGCTGTGTTTCTCTTAAACACTTACAAGCTTTAAAAGCTTGAGAAGTATTCAGAAAGACTATGAAACTCTCTGCCTCACCATAAAATGTTTATCATTCAGAGGAATCATGTAGATAAAAGGAAATAATTAGATATGGTTGGTACTAAAGTTTAAGACATCCAGAACCTTCTTCTTGAAGCCTTTCTGTCACTGATGGGGGATAATGGTGATGAAAACATTGTTTTCCAACTAAATAAAATCTGAACCAGCTATGTTTCCTAAATACATAGCTTAATGAAATTAAGTGTTCCTAGTTTAAATAGTGGAAAATAAGTGTTTTTATGTGGGAGGTACTCATGTTAATTATCTCCTATAATATTTGACAATGGTTGTTGTAAGTAATGGTTTAGCAATAAGTTCTTACAAACAGAAATTATCTAGAAGGCTTGGGATTTTATCAGATTTTTTTTTAGACAGAGTCTAGCTTTGTTGCCCAAACTGGGGTGCAGTGGCTGGATCTTGGCTCACTGTGACCACTACCTTCTGGGTTCGAGCTGTTTTCCTGCCTCAGCATCCCGAGTAACTGGGTTTACAGGTGTGTGCCACCACAGCTGGCTATTTTTTTTTTTTTTTTTTTTTAGTACAGACAGCATTTCTCCATGTTGGCCAGTCTGGTCTTAAAATCCTCATTCACCTGCCTCTGCCTCCCAAAGTGCTAGGATTACATGTATGAGCCATCAGGCTCACACTATCAGATTTAAGTGAAGATACGAATAGGAATGCTTTAAACCTCATGGTTTTTGGAAACTGAAATGTGTAAAACATAAAACAACATCATAAAATTTCTGATAGGCAATTGTGTAAAGGTTTAAGATATCATCTAATGATAAAAATGAAAAGATTTGGACCCAAATAAGTAAACCAATTAATTTTCCTGATCATACAACCTAAAGAAATGAAATAGATTAAGATCCAGTGTTTTACAGTCCACAATTCTTAAAATTAATGGACTAATCTGTAAGGAGGATGTATTTTTATGAGAAAATTTTGATAAGATCATAATTTTTATAGGGTTAGTTTCCAAATAATTTTAAAGGGAGAAGTTACCAACTTTGATTCTCAAGTGAGTTATTTATGTTATGAAGTTGTGCTTTCATTCACCTATAATGTAGGATTGTAAGGATTAAATGAAAGGATACAACTCCCTAGTCTTGTGTATCTTGACAGCAGCAGCACGAGAAACAGTGTCTGTCCAGGTAGGTGTGATGGCTTAGGTCTTCAATCCCAGCATTTTGGGTGGCTGAGATGGGAATATCGCTTCAACTCAGGAGTTTGAGACCAGCCTGGGCAACATGAAGAAATCTTGTCTGTATAAAATAGACAAAACATTGTTGGATGTAATAGTCTATCAGTGTAGTCCCAGATCCTTGGGGGCTGAGGCAGGAAGATGGTTTGAGCCCATGAGGTCCAGGCTGCAGTGAGCCTGTTTTTTGCTCCACTGCATTTCAGCCTGCATAACAAAGCGAGACACTGTCAAAAAAAAAAAAAAAAGAAAAAAGAAAAAAGAAAAACAAAAAAGACAAAGTGTCTATGATATTCTGTCCCTAGGATTTTTTAACTCAAATTATCTCCATGAGGCATTCTGTCATAATGATTAAAAAGTATGGGAAACTGAAGAGTAACCTGTAAGATACAATTTATCAACCTTGGAATAGGGATTCTGTTTCAGTAAGTTATAATAAATTCTGAAAAGCCTTTATAAAACAAGAGTTAAATCCTTATTGCATCATTTTTCATAGGACCATAATGCTGTTGAATGAATAATAGGATAATTTTTTATCATCTTCGTCCACAGACATTGCTTTGAGAAAATACCTGGACTTGGAGGTTTATAACAAAGATTTCTTGTAATCCCAGAGGCTAAGAAGCCCAAGGTCAAGGAATCAGCAAATACAGTGTTCAGGTGAGGGGTCATTTCCTGGATTTTATTTTTATTTTAATTAATTTATTTATTTATCTTGAGATGGAGTCTCACTCTGTTGCCCAGGCTGGAGTGCAGTGGCACAATCTCTGCTCACTGCAAGCTCCGCCTCCTGGGTTCACACCATTCTTCTGCCTCAGTCTCCCGAGTAGCTGGGACGACAGGTGCCCGCCACCACACCTGGCTAATTTTCTAATTTTTAGTAGAGACAAGGTTTCACCATATTAGCCTGGATGGCCCCGATCTCCTGACCTCATGATCTGCCTGCCTCGGCCTCCCAAATCGCTGGGATTACAGGAGTGAGCCACCACGCCCAGCCCATTTATTTATGTATTTATGTATGTATGTATGTATGTATTTATTTATTTATTTAATTTCTTTTTGAGATGGAGTCTTGCTCTGTCGCCAGCCTGGAGTGCAGTGGCATGATCTTGGCTCACTGGAACCTCTGCCTCCATGGTTCCAGCAATTCTCCTGCCTCCCAAGTAGCTGCGACTAAAGGCACGCACCACCATGCCTGGCCAATTTTTTGTATTTAGTAGAGACAGGGCTTCAGCATTTTGGCCAGGATGGTCTCCATCTCCTGACCTCGTGATCCACCTACTTCGGCCTCCCAAAGTGCTGGAATTACAGGCGTGAGCCACCATGCCCAGCCACTTCCTGGATTTTAAACATCCCTCTTGCTGAGTCTGCACATGGTATAAGTGGCTTGGGAACTCTATAGTCTTTTAGGAGGGTGCTAATAACATTTAAGAGGGTGCTGTCATCCTGACCGGATTACTTCCCATCAAAGGCCCTTTTCCCCTTTCAGAAGGCAGCCAATTGACACTTCCACATGTTGAGCTTAAGGATGGTGGTGTGAGGTGGCAGTGATGATTTAATGAATTCTTTGGTTTGCAGTTTTTAATGCCTCCAGTGTTGTCATCAGGTATCAAAGGCATGAAGATGATTTTTTTAAATCGTTCATAATGCAGTCATCCAGCTTCAGATTACAAGGTTTGGGGACAATTGGGCAGTTTTAGTTTTCAGTGATGCTAAATCATGAAAGGGGGACACAATGTTGAAATTTTAGTTTGGAGAGTTGTAGCTATATGTTGGATAAAACAAGAATTGAAATTGTAGACTAATAAAATATGTAAGACAACTCACATGGGTGGTTTTAGTTTTCCATTGAAACAAAATTCTCTCTGCTGTTACTTCTCTTGACTCTTGTTCACAAAATAAGTCTGGTCTGACTAGATTTGTCCTCATTTTTTACCTAAGTACACTAAGAATTGTCATTGACCACAAAGGTATATATATATATATATATATATATATATATAAAATTTTTTAAATTAGAAACAGTGTCCGGCTTACTGCAGTCTCAACCTCATGGGCTCAAGTGATCCTCCAACCTCAGCCTCCTGAGTAGCTGAGACCGTAGGCGCAAACCACCATATTTGGCTAATTTTGTATGTTATTTGTTTGCCTGTTTGTTTGATTTTGGAGATGGGGTTTTACCTTGTTGCCTAGGTTAGGCTTGAACTTCTGGGCTGAAGTGATTCTCCCACCCTTGTGTCCAAATGTGCTGGGATTACAGGTGTGAGCCACCATGCTTAGCCACAGAGTCCTTTCCAGTTTACTTTGTCAGAACTTTATACAATTAGTTTCAGATTATACTTCTTAAAGCTGCCTAGTTATCTCTGATTTTATGCAAATCATTCTTAAATATATTTGACATTTCAGACAAGGCTTTGTAAAAAAAAAAAAAAAAACGGGTTCTAATTAGGTTCTGTTGAAAGGAGAACGCATTCTTACTGAACTTCAGAAATGACTCAATTGCCATATAAATGTTTATAAAATCTTAAATGTCCAGTGAACATAACACAGCTTAACTAGTAAATTAGTAAATCCAAGAAGGATACAAATGACAAGTGTATTCTTTTTTTTTTTTTTTTTGAGATTGAGTCTCACCCTCTCGCCCAGGCTGGACTGCAGTGGCATGATCTTGGCTCACTGCAACCCCTGCCTCCTGGGTTCAAGCAATTCTGTATCAGCCTCCCAAGTAGCTTGGATTACAGGTGTGTACCACCATTCCTGGTTAATTTTTGTATTTCTAGTAGAGATGGGGTTTCGTAATGTTGGCCAGGCTGGCCTCAAACTCCTGACCCCAGATGATTCACCTGCCTTGACCTGCCAAAGTGCTGGAAATAAAGCCATGAGCCACTATGCCTGGCCCACAAATATCTTTTTATATTTAATAATAACAACAAATTGTAATATGTAGCTGTTTGTATTAAACAATTTTAAACTAGTCTTATTTACTAAATATTTCCATGAGTCATGTGAACTTGAATATATATTTCTAGGATTATTAGGAGTATGTAATTCACAATAGTGATCATATGTCTCTAAGCCAATTTGAATAGCACCCTTTTAAGTGATATTAAAAATTAACTTGGTAATAATATCCAGAGCTAGAAATATATCACACACATATAGCATATAGCCATGAAAATATAGATAGAGGAAAACAGATTTTAGAGATCACCTAAAATTTAGTCATGAATGAGGCAATAGAGTAATATAAAACTCACTGGGTTTATATCCATTTTATATTGTATCTAAATTGTTCTTCTGGCAAATGAGACAAGGTCGCCTATTCAATAGGAGGTCTAATACCTTTTGTCTGTATTGGCGAAGAAGACTTTTATGAGACTATTTTGTCCTAATATTGTATCTGTGGAGCCAGAGGACTATATTTTAGGCACAGAATATATCTAGTTCCAGTCTGCACATCTCCAAAGGCTGGGGAGATACAATACTCAATCTCTTCTAATTAGCCATTTTTTCATTTCAACTTCAGGCCAATAATTTCTTGGAGGGTAGAGAAGATACTGAAGTCCCTCAAGAGCTTCTGATTTAGTCAGCCTAAATTTCTGTTGACTTTAGAAGTTGAAAGGCTGAAATAGGAAGGAATAGGTTTGTTTAGGGGTAGATAGAAGAATGGATGATGAGAGGTTTGAAGGAGGATATGTCAAAGAATTCAAGGAAGGTAAAAGGAAGATTGAAGGTGGTGAGAGGAGAAACAAGAAACATGAGTAATAAGAAGGAAGACATCAAAGAGGCACCAGTATAGGGAGATGTTAAGTTTCTCAAAGATCTTTGAAGTTCCAAATTGTCCTTGAAAAATGCATACCAACAACAAGTTATGCAGAGTAAGCAAAGCCTAAAGTCTACAAGGGTTCAAGAAAGTGGGTTATGGTTGGCAATGAGACTTCCATGGGAGAGACAAGAATCCAAGTAAAGAAGAGAGAGGTGTCAAAGAGTTTCAGTGGATATTAGAGACAGAGATAGTGAGATAGAAAGATAGATAGAGATAGAGATAGAGTTAGATAGAGATAGAGGTGGATTAAGATAGAGATAAACTTCCTGACAGCCCAGAAAGATGGGAAAATTCCTGTTAAGGAAAAAAAGGTCTCCAACATAGCGAATCAGGAAATAATCTCCACTCAGGAAAGAGGCTAGAAAAAAGGGGACCCAGTCAATGGAGTCAGGGAAAACCCCACTCAGGGAGTAGCCAGAAAAAAAAGATGGTTAGCATAGAGAATCAGGGAAAAATTCTTACTTAAGAATAGACATCCAGGAGGAAAATTCAAGCCAAAAATATCAGAGAATGAGCCCCTCTTAGGAAGAAGGGTACACAACACAGAACATACAGGAATAATCTCAAACATGAAGCAAAGCTGACAAAAAAAGAGTTGCAGACTTGGAAATCAGGAAACAATTTCCAGTCAGATTAGAGAGCAAGGCAAGAGAGACTTGCAACCCCAGGGAGTCAGGGAATAAACATAAGAAAAATTATAACCTGGGAAAAGAAAATGTCACACTAGGAGACAGGGAATAATACCCAATAAAGAAAAAGAGCCAGGAAGATGAGATTTCCAACTAACGTATCAGGAAATAATCTTCAGAAAATTGGAATAATCTGTAATAAGGGAAGAACAAGTTAAGAAAAACAAAACAAAATAAGAAAATGTCTATCTCCTGGAGTCAGACAGTAATCTCTAGTAAGGGAAACACCAGGAGGAAAATACTTTCTGCACATTAGGAATAAATGCCACTCGGGAAAGACAGAGCCAATAAGAAGGAACTCCTACCTAAGAAAGTTAGAATAATCATTATTATTTTTTAAAGAGAGAGAAGTAAGGATTTTAAATGAACTAATGTTATAATCTTTATCAGGAAATAGAGTCATAAAGAAGAATATTGAGCCCAAATGTCAGATAAAAATTTGAAATCAGAAAAAAGAGTGAGGGAAGACAAACTTCTATCCCAGGGAGCCAGGAAATAATCTTCAATCATGAAAAGAAGTAGAAAAACAATCTTTCACCAGAGAGCTCATTTAATATTTATCTCAGAGAAAAGAACAAAGGGAAAAAAAAAGAAGTTCAGTCCAAGGATTCAGAGAATAATACTAATTTAGGACAGGGAACCAAGAAGAAGTGACTATGAACTCAGAATCACATGAGAATTATTCTCACTTAGGAGAGAGAGACAATCTAGTAGTCAGAAAAAATGTTACCCATTAACAAAGAGAACAGAAAGAAGAGACGTCTATCCAGAGAGTCAGAAAAGAGAGCTAATAAGTGACTTACAGCTCAGGTGCCAGGGAATAAACTCCATTTCATAAGAGAGCAAGAACGAAGGTCTTTCAAATCAAAAAGTGAGAGAATAATTGTTACTCAAGGAAGAGATCTGGAAAGACATGACGTCCAATCAGGAAAATAATTTCTTTTATGAAACAGAGCCAGGAAAAACAGGTTTTCACTCCAGGAGTGAGGAAATCTCTACACAGGAAATAGACCCAGGAATTTTTTTTTCCTGCTTAGCAAATAAGGCCAGAAATTTCCACACCAGGAGTCCAGGGAAAAGTCTTCAATCAGAAAAACAATCCAGAGGAAGAATAAGAAGAATTTTCTACCCCAGGAGGCATGGAATACATCCCATTGAAGTACAATAGTCAGAAAAATAGAATACTATGCCAGAAATTGGGGAATAATTTCTATTCAGATGAGACATCCACTAAAAAGATATTTCTATCCCGTAAAGTCTGGGATTAATCACCAATAAAACAACAACAACAAAAAGATATGATGTTTAGCACAGAGTCAGAGAATAATCCCTATTAGGTAAGCATAGAAAAGGTAGAAGAGATTTTCACTCCAGGAGTCGGGGAGTAATTCCTACCAAGAGGTGATAGCAAAAAAAATGAAAAATAAAAAATAAAAAAAACACACACACACTTTAAGCTCAGAAAGTTAGGGAATAATCCCTGTTGTGAAAACAAAGCAAGAGAAAAAACAAAAAGCTTTTATCCTATGAAGTAAGAAAATAATTCCCTGCTCAGGGATATCAGGAAGTCAGGATTTCCTGACTTAAGCCCAGTCAGCCAGAAAATAATTTCTACTAGCAGGGGAGTCAGGAAGAATAGATATCCAACCTAAATGCAAGGAAATGGGTTTCCTATAAAGAAAGACAGCCATGAAGAAGAATGTTCCAGATTAGGAGTAAAGGACTAATGTTCACTGAAGAAAAAAAAAAAAAAGAGTTAAATAGAGCTGACTTTCACACCAGGCTTGGGAGAAACGTTTTGCATGCTTGGGAGAAAAAATACATTCCCCTCTTAAAAAAGAGTGCCAGGATGAAGAGAATTACAGCCCAGCGGAGTTGTAACTAAGGTTGTATTCCCTACTCTAAAGAAACAAACAAACAAAGAATACAGCTTGTGGAGCCTAAAGGGAAGGACATCAATCCCCCGGCCTTCTTCCCTGGCTTCCTTCAGTGATTAGGGAAAGCCTATTTTCTCTCCCTGGAAAGAGGTTTAAAGTCTTCAGGAGCAAGAAGAAAGGTCTCAGCACTTCCAGTCCCTTCTTCCCTAGTGTGCTTTAGTAATATATCTCTGAAATCTCTCCCTGGAAGGAGGCTAGAAAAATACTACTGAAAGACTAAATGAGAATAATGACAATCACTGTGCCGTCTTTCACTTCCTTCAGTGATTTCTGCAATTATTCTCTCAAAGTAGGCTGGAGACAGACCTCTATGAGCCAAACAGAGACAGACATCACTCCCTAAGACATTCTTCCTGACTTGCTCCGGCAAAATTCCCTCCAGTCTCTGTCTGGAAGGAGGCAGAGAGTCAGAATACTTCCAAGCCTAAATGAGAAGAACAGCACTTCCCACACTCACTTCCCTGGCTTGCTCTAATAGCAGATTTCTGCCATCACTCGCCAGAGAAAATCAGGCAGTTAGATCTCTGAAATCCTGAATGGAAGAGGTAGCACTCCCCTTCTGTCACCAGACATAGCAAGCTTGCTTCACAGGCTTGTTCTAGCAATAAATCCCTCCTGCTATTCTCCCTGGACAGATTTTTGGTGAAGTATAAATGTGACAGTGAACCCCTCTCAGGCCTTCTTGCTTTCTTCTCTGCCTTGCCACAGCAAGAAATCTGCCTTGCAGGTTCTTCCTGGAAGAAGCTTGTGCGACTTTGGCAATGCAGAAGGAGAAAGCAGGCAGTCTGCACTACCTTCTCCCTGGCTTGCTCTGGTGAGAAATCAATGTCTGTAGAACCTCCCTGGAAGTAGCTTCTGCATACATCATGCATCACAAATTTTACAGCCTGTATCTAAGGGACTGTCCTAAATTGTCTACTTCTGGAAGTGAATGGGACTCTGTATTCTGAGTCTCCTATATCACAGAGAACAAGATTGTCAAAGTTGTAAATATTCAGTGGCTATCTGTCCAGATTCAGAGTGAGCATAACGAATGACTGTACAGGTGTCAGTCATGGACACTATTCTTGGCATAAGGCAGAACTAGTTGGACATAAACTCTGAATCTAAGCTTGTCCACAAGCAATATACATCTAATCCCAAAACCTTTTACCTGCATATCATGGGGCTGGCTACTATCTTGCCTGTGTCAAAGGAATAGTATGATTTCACACATACTACAATCGAGGGGGGCATAAGAAGAAAGACAGTGAGTTGGACAATCACAGAATTGAGAAGCACCTGGAATCTCTGGTTGCACTGATAAGGAAATGAAATTTCCTACGTAGGATGAGTTAAGGACAACAGAGAAAGATGGTTGTCTTCACTGACTTGCAGAAACCAACTCATAGTCAAGAAAAATGGGGCTGGTGGTAGTGGTTACAGGAGGGCAGGGCAGTGAGGGAGTGCAGTGGAGAGGAAAATATGTTCTGAGGTAAAGAACAAAAGAAATAAACAGAACTGGACTCTGATAAAATGAAAGTATGTAATGTCCCTGACAGGGAAATCAAAACAGAAAGCTCTAAGGTATTACCAGAAGTCTGGACAGTAATGCATTTAAAAACTGAGAAGTTTAACAAAGAGGTAGAAAATATTTCAAGGTATCAAACAGAAATCAAAGAAGTGAAAAATACAGGAAGCTACATCAAAAATTAAATAGAGGGACCGAACAGTAAACTGGATCAAGCAGAATAAAGGATAAGCAAAATTAAGCCAAGTCTTTGAAAATAATCAAATTGGAGGATAAAAATGAAAGAGAAAAATAAGGAATCATGAAGACAGCATAAGGAACTTATGGAACATTATGAAGCAGGATGATAACATATGGAATACTATAAGGAGATAATAATGATAAAAGGAGAGAAAAATAACTGACATATATTTTTAAACAAATAAATAAAAGGCTGGGCACAGTGGGTCATGCCTGTAATCCCAGCACTTTGGAGGCCGAGGCAGGTGGATCACCTGATGTCAGGAGTTTGAGACCAGCCTGGCCAATATGCAAAACCCCATCTTTACAAAAATAAAAATACAAAAAAATTAGCCAGGCTTGGTGGTGGGGGCCTGTAATCCCAACTACTTGGGAGACTGAGCAAGGAGAATCTCTTGAACCCAGAAAGCGGAGGTGGCAGTGGACTGAAATCACTCCACTGCACTCCAGCCTGGGTGTCAGATCAAGACTCAATCTCAATAAATAAATAGATAGTAAAATAAAAAACAATAACGAAAGGATAAAGATGGCTGCTAGAGTCACTGAAGACTCACCTTGTCCACAAAGAAGGTCTGAAATAGCAAATAGATAACTATGCATTGAATCGAACATCTTTGGGAGAAGGCTGGAATTCAGCAGGGAAGTGACAGTGACTCTCTAAGACATGAAAACTGGGGATGGCAGCAGTATAGAGAGGGACCAAAGCAGCCAGCTGGAATTGGCTCAAAACCAAAAGGAATTCTCCACTGTGGGAGAAAGAAAGACTGCATTTGCAATCCTAGATGCAGAGAATCCCCTTGGCCCTGTGAGGACAGATCCTAAGCCTAATAACAGAGACCTGCCTGACGTCCACACAACTACACTGTCCCAGAGAGGGAACTCATGCAAGACCCGGTGCCCACAGAGGCCCACCCTGCTGGTGCATGGCCCAGTATTGAGGGTGATATTGAGCAAAAGGCTGTCTAGAACCTACATCAGAGAGCCTTTTGCCCAGGGGTCCAATATCCCCTGCATCTCCGTGTCTTGGGTCCTTGCTGACATGCCCTCTTGTCCACCCAGAGGCCTCAGTGTCATGATGTCAGCTGGATGCAGCAATGTGGTTGGGTCCATGGTGATGGAAATCATGCAGCATCCTATACCCCAGGGAATAGGCATTCCAGCATATTTGAGTGGCTGCGTCAAAACATAGGGAACAAAAATGTGTGATCCATAGAACGTGGGAAATACCTGCCTGAGGATGCTGCCACTGAGGCACCAACTTCTCCCAGCCCCTCAGCAGCAAGACAACCACACACCTGTAAGTGTCATGTCAGGTCCCACAACCCAGATCCTAAGCTGCTACTGCCAATATAGCCACCCACATGTACCACATGAGGGACTCAAGACTGACCCACCTAGCCCACAGGCACCACACTGGGGCCCTTCCATGCTGCCTGGGACCCCTAGGACTTACCTGTCCAATGCAGCTGCCACAGCTGCTGTCTACTGATGCTACCCAGGAGCCTGAATACAGGCCTACTCAGTACACCAAACCCCAGCAAAGTCTCACCCCAGGCTCTTAAAACAACTAAAATCTAAGCCATTAAGGCACCCTCATACATTTCTGATATTGAGTATAGCTAAAGAAATAATACGAAGACCATGCTATGCTACTTACCCAGAAGCAAAGTCAAAGTACTCTGCCCAATCAACATTATAGATGCATGTACAGGGAATAGTTTTGTTCCAGTGCTTTCTTTTAAGCTTCAGATAATATTCTCACATGGATATGCAGATTAACAGCCAGCAGAAGGCCTGCATGAACTCTTTTGCCTCTCTGGGGTTTTCTTTTTGTGTAAGTCCTCTTTTATTTTCTGGCATTTTGTTCTACAGATTCTAGCTTTCTTGATATAGTTGAACTCTGATTTTAGTCTTCTCAATCTAGTAACACCCCCTAAGTTATGGCCTGGTGATAAGTAGGGTTCATCCTTACACTGTCTTTGTTCATCTTTTCTGAGAAATTATTGTTTGGTGCTGCCTGGAATTGAATGTAGAAAAATCTTTGGTTCATATTTCTGTCTAGTTTTGTGGTTATTTAACCTGGGAGGGTAAATATGGTCCCTGCTACCTCATTATGGTTAGGGGCGTAACAGGACCATGGAAGGCTTTCAGAAGTCATTTTTGAAGACACAACGCAAATTCGGTTTGCATAATGAACTTAGATAAAATACAGCCAAGAAAATAATGTTAGCAGAAACCAGGCCTTACAGAAATCTTTTTAGCGAGTTATTATGCTCAGACTTAAAAGAATAAAAAAAACCAGACCAACGGGTAAAATATACATATTCTAACTTTAATCTGGGGTATTAGAATTATTCAGACAGTTGTGCAAATAAAATTCAAATATAGTTGAAACATTTGTATAAGCTGGTCTATATACTACTTTCTGTGTGGAAAGAATACATACGGATACAAATTTCAGAAAGAACATAAAAACTGGCATACTATGTTTTCAAAAAAAACCAGCATATTATGTTTTCAAAAAAACCCACATTTATTTTACTGTATTTTCCTTTTTTGGAAACAGATTCTGGATCTCTGGCCCACGCTGGAGTGCAATGGCGCAATTTTGGCTCTCTGAAACCTCCGCCTCCTGGAGGTGATCCTCCTGCCTCCCGAGTAGCCGGGACTACAGGCATACGCCACCAGACCTGCCAAAGTTGTTTGGTATTGTTAGTAAAGATGGGCTTTCGCCATGTTAGCCAGGCTGGTCTCATTTGAGATACACGTGCCTCAGCCTCCTAAAGTGCTAGGATTACAGGCGTGAGCCACCTTGCCTGGCAAAAAAATAAAAATAAAAATAAAATAAAGATAAAAATAAAATAATAATAATAATAATCCAGCAGGGCGCGGTGGCTCATGCCTGTAATCCCTGTCCTTTGGGAGGCCGAGGCGGGCGGATCACGAGGTCAGGAGATCGAGACCATCCTGGCTAACACGGTGAAACCCCGTCTATACTTAAAAAAAAAAAATACAAAAAATTAGCCAGGCGTAGTGGCGTGCGCCAGCAGTCCCAGCTAGTCGGGAGGCTGAGGCGGCAGAATAGCATGAACCTGGGAGGCGGAGCTTGCAGTGAGCAGAGGCATGCCACTGCATTCCAGCCTGAGCAACAGAGTGATACTCCGTCTCAAAAACAAAAAAACAAAACAACAAAAAAAACTACCAAAAAAAAAAAAAAAAGAAAAATGTGGATTTTTTTTTTCTTTTCTTTTCTTTTTTTTTTTTTTTTTCTTTTGAGACGGAGTCTGGCTCTGTCGCTCAGCCTGGAGTGCAGTGGCGTGTCTCAGCTCACTGCAAGCTCCGCCTCCCGGGTTCATGCCATTCTCCTGCCTCAGCTGCTCGAGTAGCTGGGAGTACAGGTGCCTGCCACCAGCCCAGCTAATTTTTTGTATTTTTAGTGGAGACGGGGTTTCACCGTGTTAGCCAGGATGGTCTCGATCTCCTGACCTTGTGATCTGCCCGCCTCGGCCTCCTAAAGTGTTGGGATTACCGGCGTGAGCCACTGTGCCTGGCCAGAAAAAAATCCACATTTAAAAAATATAGAATACAAATTATTATGGACATTACCATTTTTATATCAGTCACTTGAGAAATGGCACTTTTCTCAAATGAGTATTGTATATTGGAATCAATTTTGCAAAATCAGAAAATGTGATTTATTTCTGGGGATGCTAGGCATATTAGACATTTTTTCCAGTTGCATTTAGGTATGGGGAAAAAAGAGCTAGACAGAGAAATTCTGTGACTTAATCCAGCTAGTCTATGACTACACAGGACAAACCTATAGTCTGATACAATTGCATTGACTTGGTAGAGTAAGGTAGACCATGCCTGTGGGGCAACTAAAGTAATAAAAGGAGGTACTGTACGATTTATGGGAGAGGTGGTGAGTAGGTATTTAAACACAGCAGAGTTTCAATAGGTTCAAGGTAAAGGACGCCTATGTATTAAAGGTCAAAACATCATGTTTAGACTGTGAGAGAACCCAGTGTCTTTATTCCTTGTAGATCACAAGTTGACATTTGTGTGGAATTTTGAGTGCAAATGCCTGTTATTTGAAGCTATGCACCTAGGCTGGAAAACAGTTTTTCTTCTATGGAAAGTGACAAATCAGCCGGGCAAGAGTGCTAAGTTTTATCTTCACCGATAACATTTCAAACAGCAAATACTCTGTTTATAATTTTAGAACATAAAGTTTCTCAGTGAGTAAGAAAGCCGAAGTCATTCAGAGATGATAATTTTTGTGACCCTTTATAGCTGTACCCAGACTTTGGCAGAAATATTTATTTCCATTAAGTCGGGAGCTGGCTTTTCGGTTCTCCCCTCAACGTGATGAATTGAGGTGGTGGATTTTAACCTTTTCATCTTTGTTTTATTTTCTAACCTGTTAGAATTTACTTATCTCAGCATTATTGCTATTTCCAGTAACAAAGCTGAACTTGCTTGTTTATACTATATACAATTTAAAGTAAACTACCACGTTAGCCTCTATATTTGAAAGTAAAACTAAGTAAAATTTGGTCATTTTTATTACCGTGAGTGTCCATATACTTTTACTACATTTGTATGCAATTTAATGTAACTAGTTTAAATTTAACATTAGTATTAATGATATCCACTGTGGGTGCTCTTTTTTCTATCGGCTCTTTTTTGTGTGCACATTTAGGTGATTTCTTACATTTTGCTATTAAATATTGTTTCAGATAACTTTCTTCTGCACTCCTAGTTTCCTAATGTACAAGGAAATTTGTCAGTAGGGATTTTATATTGATAGTCATGCAGCAACACACATGTACACTTGTACATGTTTAATATAAACAGACCAGTTAGATAATATAAAGCGCAAAATAAAACAAGTAAATATTGCCCAGTTCTCAAACGATGAAGAAACTAGCCTTCATGGCAAAATCTTTAGCACGAAGTCATTTGCCACTCTACAAAATAAACAGAGGTCGGGAGCTGTGGCTCAAGCTTGTAATCCAGCATTTTTGGAGGCCAAGAAATTCAGATCACTTTAGGCTAGGACTTCAAGACCAGTCTGGCCAACACCAGGAAACCTGATCTCTATGAAAAATATGAAAATTAGCCAGACATGGTGGTGTACGCCTATAGTACCTTACAGTTACTTTGGAGGCCGAGGCATGAGAATCGTTTGAACCTGGTAGGCTGAGTCTGAAGTGACCTGAGATTGCACCATGCACCCTAGCATAGGTGACAGAGCGAGACTTCAACTCAAAAATAAATATAAATATAAACAAATATATAAATAATAGACATGGTATCCTTCACTTCAGGCAGTTATCATTTTTTTCTTCTTTTTTTTTAATTTTGAGACAGTGTCTCACTCTGTTGTCCACACTGGATTGCTTTGGCATCATCATAGCTCACTGCAGGCTTGAACTCCTGAGTTCAAATGCTTGGCCTCCCATTTGAGCCTCCTCAGTAGCTGGAATTACAGGCACACACAACCATGTGCAGTGTGTGTGTGTGTGTGTGTGTTTTGTTTGTGAACTATTCTTTTGAATCACATCTTTTTATAACCCAATCTTTTTATTCATTATTTTAGTTAAACTCTGTTTCAACTGCAATGTGCTTTTATATTAACTTTTTTTTCACAGGGTAGCATGGGATACACTTTCCGAGCTCTGGTATATGTAAAGTTGTCTTTCTACTAATTTTCCATGAGTTTGAAAATTTACGTGTATGAAATTTTTGGTCATGCCATATGAATTCTTTTTACCAAGAATTCTTTAGACATTGCCATATATTCTGGAGTTTTGTTTATAGAAGAGACATGTGTGGCCAATTTGACCAGTGACTTCTATTCAGGAAAATTCTTAATTTATGTTTATGCTATAAGATTTTTTTAACACATTAAATTAAAAAATTTGACCAGGATAAGCTCAATGCCTCTCTCAGTTTGTATAGGTGAGGTTAACACAAGACCATTGTGTACTGTGTTGTTTGTTTATGGCATTAATATACCTTGCTGAATGATCACTACCTGTTGACCTGCCTCCTTGCCTCCTCATAGAATGTAATGGAACCAAAAAAAAAAAAAAAACATTTTTAATCAAGCATATCTTCTAAAGTCAACCTGAGCCTTCCCAGTGTGGATTTCATCTTTGACCAAATTTTTCTAACCAACGTAGAGGACAGCAAGCGGGGGAACCAAGGAGATCAATCTCTGCCTCCTGTATTTTCGTGAAGTTAGAGCACCAATCTCTTTAACTGCTGTTCAGAGATATCCAAAATGCCACAGAAAGCCCAGAAGTAGTTTGTTTGTAGAGAAAGATACTTATCGTGACCAAGGGTAAGGAAGAGTTCTCTTCGCAGAACATGCAATTTAAAGGCTAGTTTGGTGCTTGATACACAGAGGACAATCACTCAATAAATGCTATTGGCTGACAAATAACCTGAAAAGCTGCCTGAATGCTCCTGGAATTAATGCATTCTTATCCCCCTTCAGAGCTGCCTGAATGCTCCTGGAATTAATGAATTCTTATCCCCCTTCAGCCTGTTTTTATGTTGGCATTTGAAGCATCATCTTCAGGCCTGTTTTAGATAAGTCATTTTGGATTCTTCTAGATCTTTAAGATGCCTTTTAATTTCATGGACCTTAAAGATTTGGGGTCAGACCACCAAAGATGATGAATGTGAATGGAGGAGCCATGGCTTCTACGATTTTAAATAACCTTTCTTCAAACTGGGTTGATAGTCACTGAGTACACAGAGAACTAAGCCATCTTTCTCCTAGTTGCAACTGATGTTCTGGATGCCCTGGTATATAGAAGATTCCAGAAAGCACAGAGTGATGGCCATTTCCTCTTCCCATAGGTGCCTCCACCTCCAGTCTTGACCTGTCATCTAATTTGTAGATGTATTGTGCGGTGTCACCAGAAAAGCAACATTACAGCGACTTCCCCTCTTTTGCATGTTAAGGTGAATTCTGTGTTTGTGACCTTTCTTGGATGTATGAAAATGGGGTAATAAGTGACAGGAGGGATGTTAAAAGGCAGCAAAGTGGGCTGAGTTTATTTACATGGGAAATGGCAGATAATTTTGGGTCAATAAGTATAGACTACAGACAGATAATATGGCATTAAAAATAAAAAGGAGCCACCAGAACAGAATTGGAAAGAGTTTCAAAAGGGGAAAAATGCTGGGTGCAGTGGTTCCCACCTGTAATCCCAGCACTTTGGGAGGCCAAGGTGGGCGGATCTGTAGGTCAGGAATTTGAGACCAGCCTGGCCAACAAAGTGAAACCCTGTCTCTACTAAAGATACAAAAAATTAGCTGGGCATGGTGGTGCGTGCCTGTAATCCCAGCTACTAGGGAGGCTGAGGCAGGAGAATTGCTTGAACCTGGGAGGCAGAAGTCGCAGTGAGCCGAGATAAGGCCATTGCACTCCAGCCTGGGTGACGAGGCGAGACTCCATCTCAAAAAAAAGAGCCTGGGAGGGTGGGGCAGGAAAGAGGGCTCAGTTCAGATAAAGGAGGAAAAAACTACAAGAGTAACTGTCATGTTCATGAGTTGCTGAGAAAGACAGGCAAGTGGGAAAAAGATTTTAATAAGCTTGCTCCATATTGAGAATGATCTAGGGAATTTTTCATAGTATTAAAATTGCTTTTCAAAAATCGCTGCTGAATGTCAGGTTGCTGCTCTTGCGAATGCCACACTGTGCTAAGCCTGGGCCATGAGGGAGCTCAGCTTTATAGGAATTAGAGAGGCTGTCACAGTTTCACCCAGTTCTACTCTACCAGCTAGAAATGTATATAAATGCATCATGTTGTTTTACTTGTCTCAACATTGCTTGATAAGAATTTCCTCCTTAAAACATAGCTCCACAGAATCTGAGAGCTGGGTAGGACTTCAGAGTCAATCAAAGCAGTCTGAATGCTCAACCCTAATGAACTTAATTTAAAAAAAGAAAAAGTAAAACCTTTTGTGATTTCTAAAGATTTTATTAATTTTAGAACTTGGGATATACTTGATATAGTTCGTTTTATAATAGACTATTTAAATTCTCAAACTCTCAAGTTATTGATAAACTTTTTTGGTAACAGCTTTATTGAGATATAATTCACATAGTGTACAATTTACCCATTTGAAGTGTACAATTAAGTGCTTTTTAGTATAATCACAGAGTTGTACAAGCATTACCACAATTTTAGAATATTTTCATCACTCCAGAAAGAGACCTCATAGTGTTTCACTATCACCTCTGAACCCTACTATCAACCTTTTCCGTAGCCAACCACTAATCTACCTTCTGTCTCTATAGAGTACCTGTTCTAGACATTTATACAAATACAATGATAATTTGGGGTCTTTCATGACTGACTTCTTTCACTAAGCATCATGTTTTCAAGATTTATTCATGTTGTAGTACATATCAGTGATGTTTATGGACCTTTTTTAGCCATATAGTATTCCATTGTACAGATCTACCACATTTGCTTTATTCATTCATCAATTGATGGGCACTTGGGTTGTTTCCAACTTTCGGCTATTTTAGCTATGATAAGTAATGCTGCTGTGAACATTCAGGTATACATTTTCATGTGGACATAAGTTTTTATTCCTCCTGGATATATACCTGGAATTGCAGAGTCCTTGAGCAACTCTATGTTTAACATTCTGAGGAGCTGTCAGACTGTTTTCCAAAGTGGCTGCACCATTTCCCATTTCCACTAGCAACATATGAGGGTTCCAATTTCCCCATATCTTCGCCAACACTTGTTTGTATCTGACTTTTTTGTTACAGCCATTCTAGTGTGTATGAAGTGATTCATTCTGGTTTTGATTTGTATTTCCATGATGACTAATGGTATCAAGCATCTTTATGTGCTACTGACCATTTGTATAAATAACAGAGAAACGTCTATTCATGTTTCTGCCCATTATTTAATTGAGTTGGTTCTCTTTTTATTCTTGAGTGGTATGAGGTTTTTATATGTGCTAGATACAACTCCCTTATCAGACATGTGACTTTCAAAAATTGGCTCCCATACCGTGGGTTGTCTTTTTTTTTTTTTTTTTTTTGAGATGGAGTCTCACTTTGTCACCCAGGCTGGAGTGCAATGGCAAGGTCTCGGCTCACTGCAACCTCCACCTCCCGAGTTCAAGTGATTCTCCCACCTCAGCCTCCCGAGTAGCTGGGACTACAGGCACATGCCACTGCACATAGCTAATTTTTGTATTTTTAGTAGAAACGGGGTTTCACCATGTTGGCCAGGCTGGTCTCAAACTCCTGACCTCATGATTCACCTGCCTCAGCCTCCCAAAGTGCTGGGATTACAGGCGTGAACCACTGTACCCGGCCAGGATGTCTTTTCAATTTCTTGATAGTGTCCTTTGGAGTATGAAAGTGTTTAATATTAATGAAACCCAATTGCTATTTTCTTATATGATTGTTTGTGCTTTTGCTCTATTTGGCCATTGCCAAATTGAAGGTCTTGAAGATTTACTTCTATGTTCTTTTCTAAGAGTTGTATAATTTTAGCTCTTACATCTAGGTCTTTGATCCATTTTGAATTAATGTTTGTACCTAGTGTGAGGCGAGTGTCCAACTTCATTGTTTTGCAGGTGGATATCCAATTGCCCTAGCACCATAAGCATCTTTCCTTATTGAATGGTCTTGGCACCCTTGTTGAAAATCAATTACCTATAGATGCATTGGTTTAATTTCTTGTCTCTCAATTCTACTCATTTATGGCAGTACTCTCTTGATTACTATTAGTTTATAATAAGTTTGAAATCAGAAGTGTGAGCTTTCCTACTTTGTTCTTTTTCAAGATTATTTTAGCTATTCTGAGTCCCTTGCAGTTCTGAAATTTAGACTCAGTATGTCAATTTCTACAAAGAAGCTAGCTGGGATTGTGTTAAATCTGTAGATCAATTTGGAGAGGACTTCCATCTTAACAATATTCCAGTCTATGGATATGGAATCTCTTTCAATTTATTGAAATCTTATTCAATTTATTTCAACAATCTTTTGTACTTTCCAGGGCACAGAAGTTTTGCACTTCTTTGTTCAGTATTTTATTCCTTTTGACGCTATTATAAATGTAATTGTTTTACTTTCCATTTAATATTGTTTGTGGCAAATGTATAGAAATATAATTAATCTTTACATATTGATATTATATTCTGAAATCTTGATGAACTCATGCATTAGGTTTTAAAGTGTTTTAGAGTATTTCTTAAAATTTTCTACATACATAATTATGTTGTCAGTGACCAGAGATAGTTTTATTTCTTTCTTCCCTATCTGGATGCCATTTGTTACATTTTCTTGATGAATTTCCCTGGCTAGAACCTCCAGCACAATGTTAAATAGAAATAAGAACAATATATCCCTGTGGGTTTTGTGGACGTCCTTTATCTGGTTGAGGAAGTTCTTTCTATTCCCAATTTGTTGACTGTTTTTATCAAGAAAGCATGTTGGACTTTGTCAAATATTTTCTCTGTTGAGATGATCACATGGTTTTTGGTTTTTATCATATTGATATGGTGTATTACATTAATTGATTTCAAATGTTAAGCCAACCCTGCATCCTTAGGATAAATCCTACTTCTCCATGTGCTTAATTCTTTCTATAGTTGCTGTTTTTTCTAGAATTTTGTTGAGGTTGTTTGCCTCTACATTCATAAGAGATATTGGTCTATGGTTTTCTTTTCTTTCAATGTCTTTGGCTTGGTATTACAGTGATATGAGACATAGAATGAACTGGGAAATGTTCCTTCCTATTCTACTTTTTGGAACAGTTTGTGAAGAATTGATATTAACTCTTCTTTAAATGTTTGGTAGTGATCCATTCATTTTCTTATTCATAAATATTTGTCCAGGGCCTCCTAGGTACAAGGTTCTATACCCTAAGGATATAGTAGTAAATAAGTTCCCACCCTCGGAAGGCTAACATTTTTGCCAACTTTCAGGGTTTTGTTTCGATACCTGAAACTTGAATATTTAGTTTATTTCTGCCCTTCCCCACGTTAACTTAAGATTTAATAACAACAAAACAAGTATAAGATAAGGACATAGATAAATTTAGTATTCTGATTCCCATGGGTTCCTTTTAGGATTTAGCATAAAATGAACTCTCTTACTCTTTCTTTCTCTTTTTCCTCTCTTCCCACCCCACATATACTCATTTTCTTTTTCCCTCTCTCTCCCTCTCGCTCTCTCTCTCCTTCCTAATTCCAAGCTCTACCTCCTGATCACTGCCTTGCCTCCTTGTTGACACTCTTGCAATCTAATACAGGATTTTTTAAAATATATAAGTACCTTACCTAAAATAATCCCTGCTACTGTGTAAACTAGCAAATGTGTCATCTTCCTTAGACTTCTCAGTCTTTGAGAAGTGATAAGGATTGCAGGTTCTACGGCATAGGGGAAGCATTCTTGGGTGTGTGTGGAGTGTAGAGGGGTTGCTTTATCACTCTAATCACAGCATCTTGACAGTTTCTACTACAGGCAGGACTTGTTCTGACCTTCCTTATACAGCTTTCCCCCGGGGTTATAAGAATGTTTGCATTCAGAACAAGATGTCTGTATCTCTGCCACAGATTCTGGAGATGGTCGATGCTCCCTGAGATTGCTGAGGATGAGAGGAACCCTTCAAACTGCATCCCCAGCAAAAGAACATGATTTTTCCCCATATAAGACACAGCAGAGAATTCAACCCCAGACAGCCACAGGGTCCCCTCTGACAGGCTGATTTAATACTCAAGGAAGATTCTTCTAGACAGTCTTATCATCAGTGCCTGAGAACAGACGCTTTAGAAGCCGACTCTAAGGAAGAAGCAAATCTCTACAGAATGGACCACTCACTGTTCTAGTAATCACAACTATAGAACCAGTACAATTCCTTCTCTGGTAATACATTCATTCACAGCCTTCAACAAACATTTGGTGACCGCTTACCCTATATCCAGGACTGTGTCAAATAATTATGAAGCTAAGTAAGAAAAGACTCTATTCTCCAAGAGTCTGAACTCAGTGGGGAACTCCCAGTCCAGTGTAGTATAGAGGACAAGGTACTCGCTCCCAGTTTAAGCTCCTCATGCTACCAGAGGACCTGGACAAAAAAACCTTATGATGGCCTGAGGTTATGTGTTACATTTAAAGTTTCAATACAATGTAATTAACACCATAATATAAACAGGAATATTTCAGCAAGCGTCTACGCATCCCAGAATTACAAAATAAAGTGAATAAATGTCTATGAGCACTTCTTTGTGCCAGGGACTATGCCAAGTGTTAAAACATGACATTGAATAAGACACAATCCTTTCCCTTTGAAAGGGATACATTTAGTTCAGTAACTCAAATAAGAAAGCAATTCTGTCAAAAGTGATAAACTTCTGAAAGAACCAAAGAAAACTATAAACCACAAGATTACTGTTACAAAATACACTAAAGCCCCTGTAAGGCACAACTTACTAATTAACAATGTTCCACAAAGACTCAAAGTCCCTGACAATCTTCAAATCAAGTGTCAAATTGCTCTCTTAATCGATTCGTTTTGTTTTGTTTTTGAGACAGAGTCTCACTCTGTTTCCCAGGCTGGAATACAGTGGCACAATCTTGGATCACTGCAACCTCCACCTCCCAGGTTCAAGCAACTCTCCCACCTCAGCCTCCCGAGTAGCTGGGACTACAGGCACCTGCCACCACACCTGGCCAACTTTTGTATTTTTAGTAGAGATAGGGTTTTACCATGTTGCCCAGGCTGGTCTTGAACTCCTCACCTCAGGTGTTCCACCTGCCTTGGCCTCCCAAAGTGCTGGAACTATAGGTGTGCACCACTGCGACTGGCTGATCTGTGTCTTTTTTAACCGAAAACATGACTAGAAAGATACCTTTCCTGGACCTTGGTATCACAAACCATTTAATATCTTTAATAAGGCAGAAAGCAATGTAAAATAAAATCCCCTCTAGGTCAAAACACATACTTAGCATAGATTTGTGTGGGTTTTTTTTTTTCTGATTTCCACTATTAGTTACAACATTTGCCTTGTGCCCACTCTGTAGCAATTGTACAGCAGAGCTGAGGACTTTCATAAGAGGAAGGGAAACATCCCAGTGATGAGGTCCCAGCCTTGGAGCAGCCCTGGATCCTGCTCCGGGAGTTTATGGTCTAGGATGGGAGTGAAGACACAGCTACAATATTTTAGGTAAAAAGTGAAGTCCTGATTAAACCCTGTTAGGGCAGGAAACTAACAAAGGAAGAAATAAGGTATGACCCAAACCATATTTTTTGTCTTTTTTCTTTTCTTGTCTTTTCTATTTTTTTGAGTCAGAGTCTTACTCTGTCACCCAGGCTGGAGTGTGCAATGGTGCAGTCATAACTCACTGCAGCCCTGAACTCCTGAGATCAAATGATCTCAGCCTCCCGAGTAGCTAGGAGTATAGGCGTCCACCAACATGCCCAGCTAATGTTTATATCTTTTGCAGAGACAGGGTCTCACTATGTTGCCCAGGCTGGTCTCAAACTACTAGCCTTAAGCAATCCCCCTGCCTTGGCCTCCCAAAGTACTGGGATTACAGGCATCAGCCCTGTGCCTGGCCCCCTATGATTAGAATATGTTTATTCATGTATTCTTATTAGTTGAGAACCCCATCTCCTATGTCAGAAGGCTACCCGATAAAAAGAAGATACTAAGACATACAAGATAAGCTACCAGGGATAGATACACAAGTTCTTCGGGGTGCTGGAAGGATTGTCCATCTGGGCTCAAGCCAAGCACAAGCTTGGCAAAGAGAGATTGAGAAAGGTATCTGGACCAGAAACCACATCCTCTTAAGGTGGTAGTTCACCATTTAGGTGAAACTAGAGGGGAAAATGTCAACAATGCTAATGAACATTTCAAATGTACAAAGTGCTACTGCTCACCACCCTCCCTTGCTCAATCCCACACACCCCTCTCCCCAGCCACACTGGGACCTTCTGGCTCCTGGATGTGACTAGGTTCTACTTCAGGGTCTCCACATATGCTGGACCCTCAAGTGGAATATTCTTTCCCCTTCTCTCCCTTGGGTAATGGCTACTCATTTTTCAGACGTTAGTTTAAATGCAACTTTTCAAAGCTCCTTTCTCTGAGTCTTCATTCTACAAAAAAATGGTTCTGTTGGCCTCTCTCATGTAAGCAAACTTTACATACATTTGCTTCAGAGCATTTTTCGCAGTCTGTGGTTATATTTTTGTATTTAGATTTTAATCTGTCCCCACTACTAGACTACCTAAATGAGGGTGAGAATCACATCTGTTCACCACTGTATACCCAGTGCCTACCACATAGTAAGGTGTAAAAAGTTACATGATGCTAAATGGATTTCAAGTGCAAGAGAGATTTTCATAGGTCAGAGCTAAGACCAATGGAAATAAGACTGTACCAACACTATAAAAAAGAAATTCTTATTTCCTTATTAGCATCATAATCAATATATTTGTAATATAAATTAATTATAATGTATTTCTAAATTATATGCCCTAATCATTATGCTAAGTAAGGATCTTGCCATGTCAATACATAATGAGATCTCAGACACCAACAGGATTTGAGAGGAAGCAAGGTGATCCCCTTGATTCCGAAAACAAGAGGGTGTTGGGCATTGCCGTGTATTAACTACTTTGCTAGATGTTGAAGATACAAAAATAAATAAGAAAATATTGATGATCCCAAGGAGCTCCTCTTTCATCATCATTCTTTTTTTGGTGTTCTTTTGTTTTGTTTTGAGATGTAGTTTCACTCTTGTTGCCCAGGCTGGAGTACAATGGTGTGATCTCAACTCACCACAACCCCCACCTCCCAGGTTCAAGTGATTCTCCTGCCTCAGCCTTCTGAGTAGCTGGGATTACAGGCATGCGCCACCATGCCTGGATAATTTTGTATTTTTAGTAGAGACGGGTTTTCTCCATGTTGGTCAGGCTAGTCTTGAACTCCTGACCTCAGGTAATCCACCACCTCTGCCTCCCAAAGTGCTGGGATTACAGGTGTGAGCCACCGCACCTGGCTGGTGATCATTCTTAAAGAAAGCATTTAGACTAGAAGATCTATAATAATCCAGACAGAAATTTGTTGATCAGGTTATAGAGGTCACCTAGCAAACACCATTGGGACTGACCTGCAGACAGGTCCACTGTGATGGGCAATGAGAACCTTCAAACAGCATCTTCTTGGCTCCCCCATGCCTGTCCAGCAACAGCACTTTAGGTGTTATGAGTTGATAGATGATCTCTGAATTGAATAAAAGGCATGCATCTGGAAGTAGATGGCCCCAGATAAAGCAATTCTGTGAGGAGACCTCAGAGATGCAAAACAGTCCTTGCCTTCCCCATGAAGAGAGGGTTCCAGAAAGAATATATTAGTATGCAGGGGCTGTTATAACAAAGCACCACAGCCTGGTGGACTTAAACAACAGACATTTGTTTTCTCATTATTCTGGAAGGTAGAAGAGTGAGATCAAGGTGTTGGTAGGGTTGCTTTCTTCTGAGACCTCTCTCCTTGACTTGCAAAGGGTCATTTTTTTCCCTGTGTCTTCATATGGTCTTCCTTCTATAGGTATTCATGTCCTCATCTCCTCTTCTAAAAAGGATGCCAGTCATATTGAAATAAGGCCCCATCCTAATGCCTCACTTAACCTTAATTACCTCTTTGAAGACTGTGTCTCCAAATATAGTCGCATTATGAAATAATAACCCCTAGTAAGGGGTTGGGGCTTCAATATATGAATTTGTGGGGGAGCACAATTTAGCCCATATCAGCAAAGAAGCAGAATATTGAAGTCAAATTGCCCGTATTTCACAATTTTCACTTTAAAATCAACTTAGTCCCCTCTCCTTAGTCCTGTTCATATTAAAATGCCACCGTCCAGAAAAGAAAAACAAAAAAAACCTGATGCAGCAATGAGCTCATACTTACATTCACTAGGAAGGTGGAACACATTAAGCCAGTAGCTCCCAACACCTGGCTCATCAAAAGAAGCTCTTAGGATGAATTTTTTTTAATCTAGATTACTGGGCCCCATCATGTTACCAAAATATCAGAGGTTCAGTCTAGGTCCTACTGCTTGTCACACAGAAAGCCAATCGATCACTAACACAATGAGTATTTCTAAGAAGAAGGCTTTAATCGGGTGCTGCAGCCAAGGAGATGGGAGATGAGTCTCAAATCCACCTCTTTGACTGATTAACATCAGGTATTTATATAGCAGGGAAGAAATGTAACCATGCAGGAAAACAGGAAATAGGGAGAGGTAAGAAGAAGGAGTTGGTCAATAGGAAGCACGTAGTCAGTTAGGCAGTCATGAAGGGTGAGGGTTCTGTCATCTCATTGTCCAGATGCAGTGATCTGGTAAGCTTCAGTTCCTTGATACTATCTGAGAGGCTGAATAGTTGGTTTCCTGAGAAAGGAACTCAGATAAGACAAATGCAACTTTCTCAAGTTTCAAGACTAGGAGTGTCAATTTCCATGTTTATTCAAAAGAAACCATAAAAATCAGCTTGATGGGACAACTGGGTCAGTTTCAGTCATAAACCAATGAGGCCAGGCGCGGTGGCTCATGCCTGTAATCCCAGAACTTTGGGAGGCCGAGGCAGGCAGATCATCAGGTCAGGAGATAGAGACCATCCTGGCTAACATGGTGAAACCCCATCTCTACTAAAAATACAAAAAATTAGCCGGGCGCAGTGGCAAGCACCTGTAGTCCCAGCTACTCAGGAGACTGAGGCAGGAGAATGGCATGAACCTGGGAGGTGGAGCTTGCAGTGAGCTGAGATAGTGCCACTGCAGTCTGGCCTGGGCGAAAGAGTGAGACTCTGTCTCAAAAAAAAAAAAAAAAAAAAAAACCAATGAATTAGAAATATCTAGTGAATCTGTATTTCTCTAAATCTCCTCAAATGTTTCTAGTAATTAGTAAGGTTTGAGAACCACTGCTTTTGACTTTCTGGCAAAACTAATAATTGTTTTCATGGAAAAAAAGTGTGTCTTGCCACTTCCATATTAATTCTCCCCCGTCCCCCTACCCCTGCTAAGGAAATTCTGCATATTATAAGTCATATATAAATATTTGGATTGAGCTTTACCAATAAGCTTGCAAATAAAGTTGAGGCTAAAACTTAAAGAATTTACATGCATTCATCCAATCATTTATTAGAATCATTTAGCTACCAACTGTTGGTGAGTACTCACCACATGCCAGGCTGGATGCTAGGTGCTGGAGATGGTGTAGTGGACACAGTGTGGTCCCTGCCTTTGGTCCTGCTCTTGTATGTTTCTGTGTATAAAGTCTCCCACTTTCAGAGGAGGCAATGGGATTCTTCAGCTTCTGGCTGCTGTCTGAGGTTTAGACTCATCAAGGTGAGGAATGTATTTGTTGCCAGGCTGGAGTAGGGAGCTTCTCCTGAGGGTTGTGGCCCAATTGGAAAGCCAGCCACAAATCATGCTCAGATTGACAGTGCTCTTAAAAATAAATTATCTCCTGGTCTTATGCCACTGATGGTCTTGTCAAGAAGGACATTAATCCTATTCTCCCTTAATCACATACCAGGGTTGCATACAAGCCAACTGAGACAAAAAAGGTACCTATACAGCTGGACATAGTAAACTGTTTAAATGACAGCCCTGGCTCAAACAACTTTTCCAGGATGTGAGTGTGTGTGTGTGTGTGTGTATGTGTGTGTGTGTGTGTGAGAGAGAGAGAGAGAGAGACAGAGAGAGAGAGAGATTGAGATTCTCACTGGCATTTGCAGATACATTTCCAACTCAGTACTAAGGGTAACAAATAGGCCTGGCCTGTTGGCTCAAGACTAATAGTAAGGACATGGCATTTAGCCGAGCTTAATTCCCCTGCTTGTTTTCTGGCTATTCAAAGATAGCTCCAGTGTCCAGACTGCAGCAGTCTTTGCTCCTCTGTTAAATACAATTGTGCCAATTGCCAAGGACACTAAGATATTCTTGATTCTTAAAGACACCAAGCAAGTGTGAAGGGGATGATGAAATACAAATTAGCTTCATCTAGGATATTGCTCTTTAGGCCGGCCTTCCTATTAGTTAGTTGGGAGAATGCAGATTGCCTTGTGGTTTGAGACCTGTTATTCAGTCCAGCTGGTGCCCAAATCAGGAGATTCTTTGGGACTAAACAAATGAGACTTGCTCACTCTTATCTTGACCTCATGTTTATTCCTCAGCTCTTCCCTTGTCATGCAAAGTGGATCCTATTTTTCTAGGACTATATTCCAAACTGCATCTGCTTTAGAACCAAGTAAGTCTCTCGCATTCCCCCTCCACTCCTTGCAATAGTTTTCCTTGCCTCTCTAATGTGCATATCCCCTTCAATTACATGACTGGACCAGGAAAAATCTACTTAGCCTGAAGCCAATGACTCCAGATGATCATAAATAAACACCAGAAATGCTAAAGTTTTCCCTGCATTGGCCAAGAGCTCTTTATTTCTGCATGCTCGATGGAGCAGAGAAAAATGGATTAGAGCCTGGAAGAATGTGAGTGTAACTATTGTTCATTGATGATCAGCTACTGCTGTGTTTTCAATAAAAGGGTGAGTCTCCTCTCTCTGACCCTAATTTGATTCAAATATTTTTACTCTCTAGATGAACAATTTGAGTGAATGTCAGCTCCCATATCTGGGGAGAGAATTGGGGCCTGAGATAGATTAGGATATTCAGTTCTCAACTTACCCCAGCAAGTTCTGACAATACTGTACCATCAGACGTAAACCATTTTAAATTCCCACTTATTCTCTGCAGAACCTGACTCTCAAAGGTAAATTACAGGAATAAAGAGCCATCCACTGGAGGTAGGAAGTGGGAGATTAATAACAAATAGAGAGCATAAAGACTAGTTAAATTTATTTATTTTTAATCTAAGTGTTCCTTTTATTATCAGATGTGGAGCTCAGGAGAATAAGGAGGTCAAAAAGGTAGAGAGAATACACGTGGCTGAGATTATATAATGCCATTCTAACAAAGTAATAAAAGTGTCATAAACTCCCTGACATTTAATATCCTAAGGGACAGCTAGCAATCTCAAGGACTAAATAGCTTAGGAAATTTCCTTTAGAGATAAAGAGTGTGTCCTCAATCAAAGGGCTGTGGACTCAGTCACTCATTCATATTTTAAGATGACATAGGATGATTTGCTTACAAATTGAGAAAACAAACCATATCTGCATGTGCCAGCTTCGAAGCAAAACTGGGAAAACAAATCTACCTATACTGGCCATTTTAAATGCAATAAAAGCTTTCTGATTAAGGTTTGTGGATTTCCTTCCTTGTTTTCATCACAAAGAAAAGAGAAATGGAAAGGAGAGAAGAAAGGCAAAGCCCACTACTCTTTGAAATACAGATCATGATGCCCACAGAACCATATTTTTCTTGGATATGTACATTTTTATACAACTAAGCATTCCTGGATTTGGGCTCTTTTAGGAAATGTATCCAACAACCTGATCACTAGCCAGAAACCATAGAGTGAATGTTATAGAAGCTGACCCATATATTTCCAAGGTACCTTTAAAATACATCTTTTTTAAAGATGATCAGTTCTTTTGGTGATTCACGTAGCTGGGCAATGGTCCAACTTCACTGTCTAATGTCTTTTTCCATGAACAGTTTCTCAGCAGTGGTCAGATAAATAACATTGACCACTCAATGCTCCACTTTAGTTTAGGACATTGAAAGCCACAAGAGAATGTTACTACCACCTCTACAACCAGAACAAGTGAAAAGGTCTTCAAGAGAATAACATTTTTCAGGTCCTCAGAGAGCTGAGATTATAAAGTAACACATTGAATTAAACTCATGCTACTCCAAAGAGAGAGGAACATACAACCTTTTCATTCGCAACTTGTAGGCCAAAAGCAGACATAATCTCCAAAGGGGGAAGAATCTGACAGGATTCATCAGCATTTCAAAACTTCCTATCATGCTAAACCAATTTAAAAATGCCTATTAGATGGCCAGGAACAACAGTTTATGCCTGTAATACTAGTACTTTGGAAGGCTGAGGCAGGAGAATCACTGGAGGCCAGGAGTTCAAGAACAGCCTGGGCAAGATAGCAGATCTGTCTCTACAAATAATAATAAAAAAAAATTAGCCAGGTGTGGTGATGTATGCCTACAGTCCTAGCTACTCAGAAGGCTGAGGTAGGAGGATCCCTTGAGTCTAGGAGTTTGAGGTTACAGTGAACTATGATTGTGCCACTGCACTCCAGCCTTGGTGACAGAGAGAGACTTTGTCTCTAAAATAAAAAATTTAAAACCCTGTAAGTCACTTAATGATTATTCACAAATAATTAATAATAATGACTAGTGTTTAGCATGTGATATGCTCAACTTCATATACCTTCTAACTCTTGAATCAAATACTGCCATTGAAAAAATTTTTAATAGATAAATAACCCAAGGCTTAGCAGAAGTGAAATAATTTGCTCAGAAACTATTTTACAAAGCTTTTAGCCCAGACCAGGATACTCTTCCACTGCTGTTTGTGATCTGAATGAAAATCAGGAGGTGCTTACATTGCTAAAATTTTCTGAATATCTGAGGCAGATTTTCTTTAAGTCCCAAGGCATCATTGTGACATTCCCAGGGAAATGCAAAAACCTGAAGTTTTAAAACATATGCATACTTTCAATTTAACTGCCCCAAATCATCTGAGTTGATTATGAAACCAGCCCAATATCCCCATAGAACTGAAGTTTATGGGTTAAAAAAAATAAACATAGAAATAGACCCCTCTGGTCTTAAAACCTGAGAAACTTACATTTGTCTTATCTGAGTTCCTTTCTTAGGAAACCCACCATCAGGCCTCCCAGATAGTATCAAAGAACTGAAATTTATTAGATCACTGCATCTGGACAATGAGATGCCAGACCCCTCCCTAATTCCTGTTCACCTACACATAGTTCCTGTTGACCAAATCCTCTTCCTTACCCCTCTCTAATTCTGTTCTTCTACATGCAGTTAAATTCCTTCACTGCTGTATAAACCCCTAATTTTAGTCAGTTGTAGAGATGGATTTGAAACTGATTTCCCATCTTTTTGGCTGCAGCAATCAATTAAAGTATTTTCCTTGGCAATATTCATTGTCTCCATGATTGGCTTTCTTCATTATTATTTTAATCTATTCATTTATTTATTTTGAGGCTGGGCTATGAGACTGGCTGATTTTTGTATTTTTAGTGGAGACAGGGTTTCACCATATTGCTCAGGCTGGTCTTGAACTCCCGGGCTAAAGCGATTCACCTGCCTCAGCCACCCAAAGTGCTGGGATTAAAGGTGTGAGCCACTGCACTTGGCCCCAGTGATTGGCTTTCTGTGCAAAGAGCAATAGGACCTAGATCGAACCCCTGACCTTTTGCTAACAGTTATTTAAATTCTCAAAGGAATTGTGCAGGGAAATTAAAGATATGCAAAGACTAAATGTTGCTTGAAATAAATATTTAGATGCCTAAGCCCCTCACTGCATAATCACTCTTGACTTTTTTTTCCTTAGGTGGTATATATATGAAATTATTATAAAATATATTATAAAAATTAGAATTTAAAATGTAAATATTCATTCCATGCATGCTTTGTTCAGGAATGTTACAATGATTTAAAACTAGAATAATCTACATCATCAATAGTATTTAACATGCTACTTATAAAGGCTTAATATTTAGAATTCAACCCAATTTCTATTTCAACATGGTAGACTGAGGTGGTATCACTTGCTCTTCTCATTTAAACAAGCTGTAAGAAAGGCTGTTCAAAGGGGAAAACTTACTTCCTAACAGATAAAAGAGTCTTCTGTGTCTCAACCAGCCATAGTGGCGGCTCATGCCTGTAATCCCAGCACTTTGGGAGGCTGAGGCATGGATTACCTGAGGTCAGGAGTTCGAGAACAGACTGACTAATGTGGTGAAACCCTGTCTCTACTAAAAATGCAAAAATTAGCCAGGCATGGTGGCATGCCCCTGTAATCCCAGCTACTCAGGAGGCTGAAGTGGCAGAATTGCTTGAACCCAGGAGACTGAGGCGGCAGTGAACTCAGATCACATCACTACACTCCAGCCTGGGCAACGGTGCAAGATCCTGTCTCAAAAAAAAAAAAGTATTCTGTGTCTCTTTGAAACTCTTTGTGGCTACATATTTCCATTAGTTTCATAACAGTTTCCCATTCTTCGCTGAGAAGCACGGGCTCAGAGTGTGACCACACCAGACCAATCTGGCTCAGCTTTCATGTCACAATGTTGTAGTTGCTTTTCAGTTGCCATAAAGCACAGATTGAAGGTCACATAAGCTGAGCATGCCCAGATGAACCAAGTGTGCAACCACAGGGGGAAACCTAAGAGCTCAGACTGAGGGGAAGGGACTGAATTAAGAAGTGGATACAACATGGTAGGATCCAGGGTCTACTTAGATCAAGCTCTGGCATCACCCCATGACAGGTTCCAGGCAGATCCTACCTCCCAGCATCATCTCAAATCTCATTGCAAGATCCAATCAGATCACATCTCATCACCTTATGCTTATAAACCCAACCCAAACCCCAGCACAGGGAGACAGATTTGAGTATTTCCTCCTGTCTGCTTGCCAGGTGAGTCACAATAAAGCTTTTCTTTTCTCAAAAGCTGGTCCAATGGTATTAGCCTCTCTGCACCTTGGACAGTGAGCTCATGATTACTCAGTAATGAGAGGACTTAACTAAGAGTTACTCAGAACATGAGCCATCCCTGCCATGAACTACCTAGAAAGATGATGTTGATGGCAATGATGATGATGATGGATAATTGTGAAATAGTCACTAAGTGGCTGGGACGGTGCCTCACGCCTGTAATTCCAGCACTTTAGGAGGCCGAGGCAGGGAGATCACTTGAGGCCAGGAGTTTGAGACCAGCCTAGTAAACATGGTGGAAGCCTGTCTCTACTAAAGATACAAAAATTATCTGGGCGTGGTCGTGGCACTTGTAGTCCCAGCTATTTGGGAGGCTGAGGCACGAGAATTGCTTGAACCCAAGGGGCAGAGGTTGCAGTGAGCTGAGATCACACCACCACACTCCAGCCTGGGCAACAGAGTGAGACTCTGTCTCAAAGAAATAAATAATAAAAGTAAATAAATAAATATATATATTCACTAAGTGTTTTATGTTAGATTATCTGGTTTAAAAGTCACAACATCTTTCTAAGGAGGATATTATTATTGTTGTTATTCCAACTTTATAGATGAGGAAACAGCGAAAAGATCTAAAGTCCTTTGCCCAGGACCACATAGCTAGAGAGTATTAATACCTGGAGGCAAACCCAATAATCTGATTCCAAAGCCATGTCCTTTTCTCCGTTGTGCCTCTGCGCCACTAGAGCTTACCATGTTATATAAAGTCTCTTGGACTCCTAGTCATAACTTGTTAAATGAGACCTTTAGTCTACTGGTTTAAGATTCTGGATTCTCACAAATTCCACCCATGGAAATAAAGTGTGTGGATACATAAAATGCACTGGAATACTCCTCACTTCTACACAATGTCAATGTATTAATTAGCAAGTGCTTATTGCACGGTGGCAGACTTTAGCTGGGTGCTAAGGTATGCTACTACTTCGCGTTTTTAGCATCTGCTTAGAAATACTCATTTTACTGGGCCAGGCACGGTGGCTCATGCCTGTAATCCCAGAACTTCGGAAGGTCAAGGTGGGCAGATCACTTGAGGTCAGGAGTTTGAGACCAGCCTGGCCAACATGGTGAAGCCCTGTCTCTACTAAAAATACAAAAATTATCCAGGCATGGTGGCGCATGCTTGTAATCCCAGCTACTCAGGAAGCTGAGGTGGGAGGACCGCTTGAATCCAGTATGTGGAGGTTGCAGTGACCCAAGACTGTATAGCTGCACTCCAGCCTGGGCAAAAGAGCAAGACTCTGTCTTAAAAAAATAATAAAAAGAAGTATTCATTTTACTATTATTCTATAAATTAGAAGTTACTTAGAGATACTATTTGAAGCAAGTTGTTGTCATCAAAACAATACTCAGGCTCTCGACCTTAGCGCCATTTTCTTGGAAACCTCTGCGCCATGAGAGCCAAGTGGAGGAAGAAGCGAACGCTCAGGCTGAAGCGCCAAAGAAGAAAGATGAGGCAGAAGTCCAAGTAAACCGCTAGCTTGTTGCACCGTGGAGGCCACAGGAGCAGAAACATGGAACACCAGACGCTGGGGATGCTGGTACAAGTTGTGGGACTACATGCTACTGCCTAGAGCTTGTCTCAATGGATCTAGAACTTCATCGCCCTCTGATCGCCGATCACCTCTGAGACCCAACTTGCTCATAAACAAAACTGCCCATGTCGGTCCTCTGCCCTGGACCTGTGACATTCTGGACTATTTCTGTGTTTATTTGTGGCCGAGTGTAACAACCATATAATAAATCACCTCTTCCGCTGTTTTAGCTGGAAAAAAAAAAAAATACTCAGACACTCAGATCTTCAATGTCAGAATTTTTAAAAACATGACCATGTTCTTTTACAAAAATTCATGCTCAGTTATCAACTGACGTCTGATCTCAATTCGTACAGCCAACTACCCTAAACTGCCTCACTTTGGATTATTTTTAAGCAAACCCCAGATATTAAATCATTTCATGTGTAAATAACTCAGCGTGTGTTAACAACTCAAGGAAAAATTCCACAGAACCAGAATCTCATTATTATACTTTTAAAAAAGTATTAATTTGTTACTATCAAATATTCAGTTAGCATTCCAATTTCTCTGATTGTGTCCTAACTTTTTTTTATACTTTGAGCATCATGTTGTTCTTTGTCATAATTAAAGGTTATCGTTTCCCAAAGTGTCTTCCTTGAGATGTTAAGTGATGTTATGCAATTTTTACAAAACATCTTGTGGGCCAATAAATTTAGAGGACACTGAAGTAAAACAGAGTTAAACAGATTTCTCACTGTAGGACTTTTTTTTTTTTTTTTTTTTTTTTGAGACAGAGTCTCGCTCTGTCACCCAGGCTGGAGTGCAGGGGCGCGATCTCAGCTCACTGCAAGCTCCGCCTCCTGGGTTCACGCCATTCTCCTGCCTCAGCCTCCCGAGTAGCTGGGACTACAGGCGCCCACCACCGCGCCCGGCTAATTTTTTGTATTTTTAGTAGAGACGGGGTTTCACCGTGTTAGCTAGGATGGTCTTGATCTGCTGACCTCATGATCTGCCCGCCTAGGCTTCCCAAAATGCTGGTATTACAGGCGTGAGCCACCGCGCCCGGACTCTCACTATAGGACTTTCTTAAGCCTTCGATATATTAGTGTGCATTGAGACCTTCAACAGAGGCACTTGGTATGCAGCTTTTCCCAAATCAGTTTGAACATAAATTTTTTTTCTGAAACACACCTTAGAAAATATTGCCATGGGCAAAGATTTTTGTCTCAGTTTTCTTTTCCTTGTGTGAAATTTAATGGAGTTCATTTTGTCCTCCTAGAAATCTCAATGGAGACCAGTTTCACCTGTACACAGCCTAAATTCTGTTAATGAAGGGATTGTTTCAGAACAATGGTTACAGGGTTAGCATGTGAGTAGAGCAATGGCCACCATATTTTCTGCAAATAAAAGTTTAATATATGTTGGATTGATACATGGTTTGAATACATGACTTAGCAAAAATGCACAATATTTAAATCAGCACTATTCTTAGAATTTAGCACGTGTGATCAGGCTTTTGGATAAAATGGGCTGTTCTTTACCAGGGAAAACAGCCCATTCTTGCTATGCAACAACTTGCGTAGTGACTATGCTTTCCAAAACTGATAGAACATAGTGTATGAAATAGGATTTCTGTATCACAAGGGGCTAGAAGTAAGCGATCTGAGAAATATAGATTTAATTCCAAAAGTAAGAAATGTCTAGGACATTTTATCGGTTTATAGACATAACAAGGCAAAACATTTGCAATTAGGTGTCTCTAAGAGGTTTGAGATGTGCTATCTTTGAACGAGAAATGGCCGCATAGACTTATCTAGTTCAAGCACTGGATTTTCAGTTTCTCTTGAGGTACATGTTCTATGTCTAGTGCTCACTCCATAATCCTAAAACCAATACTATAGAGAAAAAGTGGCTCAATTTATGTTTCAAAATGAAAGCAGCTATACTGGCAGAGGACAATGATTTCCCATCTCCAATGAGGGACAGGGAGAAAATGGAAGGCTGAAACAATATTATATTAGGATTACACTGAGTTGGCCCAGGCGACCCTAACTTTTCTATAATATCCCCAGGATCATACCCTCCGCCAGGGCTAGTCTTTGAAATGTCCCTATCTTTTAATCTACAACAGTCACCATCCCCTATGTAATGAGAATGATGCATATCTGCCCAGGACCTTTCCAAAGCCTGTATCTTTTAGGACAGTCATGAGTGCAGTAGCCCAGGGGTTATGTGTTGTTTCAGGATTTTACTTAGCTAACTTGCTTTCGCTTGGGCAGAAACAGCAATCAAATTAAAATGAGTGATGCTGATTGGGAGACTGGTTGATTTCTATTTTCTTTTGCATCAACTGCTCTGAGAGCAAAGTTAGAAAAGTTTGTTTTCGCTGGCAGGCATCGGGAACATGACTGCAATTACCACCCTCTCATTTTCCAAGCTAAGGCTATAAAGAGTGAAGAATGACAATGTCTTCTTCAACTGCAGCCGCATTTTTTGAATTGCTGGTCTGTGTAAAATTTCTCTATTGCCTCTAGTTAAGGACCAGGCACCTGTATTGAGGCATTAGCACCAGGCTTGGCTACGGAGGTACAGAGTCAGGCCCTAGACCTTCAGGGGTTTGTAGTCTAACTGGAGAGAGATGGCTAAATTATCAATCATGGAGCATGTGGTCTCCTTTCTTTTCAACTTTTTGTTATGAAAAATGTCAACAGTCAGAAAAGCTAAAGGAATATACTGAGCACCCACATACTCACCCCTTCAATTAAAAAACTAATAGCTGTGATTACTTGCTTTGTCACTGTGTGTGTGTTTGATATTTTGAACAACTTGAAAGTAAGTTGCAGAGATCATGACACTTAAAACCCCTAAATAATTTGGCCACATCTCTTTTTCTTTTTTTTTTTGAGACGGAGTCTGTCTCTGTCGCTGAGGCTGGAGTGCAGTGGCACAATCTCAGCTCACTGCAAGCTCTGTCTCCCGGGTTCACGCCATTCTCCTGCCTCAGCCTCCCGAGTAGCTGGGACTACAGGTGCCCACCACTACGCCCGGTTAATTTTTTGTATTTTTAGTAGAGACGGGGTTTCACCATGTTAGCCAGGATGGTCTCGATCTCCTGACCTCCTGATCCGCCCGCCTCGGCCTCCCAACGTGCTGGGATTACAGGTGTGAACCACCGCGCCCGGCCCACATCTCTTAAAAATCAGAACATTCTCCTATCTAACCAGAGTACTACTATATCTAAGAAAATTTTAACTCCCTAATACCATTAATATCCCATAAACATTCAAATATTCTAACTTGTCCCCAAAACATCTTTTGGTGCTGTTTTGTTCTAACCAGAATGCAATTAAGGTTTACACATTGGATTTGGTTGTCATGTTTCTTTAGTATCTTTTTTTTCTCTTTTTTTGAGACAAGAGTCTTGCTCTGTTGCCCAGGCTGGAGTGCAGAGGCACAATCTCGGCTCACTGCAAACTTTGCCTCCTGAGTTCAAGCGATTCTCCTGCCTCAGCCTCCAGAGTAGCTGGGATTACAGGCGCCCACCACCACTCCTGGCTAATTTTTGCATTTTTAGCAGAGACAGGGTTCTGTCATGGTAGCCAGGCTGGTCTCGAACTCCTGACCTCAGGTGATCCACCTGCCTCAGCCCCTCAAACTTCTGGGATTACAGGCGTGAGCCATTGCACCTGGCCTCTTCAGTATCTTTTAATCTAAAACAGGCACCACCACTCCTCTTCCATAAGGCACCCTGACTTTTTGAAGCGCTCAGGCCAGTCATAGAATGTCCTACTTTATAGATTTGCTTCATTGCCCTCTCATGGTGTCCGTTAATGTTTTTCTCTGTCAATGTTTCCTATAAACCAAAACCAGAAATTATGTCAAAAGTCTTGATTAACTTGATTAAACATGCTTGACAAGAAAACTTAAGTACAAATATGAGACAGTGCAGCAGTTTTAGAAAACAATCTGGAAGCTCTTCAAAATGCGAAGCATGGAGTTCCCACCTGATCTGGCAGTTCTGCTCTGAGGTGTACACCCCCAAAAAATGAAAACCTGTCCAAACAAAAACTTGTAACAAGTATTCATAGCAACGTTATTGATAATAGCTGAAAACTGGAAAACAACTCAACTGTCCATTAAATAATAGACTTTTTTAATGTGGCAAATTCACTGGTGTGGTGACTCACACCTGTAATCCCAGCACTTTGGGAGGCCAAGGTGGGTGGATCACTTGAGGTCAGGAATTTGAGACCAGCCTGGCCAACATGCTGAAACCCTGTCTCTACTAAAAATACAAAAATTAGCTGGGCATGGTGGCACACACCTGTAATCCCCGCTACTCAGGAGGCTGAGGCATGAGAATCGCTTAACCCAAGAGGCAAAGGTTGCAGTGAACCAAGATCACACCCCTGCACTCCAGCCTAGGTGATAGAGTTAAGACTCTGTCTCAAAAAAACAAAAACAAAAACAAAAACAAAAACAAAAAAAGATAAAATGTGGCATATTCATACAATGGAATATTATACAAGGAATAAAGTGCTGATATCTTGAGGAACCTTGAAAACATCCTGGGTGAAAGAAGCCAGTGACAAAAGACCACATATTAATAATATATGATTCCACTTATATAAAATGTTCATAAGAAAATACACAGAAAAGAAAGTAGATTTGTGGTTGCCTAGGGCTAGGGGTGGTAGGAGGGGGATAGAGAAATGACTGCTCATGGCTATGGGGCTTCTTTTGGGGGTGATGAAAATGTTCTAAAATTAGATTCTGGTGGTGGTACAACTGTGTGAACACAAAAAGCCTTTGAATTGTATCTTTAAATGGGTGGATTGTGTGACATATGAATTATACCTAAATAAATCTGTCAGAAGAAAAAGAAAATGTTCATAGATGCTGCAGTGCATTTTGTATTGTGTTACATCAAGAGGCTCCCAAGTTCACACCATCCCTGTTTAATGATGCTCAACCTCTTAGTTGAGATGGCGACCTCATGTCTCTCCAAATGAAAGGTTTGCTTTCCATTTGTACAGAGCAAGCAATCTGTGGGGTGACAGATTGAAACACACAAGCAGCCCACTCCCAGCATCTTTCCACCTCATGTTTTAGCAGACACTGCTAAGTCTGGTAAGACACTGCTAAGACTGACAAGTCTTACTGGAATCAATCATTTCACTGGGATTACAGAACGGCCAACAGTTCGTCTTACAGATTCAAAAGCTTAGATGGTTTGACAGACTTTCCAGAGTCACTAGACAGGATGGTAGCAGAACAGGGACTAGAGCCCAGGGCTCCCTTTTCTAGCCCACTTCTGGTGCCATTGCCTTAGACTGTAATTCACCTGTGTATAAAGAGAGCTTCTGCTGCACTGAGGGGCAGGAAAGTGCTGAATAAGGAGTATTTCAAGGATCTGGCCACAAAATTATTGCCTTACAACCTGGAGGATATCCAGAAAGACTGTTGCTGTATGCCTTGAAGGTTAATTAGGAAAACACAGGAGGAATCCATCTGTAGCAGAAGCAAAGAATCCCGGCAGGAACAGCCTCAGCATAGGGGAGAAACACTGTCAGTGAGCAGGGGAGTTAGAATTAGTTATAACCTAGCACTAAAGGGCATGAACCCTTGAGCCAAATTGTCAGGATTTGAGCACCAGCTCTGCCACTTTCTACCATAACCTCTCAGTGCCTTGATTCCTTGCTTATGAAAAGGGGATCATAGTAATACCAACCTCATGGGGTTTTTATGATAATTAAATGAGTTTGAGAACAGTTCCTAGCAACAGTAAGTTATCAAAAATATTGGTTACCTTTACATTGCACAAAATGTTTGGATGGCAATTTGCAAAGAATAGGAGTGCTATAGAAGTTAATGACAGCCAGCTGCGTTTCCCTCTGGAAACATGGCATTGCCCCTGCTCAGTAAGCACCCCTTGGGCACTGCTACTGCAAGAGGCAAAGTGGGTTTTAGGGAAATAAGTCAGGATTGAAACCAGGATATCTGGGTTGCAATCTCACATCTGCCACCTACCACTGAGTGATGTAGAGTGAGTCCCCTGTCTTCTCTGAGCCTGTCTCTACAGTGTGAAATGGAGAGGTTGGACTAGTACATGTTCAATGACCTTTCTGCCTCTGACCTCTGACGTGTGATTCTAAGAGTCTTCAGTGGGTATTTCAGCTCCTGCATCCTGCTCAGGGCTGCTAGGTTATGTAGAGTTGGCTCCTAGAAGTCTAAGGCATTACTTCTCTGACGTCAGAGTTGGTACATCTCAGAGCATCCAAGGTTACCCAAGGTTACTTCCATTTATCCATTTATCCATTTATCAAAAGGAGTAGATTCTTCCCTCTGTTGCACAGAAGATTGGTTCTAGAATCCCCACATATTCCACATTGACCATACTCAAGTCCTATACTCAGCCCTGTGTACAGAAAAAGTTGGCCCTCTGTGTACATGGGTTTCTTGTCCAGGAATACTGTATTTTTGATCCAAGTTTGGTTGAAAAAAAATCCACTTATAAGTGGACCCATGAAGTTCAAACCCGGGTTATTCAAGAGTCAACTGTAGTTTTAAAAGACTCACCTGAATTAATCAATCCTACAGTGAGTATGTAATTTTTTTTTTTTTTTGAGAGGGAGTCTCACTCTGTTGCCCAGGCTGGAGTGCAATAGTGCAATCTCAGCTCACTGCAAGCTCTGCCTCCTGGGTTCACGCCATTCTCCTGCCTCAGCCTCCAGAGTAGCTGGGACTATAGGCGCCCGCCACCACGCCCGGCTAATTTTTTGTATTTTTAGTAGAGACGGGGTTTCACCATGTTAGCCAGGATGATCTCCTCCTGACCTCATGATCCGCCCACCTCGGCCTCCCAAAGTGCTGGGGTTACAGGCGTGAGCCACTGCGCCTGGCCGTGAGAATGTAATTTTTTATAGTTACTCTTATTGTGAGTCGTAAGTAGCTCATTGTGTCAATGTCATAAAAGTTATGTTTCTTTCATTGTTTTCTACTTTTCAGTCTATCTGCAACTTATAAATAAGCATGTTGGCTAGAAAACAGAACTCATGGGGAAAAATGTAAATCTTTGTTTGCACAAAGGTTTCTTTGATGTTCATAAGTACACACCATGAAGCACATCTAAATTTGTATGTCATATTTATGACTGAGAAATATCAGGTGAAAAATGTAATTCTGGTATGTCCTCAACTCCACATTCCATATATAATATTTTCCTTCTTTGCATTTTGAGACATAGTAGGCAATCAGCAAAGATAACTGATTGATATTATACCCTATAGTGGAGAAAGAGGGCTGAAAACATCTCCAAGCTGACCCGTCCGCCCCTCCCCTCCCCTCCCCTCCCTTCCCCTCAAGACAGGATCTTGTTCTGCCACCCTGGATGAAGTACAGTGGCACAATCATAGCTCACTGCAGCTATGATCTCCCAGGCTCAAGTGATCCTTCCACACCAGCCTCCCAAGTAGCTGGGACTACAGGTACATGCCACCATGTCTGGCTTTTATTTTTTTGTAGAGATGGGGTCTCCCTATGTTCTCCAGGCTGGTTTCGAACTCCTGGGCTTAAGCGATCTTCCTGCCTTCACCTCCCAAAGTTCTGAGATTACATGCATGAGCCACTGCACCTAACCTCATTGTTTTCTTTATTCCTGGGTTTCCAGCACCTAGAACAGTGCCTGGTACAAAAGAGTTACTAGAACAATATTGGATGCTGTTGTGGCTTTAAAACACATCCACAGGTCGGGTGCAGTCACTCAGACTGAGAGATTCAAGAGAGAGTGGGGAAGAAACTGTGGTGCATTTTGTGATCTAGTCCCTGAAATTGTATGCCTTCACTTCTGCTTTATGCTAAATCACTAAATCCAGCCTACACTTAAAGGGAGAATAATTACGTTCTACTTCTTGAAAGGAAAAATGTCAAGGAATTTGTGTGTGTGTGTGTGTGTGTGTGTGTGTGTGTGTGTGTGTGTGTGTTTTTTGAGACAGTCTCGCTCTGTTGCCCAGGCTGGAGTGCAGTGATGCAATCTTGGCTCACTACAGCCTCTGTCTCCTGGGTTCAAGTAATTACCCTGCCTCAGCCTCCCAAGTAGCTGGGGTTACAGGTGCCCACGACCATGTCTGGATAATTATTGTATTTTTAGTAGAGATGGGGTTTCACGATATATATAGGCTGAGCATGGTGGCTCACGCCTGTAATCCCAGCACTTTGGGAGGCCGAGGCAGGTGGATCATGAGGTCAGGAGATCGAGACTATCCTGGCCAACGTGGTGAAATCCCAACTCTACTAAAAATACAAAAATTAGTGCGTGTGGTGGGGCATGCCCGTAACTCCAGCTACTTGGGAGGCTAAGGCAGGAGAATCACTCGAACCAGGGAATTGGAGGTTGCAGTGAGCCGAGATAGCGCCACTTGCCACTGCACTCTAGCCTGGTAACAGAGCAAGACTCTGTCTCAAAAAAAAAAAAAAAAAAAATACACACACACACACACACACACACACACACAAAAATTCCTTGACACCTTTCCTTTCAAGAAATAGAACTTAATTACTCTCCCTTTAAGTGTAGGCTGGATTTAGTGATTCACTTCTAATGAAAAAAACAAAGCAGAAGTGTCTGGGCATGGTGGCTCACACCAGTAATCCCAGTTTGGGGAGGCCAAGGCAGGAGGATGGCTTAAAGCCAGAAATTCTAAACCAGCCTAGGCAATGTAGCAAGAGCTCATCTCTACAAAAACAGAAGTGTAAAAAGTATCAAAAATTAGCATGAAGCAGAAGTGAAGGCATATAATTTCAGGGACAAGATCACAAAATGCACCACAGTTTCTTCCTCACTCTCTCTTGAATCTCTCAGTCTGAGTGGAAGTAGCTGATGTATTGTAAGCAGCCCTATGGCAAGGCCCACATAATGAGGAACTGAGGCCTCCAGCCAACAGCCATGTACATGAACCCTTGTGGAGCAAATCCTCCAGACACAGGCAAGCCTTGAGATGACGGCATTCCCAGCCAACATCTTGACTACAGTCTAATGGAAGACCCTGAGCCAGAACCACCCAGCTAAGCCATTCTCACATTCCTGACTTTTAGAAACTTTACAAGAAGACGAATGATTGATGTTGTAAGCCGCTAAGTTTTGAAGTGATTTGTTATGCTGCAATAGTAACTAATACAGATGCATAAATGAATAGAAAATCTGTTGCACATTTATGTACCCGAAGAGTGTCAATATCCAAACATCTTTTTTTTTCTTTTAAGTTCTCCAATTTATTCATTTTTTGGTTGTGTCAGTAAACATACAACTCCATGGGTAATTTTGTGGTAGAGCTGTCAAAATAACCATAAAAATATAATGAAATATGATATGATCTGATTAAGATCAAGTAAGATGTGTGAGAAGTCTAGCAAACTGGAGGGAAAATGCTGAAAAGTCACACTGGCATGAGACAAAATTCTGTCTTGTCTTCTCCACACTCATGCATAAGCTGGGAGTCCTCTTTTCCTCCTCTTTATAGGGAATAAAGTTGCTTCCCCTGCTCCTTCCTTTTTGCTTATAAACAAAAAAAGCAAGCTGTAGATTTTTAGCAGCAGCAACCTGCTCTAAAGTAAGCCATGCTATCTAGGAGAAACAGGAACATTTCAATCAGGGCTAAGATGATTTATTTAAGGATAAAGAGCCCAATATATCTCAAATGGAATTTTCCAGGAAAGGAACATATTGTGAGTCTAGCTCCCAAGTTAGTCCGCTGGCTAATACACTGAGAAGCCAGGGTTACTGGTTGTATCTTTCCAAACCAGCATGGTTAGTTTGGTTGGTTTCAACATGGCATAAATAAATCCAAACTTCTGAGTTTAGTAATCACAGTATTAGAGGTGACACTGACTGCTTCAACAACAACAAAATTAACCCCAAAATGTAGAATGGCTCTCAACACAATAGAAGCTTATTTCTCATTAACATAAAGCCCAGAACACACACTCGTGATCAGTAGGAGGCGCTCATCTGAGCCAGGCACCCAGACCCTTCCATCTTGCGACAGACATATGGCTTCCCATCTGCTGTCTTTGTCCACATGGACACAGAGAAGGTACACAAAGAATTGCAAGGTAGAGAGTCTGTGGGCCAGGCCGTGAAGTCACAGGCATCACTTCTGCTCAGATTTTCTTGTCTAAGCCTCAGTCACTTGGGCTCCTGACCACAAAGATCACTGGTAAGCACAGGAAGAAGGGGAGACAGATGCTTGAACAGTTAGCCCGTCTCTGCCACAGTAAATGGCACCACTTACTCCTGCACAGCCATAGATAACCTCCTCAGCCATCTCCCCTCCAGAGCCTATTCCATTCTTACCTGCATCCCTAACCCAAGACAGATTGAACCCCCTTCCTCTCTGCTCCAGGGAACCTTGCACCCATCTTATCTCCATCATATTAATTATTGCTCAATTGCCATCATTTATGGGCCTGTCATTCCACTACTGTGTTAGCATCTGGAGAGCAGAGAGCATGTCTTTTCCTCTGTATATCATGGTGTCTGGCAAAGAGTAGACACTCATTTGACAGATTGAAGGATGAATAAAGTGTTACTCAAAACAAGTCCAGGTAAAATAATATGGAGAATTATGTGTTAAGACTACTTTTTGATAGAACACAAGGTTGGGCCCAAAGGCTCATGCCTGTAATCCCAGCACTTTGGGAGGCCAAGGAGAGAGGATCACTTGAGCCTGGGAGTTCAAGACTGGCCTAGGCAACATAGTGAGACCCTGTTTCTACAAAAGAAAAAAGAATTAGCCAGGCACGGTTGCAAGTACCTATGGTACCAGCTACTTGGGAGACTGAGCTGAGAAGATCACTTGAGCCCAGGAATTCGATATTACAGTGAGTTATGATCATGCCACTGCACTCACCCTAGGTGACAGAGCAAGAGCTTGTTTCAGCACAATGTGAAAAGGAAATATAAGAAATAGCAGAGCCATGCCATATTCAAAAACAAAGGGCAGCTCTTGTGGTTCCATCTCCTATCTGTGAAGTGCCAAGACAAAAGCAAGAATTCTAGTATTTATGACAGTCTGGTCATGGGCCATGCGAACTCTCACTTCAACACTCATGTTTTTAGGGTATCTAAGATGTACTGCCAGGGACCATAACAGGGTGAAAGTTGGACCTGGGCCGGTCACGGTGGCTCAGGCCTATAATCCCAGCACTTTGGGAGGCCAAGGCGGGTAGATCACGAGGTCAGGAGATCGAGACCATCCTGGCTAACACGGTGAAACCACATCTCTACTAAAAATACAAAAACAAAATTAGCTGGGCATGGTAGTGGGGTGGCGGGCACCTGTAGTCCCAGCTACTCGGGAGGCTGAGGCAGGAGAATGGTGTGAACCCAGGAGGCGGAGCTTGCAGTGAGCTGAGATCGCGACCCTGCACTCCAGCCTGGGCAACAGAGCGAGACTCTGTCTCAAAAAATAAAAAAAGAAAGAAAGTTGGACCTGTAGGGGAAATGACAGGAAGGCAGACTTGGTCATAACTGAAGAAAGGAAAGGACATAGAGCAGACATCAGATGCTCTGAAGTTCTAGTGTTGGCCCTGCCCTCGGCTAGTGGTACATCCTTGGATAAATCATTTAATCTTTCCATGCCTCAGATTTCTTGCCAGGGAACAAATGAAGTTGGATTAATTGGCCTTCCATATCTAGAATCCTAAGACTCCTTGAACTAGAGCTTGCCAACAAGCTTAGGAGGCCAGTAGCTCCCCATCACTGAAAGTATTTGAGCAAAGATGAGATGATCCTAATAACCATGACAGCCTCCTTTATTCTGTGCTTACTATGTTTCTGGAAGTGTGCTAAGCATTTCTTTTTTTGCATGCTTCCTCTTAAGAATACTATAGAGTAGGTACTAATATCATCCACATTTTACAGGTAAGGAAACTGTTTACAGAAGTTAAGTCACTTCCTGAAAGTCATTCTGCTGCCCAATGGTGGTGCCAGGATTTGAGCCCTGACTAGTGTCTTGCTCTGTGTGTCTGTGTGTTGCATTTCTGTGCTTGGAAAAGTCTGACTGGATGGCTTCATAAGGACCCTTCCCTTTTTTTTTCTTTTTTTTTGAGGTGGAGTCTCACTCTGTCACCCAGGCTGGAGTGCAGTGGCGCAATCTCAGCTCACTGCAACCTCCACCTCCTGGGTTCAAGCCATCCTCCTGCCTAAGCCTCCTAGGTAGCTGGGACAACAGGCACATGCCACCATGCCCAGCTAATTTTTGTATTTTAAGTAGAGTGGGAGTTTCTCCATGTTGCCCACGCTGGTCTCGAACTCCTGACCTCAGATGATCTGCCTGCCTCGGCCTCCCAAATTGTTGGAATTACAGGCATGAGCCACCGTGCCTGGCTGGGACACTACTTACTTATGGAAACTATACATTAAGAAATTGAGTGACTGGGCCAGGTGCAGTGGCTCACGTCTATAATCCTAGCACTTTGGGAGGCCAAGGCAGGCGGCTCACGAGTTCAGGGGATCGAGACCATCCTGGCTAACACAGTGAAACTAAAAACACAAAAATTAGCCAGGCATGGTGGTGGGCACCTGTAGTCCCAGCTACTCAGGAGGCTGAGGCAGGAGAATGGTATGAACCTGGGAGGTGGAGCTTGCAGTGAGCCGAGATCACACCACTGCACTCCAGCCTGGGCAATAGAGCGAAACTCCATCTCAGAAAAAAAAAAAAAAAAAAAACAAAGAAATTGAGTGACTGGCCTGGAAGGAGAAAGGGAAAACTCCTGAGTGAAAAAGCCCCTCCTATTTTTACAATCTTAGCATTTATAATTGCATGCTGGTCATCAGGCATGGCTCGTGTGGGCCTAAGAATGTTTTCTGAGCTGGGAGGATGAAAGTAAATCAAAGTGTTCTGCCCAGCAACAGCATGTGGGACACCAAGGCTCAACTGAGCTGAGCAAATAGAAGACTTGAAATGGCTTTATTTCAGTGGGGGTTTGTTTAGTAGTAGTTGTTTTTTAATTTTGCTTCGGTTTGGTTTTTTGAGATGAAGTCTCACTCTGTTGCCCAGGCTGGAGTGTAGTGGTGGCACTATCACAGCTCACTACAGCCTCAATCTCGGAGGCTCAAGGGATCCTCCTGCCTCAGCCTCTCATGTAAGTGGGACCTGACTAGCTGGCCAGCCATATCCTGCTAATATTTATTTATTTATTTATTTATTTAGTTAGTTAGTTAGATAGGAAGAGACAAGTCTCCCCATGTTGGCCAGGCTGGTCTCAAACTCCTGAGCTCAAGTGATCCTCTCACCTCATCCTCACAAAGTGCTGGGATTACAGGCCGGAGCCACAGCAACTGGCCTTGTTTAGTTTCAGTGAATAAAACTGCCTTTTGAGGGAGCTACAGAGGCAATATAGCAGCTTGGAATCCAGGAAGCTTCCTTGGTCTTGTGTTTCTAAGGGTCCCAGGCATATTATAAGCAACTGCTCCTGATGGAGGCGCTAGTGTATGAAGAGCTAGGTTCTGGAGCTAGACCGCCTGGACTTCTGTCTTGATCATGTGCTTTTGGGAACATGACCTATCCCGTCAGTGCCTCACCCTCTTCACATGCAAAGTAGAAACAATGACAGCAGCTGCCTCGTTGGGGTTACTATGATGATGTATGTCATGACTTAAAACACATAAGGTGCCGACAGCAGTGGCTGGTACGTAATGGATACTTAACAGAGCCATTCCTTTCAGGGTCAATGGGGTGATGGCTATTTTATTTTTTTCTTTTTTATCAATTTGAGACCAAGCACTCAAGAAAAAAAATTCAGGCCAGACGTAGTGGCTCACGCCTCTAATCCCAGCACTTTGGAAGGCTGAGGTGGGTGGATCTCTGGAGGTCAGAAGTTCAAAACCAGCCTGGCCAACATGGAGAAACCCCATCTCTACTAAAAATACAAAAATTAGCCGGGTGTGGTGGCACATGCCTGTAATACCAGCTACTCGGGAAACTGAGGTGGGAGGATCACTTGAACTTAGGAGGCGGAGGTTGCAGTGAGCTGGGATCATGCCTCTGTACTCCTGCACTCCAGCCTGGGGGAAAGAACAAGACTCTGTCAAAAAAAAAAAAATCATCCTGAGGTCATAAAGCGAAAGAGTAACAAAGGTGGGCAGGCAGGAACTACTCAGCAGTGTAGAATGGGCCCTAGAAGCAAGGATTATTCCAGAGTCATCTGAACTCAGACTCACAGGCATCACCGACAGGCCAGTCCTGCCCCAGCTCAAGCCCTGGTACTAGGGGGCCCAGGCTGGGTGGGGGCGGGTAGGGGTTGGCCCTTGCAAAACAGCCTCTATCCTGTGCAACAGTTTATAATTCAGCAGAGAGTGTTTTGTTTTTAAGAAATGTCCAACTGGATATATGGCATTGCTGTTAAAACTGTTTTTATTACCTTATGGAACTACAAGAAAGCCTAGGGATGTATTAATACATATAGGGTTGACAGGCCCATAACTATAAAGTAATGGCAGGCATTATCCATATATATTCATGGAAGTGGGAGTCCAGGGGCAGACACAGAACATTCCCAGAGGGAGCTGATGCACTTTATTATTTTTATGTAGGTTCAGATATTATTTCTCAGGTACAGCATAAAATGATGCTTTATTCCATCAACTATAACCCAGGCACACAGAATCATTCCATTTCCCAAAGGAATACAAGCAAATAAACCTTTAGGCAGCAAACAGAAATGCATTTTCTCTCCTCTCCCTGCCTTCTTTTGAGGAACAGAATTAGCAGGTTTGCCTAGAGTGCACTCTTCTCTCTTGAACCACATCTTCAATCCCCAAAGGGAACACAGTGAGATCTTCCCCAAAGGTAGTTCAAAGCTGGGGGCCCTTTCATTTGCCAGGATCTAACCCAGCTACTCAGGAGGCTGAGGCAGGAGGATCACTTTAGCCCAGGATTTCAAGAGCAGCCTGGACAACATAGTGAGACCCTGTCTCTACAAAAAAATTTTAAAAATTAGCCGAATGTGGTGGGGCATGCCTGTAGTCCCAGCTACTCAGGAGGCTGAGGTGGGAGGATTGCTTGAGCCCAGGAGTTTGAGGTTATAGTGAGTAGTGATGGCATCCGTGCCCTCTATCCTGGACGACAGACCAAGAGTCCAGCCCTAAAAAAAAAAAAAATAATTAAAAATTTTTAAATCTTTAAAAATTAAAAATCTTAAATTTTTCCTTAAGATTTATAAGAGGACTCAGTAAAGGCTGTGCTGGCAATAACATCAAACTACTGAATTCTTTGAGAACTCACTGGAGATTATTATTTTGCATGACATAACTAAACATCTTAATGGTTGACTTAATTACTTAGATGTCAGTCTGTATGTTTTTGGTGTCATAAGTACAAAGCTTAGAAATGTTACTTTTAGGGCCAGGAGCAGTGGCTAACGCCTGTAATCACAACACTTTGGGAGGCTCAGTCAGACGGATCACCTGAGGTCAGGAGTTTGAAACCAGCCTGCCCAACATGGTGAAACCCAGTCTCTACTAAAAATACAAAAATTAGCCAGGCATGGTGGCAGGCACCTGTAATCCCAGCTACTTGGGAGGCTGAGGCAGGAGAATCTCTTGAACCTGGGAGGTGGAACTTGCAGCGAGCCAAGATTGTGCCATTGCACTCCAGACTGGGCAACAAGAGCGAAACTCTGTCTCAAAAAAGAAAAAAAAAATTACTTTTAAAACCAAGTACTAGCTCATCTCTAAGTAATACTATTTAAGTAGGCAAAAGCCCCTGGAGGTAGCCTGAACTTTTTATTCTCTTAGCTGAGGGGACAGAACAGAAATGATATGACACTTACAGAAACCCCTATGTGGCCTGGCCTCATTGGAATTTTTTCTGTTAGTTAAATCAATACCATTTTTTCTATTGATTAAAAACAAAATTATTCATATGATGGGTTCAAGAAAACAAATTATTTCCCTAATGGACAGTGTAGATCCGGACTAGAAGCAAACAAGGATCTTCTATCCCTCACACATCTCAACACTCAAGCAAAAACTCAAAGAAAACAATGATACTAATGGCCACATCATGCACCGTGCTCACACAAGGATGCCAAGAGGCTTAATATGTGTTCCTTACCTGGACCCTTTTCACTGGATCAGAAATACGGATGTCTTAGTCTGATAGGCATCCTCTGCTAATGCATTTTAAATGATTGAATCAATAATTTGATGGGCCACTTTTTATAAGATGCTATGATACCCTATGAAGCACTATTAAAATATTCATTTTTCTGCACACCAGATAAGGCCCAATTGTTCATAACCAATATTGGTTCTCTGGCAAAAGGAGTAAAGGCAGCCCTCTAGATATTCCTCACTGATATTCCATTTCTCAGTGGCTACGGAGACATGAGTAGGAAGGAAATCTGGGTCCCTGCACCCACGATCTTGGTGCCATCAAAGTGCCACTGCTGGAAGGTTCCTGGGCACCATCTGAGACCAACCCCACTGTGAGGCTGAAGGAGGCTGATCAGAACAGTGGTCCTCCACCTCCTCCCTGACTTCCCAAGTCATCTTCTATTTATGTGGAATTATTCCCATAACTGGGGCCAGATGATCCCACCCTGGGAAGACTGGGGAAATTCCCAGAATGCTGACCTGAAAGTCCAATTTTCCCAATATTTCTACTGTTCCCATGTCACAAGCCTTTGGGCAAAATCTCCCAGGCTTGAGAGATTTCAATCCAGCCTGGATCACCTCTCCACTTCCTCCATCCCAGAGTGAAATTAAAAATCCCATCTGCTGTCAATGAGGAGTCCCTTCAGGCCCTAAAGTTTAGGGAGAGGAATCCCTATCTTGACTTCTTCACTGTCATCCTGGCACATCAGTTACTTCAAACAACCCAATTTCAAGAACTGATAGACCTTCATTTCTGGACACACCAAAAACAAGCAAATTCCAGAGGATCAGCTTCAGGGTGGCAGAATGGAATGAGTAAAAGCCAACCACGAGGCCAGGTGCAGTGGCTCACGCCTGTAATCCCAGCACTTTGGGAAGCTAAGGTGGGCAGGTCACCTGAGGTCAGGAGTTCAAACCAGCCTGGTCAACATGATGAAACCCCATCTCTATTAAAAACACAAAATATTAGCCAGGCATGGTGGCAGGCGCTGGTAGTCCCAGCTACTCGGGAGGCTGAGGCAGGAGAATCACTTGAACCCAGGAGGCGGAGATTGTGGTGAGCCAAGATTGCACCACTGCACTCCTGCCTGGGTGGCAAGTGAAAGTCCATCTGAAATAACAACAACAAAAAGCCAACCATGGGATCTGTGGCACAGCTCTCACTTCACCATTAGCTCAGCCAGGACTGGCAAGGGAGTGCCAACTGGAGAATCTTATCCTCTGTTCCTTAGCTGTTTAGATGTATAAAGCCTGAGGGCTTTGCACCTAATTAGGGTTTCAGAGCTTTGTTTTTCTTTCATCTAATTACATTTGCCCTGTGGGGAAGAGCCTCTGTCCAGGAGGCATTGCTCTCCGAAAATCTGTCTCAGCCCAACAACAGGTGCGAGAAAGTGAACAGCTCCTCTCCCCACCAATGTGGTGAGATGCCGAGCCAGGCCCTGGCTTCTTCTTGCTCCTCTCCTTTCATTATCTCTAACTCTAGTGTCAGCCCTCAAGCAGTCCCCTGCTTTGTCACCCCTGGCAAGGTGGGGAATGTTCTCTTAACCTGCAGCTTTCTCCTTCGGGAACAAAGCGCAGCCTCTTAGCAGCTAGCAATCAACTCCTGTGCTCAGGGCCTTCCAGCCAGACCTTCTGCAGTGCACCCTGGTAGGGGGTAAATTATCCTGAGCTTGGAAAATGTGACTGAAATCACCTCCGACAGAGGAAAATGGGTTTTCATAAAAAATGTTTCCTCACCTTTGGTTGCAACTCAATTCAACTGACCATTTCCCACCCTGGATCTCAAAAGAAATTTCTGCTTTGCTTCTGGGTATGAGCCCGGGTGATAATGAAAGGTACTTAGGAAGCCAGGCCTATTGAAGCAGCGTAGCCCTCAGAGGGGCATGGCTGACTTGGCTAAGAGTAGGACAGGGTGTGGGGTTGAGGAATCCATGGGGACTCAGGGCATCCTGTCGCAGACACAGGAGCTGACCCAGCCACAGGGTCACAGGACAGCCTGTGTCACCACAGTCTCTGTGCAGAGTTCAGAGTTTACAAATGAGATAAATGGACATTTGCTGACTGGGGTAACTCAGCATCAATTCACCCTATTTCTGGGAAAAGCCTCAATTTACATGTGGGAATGGACCATCCCCTTATTGTTATAGGAGTTATAAAGAAATTATTTTAGGCAGATAGAGAGGAAAAGAGGTCCTTGGGAAGTTTTTGTTTCTTTTAAAGCAGATCCAGAAACCTTTCTTGTCTAACAGGAGAGCACCAGCTCTAAGAGCCACTGGCAGGTTTGATATGCAAATGCAGGCCACTGGAAACTGAGTCCACCCAAACATGGAGATTTCAGGTTTCTTCCTTGCCCCAACAGGTGGCTGGCAACATGGCTGCCCCCACATATCCCCACGTGTGTAGAACATCATGGCGCCCTGCATTTGCATCTTAAAAGGCTAGAGTGTGAGGGCCAGCTTTTTCTCAGGCTATGTGAATGACATGCCTGGTCAAACCAATCCTCTGAGCCCTGTGCAAGCCAGTACCGCCTCCTCCAGCCTCCTCATATAAGTAGCTGATTACACCACACACACGCCCTCTCCCCACATCCCTTCTCTCCACCGGAGTTTTCTCTCTGTTCAAATCCCCTCTCCCTCTGTCTCTGTACTGGGGACCTGTTTTCTTCTTCCTTCCTTCTTTCTTGTATATTAAACTTTTCGCTCCTTAAAACCATTCCAGGTGTGTCCGTGTCATTTTATCCAAAAGTGTGCTAGACCAAGAACCCTGGTGTTCCTCCAGTCATCTGAGCCATATCATTATCTCATTCCATTTTTGATGGCACTAACCACCAGCATACCATGCTCCATCAGAACAGTCATCCTCCTGAGCTCTGTGAATGGCTCAGGATGCAAAAGTGAGAGAAAAATGTAGCCAAGTGAGGAGGCAGAGAGAAACTGCCTCCTGGTAACACAGTGTGTGCCCCTGGATCAAGCCATGCCTGAAGACAGTTTATTCTGAACTTTTACAATAAGTGCTCTTTTTGTTTAAATCATTTTGGATTGGGTTTTTGTTCACTTGTAAGCAAAAGCACACTATGATAAAAGGGGATACAAGACAAGTATCACAAATCCAGAAATGGGAAGGGCACAACCCCAGAGCCCAGGCCAGTCAGGGAAGTGAAGAAACAGACAGCATCTGAGATGCCTATGCCCAGTATCCAGGGGCTAGGTCCATGGTCTTTGAGCCTTAAGATGCAGGAGATCCCTGTGGGGAACTTCACAACAGCATAGATTCCCACTCATTCCCACAGCCAATTCTCATCCTTAAGTCTGGAAGGGGAATGAGAGGTTTGGTTTTTAACCAATATCCAGGCAATTTGGAAGCAGATAACACAGAGAATACTTTGAGAAACACTTCCCTACACTCTGAGCTGGGAGTTAAAGGACAGGGTTCCAGTCTCTGCGGTGAGGCAGTGGCAAGAGCTCCATGGGCGGGAAGAATATTAGGCCAGAGCTTAGAACAGGACTGCAGAAGCAAGCATGGAATGGAAGCACATCTGATGATCTGTGACATACAACGAGCCTGCAGATCACAGGCAATGATTTTTGGAAACTCATCACACAGTAGTTTGAAGCAGCAGGAACGATTTGATCCAAAGTGCCATGAGAACACTTCCGAGTCTACAAATGCTTTCATAGGTCAATCTAAGCTGTTCCTCCCAACCAACCTGTCTGGCAATTAGAAATTAGGAAATTAAAACTCAGAGTGTCTAAATAGCACACACAAAGCCACACAGCTCACTGGTTCAGTAGCCTAGACCTGGGTCCCAGTCTGTCTGACACCAAACCCCACACTTTTCAAATAATTCTCCCTTCCACTGGGGGAAGGGCTGGGTCTCAGGAAAGGTCTAAGGGACACACAGTGTGGGGATCAGTGAGACCCTACTCAGCAGGCCCAGATGAGGGAAGGGGATGCTCCACCTGACTGCGCAGGAAGGCAAGGCCATTTTAACTTTGCAGCATCTTCAACTCATCTGGCTCAAGAAATCCCAGCCCAGCTTGACGATGGAGAGTGGAGGAAGACAGGGGCACCCTTGCAAGTGAAGACTAAGCTCTGATTTTTTTTTTTTTTTATCTTACCCAAATCCCCTATCTAAAGGGTCTGGGGAGTGATGTCCTACAAACCATAAACTCTCATCAGTTGGATTTTATTTAACCCTATATATTGTGACTTACTTTCCAACCTGACTCTGTCATAACATTATGAGACAAGGAAGAAAATAAAAATATTTTACCCCAAAACATAGACTTTTTTGTCCATATCTTGAAATGGCCCTGCAAAGCTGTCCTTTGTGGGGGAAAATTTGTATCTGTAAAGAATCTCTATTAACATAGCTAGATATTTTTCTCCCCGCCCACCCAATCCTAAAGAGATTAACTGAAAGTCTAGCACTTTGTTTTTTTTTGTTTGAGACGGAGTCTCACTCTGTCGCCCAGGCTGGAGTGCAGTGACATGATCTCGGCTCACTGCAACCTCTGCCTCCCAGGTTCAAGCGATTCTCCTGCTTCAGCCTCCTGAGTAGCTGGGACTACAGACACCCACACACAGCTAATTTTTATATTTTTAGTAGAGATGAGGTTTCACCACATTGGCCAGGATGGTCTCAAACTCCTGCCCTTGTGATCCACACCCGCCTGGGCCTCCCAAAGTGCTGGGATTACAGGCGTGAGCCACCATGCCTGGCCAAGTCTAGCACCTTTTAAAGATCTGAATAGGAAACATTTGCCATCTATTGTCTGTGAGGACAGCCTCTATAAGATTTCAAAAGAACCTTGGTCTCCACCATCTTTTATCTTAACTTGAAAATTTCCTTTCTATGGATCCCAGGTCCTTAGACAAACTCACTGAAACTTACCTATAGCCTGGAAGCACCCCTTTCCTCCTGCTTTGGTCCCACCTTTCTGGACCAAACCAGTGTATTTCTTAAATGTACTTGATCGATGTCTCATGCCTTTCTAAAATGCATAAAACCAAGCTGTACCCCGACCACCTTGGACACATGTTCTCAGGACCTCCTGAGGGCTATGGCAAGGGCCGTGGTCACTCATATTTGGCTCAGAATACATCTCTTCAAATATTTTACTGAGTTTGACTCTTTTCATTTACAAGAGCAATGGAAATGATTTTCTTTGATCACAGTGTCAGCTCCTGACATTGGTTTGCGCCCATCTGTGCTGTGGACTCTTCCCTCGGAATGAGAGAGGGAGATGGCTCCCAGTGTGGTTGGAAGTCACCCCGCCCCACAACAACACAGTGCAACAGGCCCCAGCTTCACGCCCATTTCAGTTCAGGACAAGTTTTTTGGAGCATCTACTCTGGGCCAGGCCCGTAGGATACTAAGATGAAATAGAGAGAGTTCCCGCCTTTGAAGGGTGGTGATTTACCAGTGGGGAGAAAGGAAGAGGCCCATGAAAAGTCGTGTCTGTAGAAGGTAAGAAGGGGCACAACCACCATGGCAGGGGAGTCACAAAGGAGAAGCATTCAGCCTGCCAAGAGGTCCCAGGAATTTCCTGGAGGATCAGTCCCCAAACTGACTGTGACAGGGAGCAATACCCAGGTAACAGCAGAGGCCCAGAATAAGAAAGAGTCTGTGAGTGGGCAGAATTCCCTCCAGGGCCATGAGGGGAGCTGACTTCTGATTAGGGCATTTCATCCTTCTCTGAAATGCAGCTGAGAACTGGTCAGCCTCACTCCCTTGCTGAGACCAATAGCAATCCCTGATGATCTTGCCACAGGTCCAGCAGGTGCCCCATCCACACTTTGTCCCCAGCCCCTACCTGGAAGCTCCAAACACCTACCTGAGGGGCCAACTCTGATTCCCAAGGAGGTGACACCTCCTGCGCCTTGTTGATAGAACATTGATAAGGAAATAGGACTGAGTTTTAAGCTTCTTCCCATGTCAAATATTTAAAGGCAATATAATGTTCATGTTTAAATAATATTTCATGTGTAATTAAACAATCCCTTATTGTTAAATAGATGGGTTCCAATTTTGAACTGCTATAATCTGTGTATGTGTCCTTGATTAAATCCTTAAGAGAAATCCCTAGAAACATTATCTTAGGGTCAAATGGCTTGGATAGTCTGTAAACTGCTGATAATTATGGGAAATTGCCTTCCAAGAAGGTTATAACAATTTGCCTGATCCCCAGCAGCAACAGACTTTACAAAGTACTCAGTATCTAATATTTAACTTTGATAAAGATAAGCTTCTCCCTTCTTTTTCACTTAAAATGCTGTGTCCCACCTCACTTTTCAGTGCCTCTTCACACTGACAAGACGGTTGGCTAATACTTCAGAGCTTGCAGAACATTTTCATACACTTTTAATCCTCCTAACAACCGTGAGAGATGGAGCTTACTATTACCATCCTTGTTTGCAAATGAGGCCCTGAAAAGTTGAGTGATTTCTGTAAGGTCTCAGAGCCAATACACACTGGTAATGAAATAAAATGCAAGGCCCCTTATCTTTGGAGCCCAGTGTTCCTTCCACATAGGTGGTTCTCCACCCAGGCTGCCCAGGAGAATGTGGAATCTCCAGCAGTTCTGACTTAACTGGCCTGGTGTGGATGTCTGTGATGGGTGAACATTCCCAGACCCTTTTAAGAACCTGATAGAAGTGGTGGACCCACTTCCCAGAAAGAGGGACGCACAACAAAATAATTGTCCTGAGTGGGTCTGACAGAATCAAGTGAACCCTTTAAATCTGGATCTAGAGGTCAGAGACTGAGAATGTCAGAGATGCAAAAGAGATTCAGTGCAAGAGAAATCCTCCTACTGGTTTTGAAGATAGATGTTGGCACCCTGTGTCAACAACCTGAGAGTGGCCTTGAGTTGCTGGGAGCACCCCAGACTGACAAACAGCAAGAAGAATATGGGGACCTCAGTCCTACAACCACAGGAGCTGAATTCTACTGACAACCAGTGAGCTTGCAAAGAGGACTTGGAGCCCCAGATGAGAAGCAACCCTGGCTACCCTGATCTCAACCCTATGAGATCCTAAACAGACAATCCAGCCATGCAACACCCAAACTTCTGACCTATAGAAACCCTGAGATAATAAATGGGCATTGCTCTAAATCACCAAGTTTGTGGTAATTTGTTACACAGCCATAGGAAGTGAATCGACCTGATGTATCTGAGCACCTGCTAGGTTATCATTAAGATTACTCTTCAAAGGTAAAAATTATTTTTCAAAATGTTTCTGCCCTACCTTCCGTGAGCATCTGGTGATGGATGGACACACACACGTAAAGGTAGACTGTGTTTAGGTGGGCATGGTGGTGCATGCCTCTGGTCCCAGCTACTCAGGAGGCTGAAAGAGGAGGATCACTAGGGCCCAGGAGTTCAAGGCTGTAGTGAAGCTGTGATTGAGCCATTGCACTCAAACTTGGGCAACAGAGCAAGACACCAGCTCTAAAAAAATAAATAAATAAATAAATAAATAAAAACAAAAATAATAATAAAAAAAACTGCTGAATGCTATAAATAAGATTGGAACTTGCTCTGCTTTTACAAGACCACTGTTAGATGACCACTGACAAGAAGACTGTGAGCTGGTCTCTGTAGGAAGCAGGGGCCTGGGCAGCTCTGGGGGCAGAGGAGACAGGCCTGGGGCAGAGACACCTCAGGGCATTTTCAGAAGACAGCCAAAGCAGCCATTCCAGCTTGCCCAGGTAGATGGCAAGTCAATGGGACATGATTCCAGGAAGGTAGGGAAAGATGGAATTCTGGAGAGCATTGGACCTCAGATTGGGAGTCTGAACGTCTTTCCATATGCATCAGGAAGCCATGGAAAATTCACAGACTGGAGTGACTTTGGCAAAGGTGGGATTTAGGAAGACAGATCAAGGCACGGGATAGACCCATGGATGAATAGCCTTCTGGTCAGTTTGTGCCTGTGGTTTTCTATGCTGAGGAGGTGGGAATGTGCTGGGTTAGTCAGCTGTGGATTTGTGTCCCTGCCTCACCTCACTCCCCACTGTCGTGGATTTGTCAGCTCATCTGTAGTGCGATCCCTGAAGAAACACTCAGCTCACTCAGCTTGTTTCTAACCCAAAACACTCTGCAGGGCCCATCCTCTCGTCTTTGCCTGGGGATGCCAGACCATGCACTGCGGATGCCTTCCACCTTAGCACTAGTGGGCTAAATGATGACTGCCTTGCTGTCCCAACACCACCCATCAAAGGGAAGACATCACCACTGGGGTCAGTACAGCCCAAGTGACAAACTCTATTCCCTCCTTTCTCTCCATCCCATGGACCCTTGATTTGCTAAGTGGGAAGACACTTTCTCATGGTTCAACATCACCTAATCTGCACAATTGCTTCTGTAGGCTAACTCAGCCAGAAACCCTTGATATCTGGGCAAAAGTGCACATAACTTTTAAAAGGATTACTACTGCTTTTAATATTCCCTCTGTCTTAAGTCAGACCACCACCAAGGGCAGATCAGAGTTAATATTATATATCAAAGTCCTGCCATCAGCCTGTAGGATTTATTACTAACATCTGTCCACTTCAGAGCTATGGGAACCAATGGAATTGGATCTAAGGTTTTGAGTTGGCTCTTGTGCATGGAAATTTGATGCAAACACTCTAATTTATTGGCCCTAAAGGGCTTTGGCAAGTCATTTTGGCAAGTCACCCACTGAACACAGAGTGAAATTTGCAGAGGTTTCCCCTCTGCTCGAACAGTGGTGTTCTCAGCACGTACAGGGAAGTTCTGACCCCTTCCAGCCAGGTGAGCTAGGGGATTTTGCCTACCCTTTCTGAACCTCAGTTTTCTCATCCATAAGATGGGAATAAAAACATGGTCCTGGATACATGTCTCATGCTAGGCACTGAGGCAGGGTACTCTCTCCCCTGAATGCCTTGCTATTGACGCATCACCAGTAAGGCATGCATTCATTGCACAGAAACTTAGGCATATGCCTACCAACATGCCCGATGTTGTGTGAGGCCTGACCCCTGTGAGGATGGACTTCCATCTGTGTGAATGGATTCATGAGACCAGCCCTCACTCTCAGGACTGAGGGCATTGGTGCTCTAACTTGTCTGAATATGGAATCAGCTGGAGAGATTCTGTAAATTACCAGTCCCATTCCCCCCCTGAGATGCTGATTTCATCGGTCTGATTTCATTGCAGCCTGGTCGTTGGGATGTTTAAAACTCTCCCTAGGAATTCCAATGTGCAGCCAAGTTTGCAACTACACGGAGCCAGGTTAGTGGTGCGGTCAGCATGGTGATAATTGGGCTCATGAACCCATGACCTCAGCTTCATCAGGAGACCCACTGTAAGTACTGGCCCAACAGGAGGGAAAGGAGCTGAGTCAGATGATACCACTGAGGGGCATGAGCAAATGAAAAAACAGGAACCCAGCCATGAAGCTCGGCCTGAGTGTTGGAGATGCCACTATAGAGACCCTGGTCTTAGCAATCCAGAATTTTCCCCAGTAGAAGGGAGAAGCAAAGATTATCCTGGCCGGGACTGTGTAAGGCCTTTGAAGGTTGACCATCCACCTCACCCTGCTGTTTCCCTCCTTCCCTGCAGAACAGCCATTCACCTGAATGTTCCAGGCTTTTGGTTAACAACCCCTGGTCTTTTATACCCATTCACACTCAAAATCAGGGGGAATTCCTTGAAATGGTTAAAATGCAAAAGTGAAATTTAGAAGCCCTACGAATGAACTAACAATCCAACAAAAAATTCCCAACACTTTAAGCAAATGCTTTTCAGGCAGAGCCTTCAAATTGCTACTGTCCCACTATCTTCTGGAATCGTGTGTGTGTGTGTATGTGTTTGTATGTGTGTGTAGAGGAACAGGTGAAGCAGCAACCATAAGATAGCCTACTTCAGGTCTGGCACCTGTTTTCACTGCTGTCATGCCCTCTTCACTGAGATCCTGACTTAAATATGTACACATGTGAATGCTGATTTCTTAGCATGAATTTTAACTCAGCTTCTGCTCGAGCATCAATGATTCCCAATTCCCATCAGAGTGAATGGCCCCTTCCTGGTCTCTACAGTCAGTCCTCTGAAGCTGCTCAGCTGCACCCCTGGGAGCTGAGGGGCCAACTCTGACTCCCAAGAAGGTGACCTCTGTCTGCCTTCCAGGGCCAGAGATGCAACATCACACACACACACTGCCTTTGGAACGTATGATTAAGCTTTTGCCAGTAGCCTGACAGCTTCCAGCAGCTTTGTCTGACACTGTGTCTGCTTCTCTGTGCCAAAGTCACTGAAACAAAGGGACTGCAGATGTTGCTGTGAAGTCCTTCCAATTCTCTAGGACAGAGGAAAGCACTACATTGGGTGGGGGGTGGAGTGGGGATGATGGACTGTGGGAAACCGGCATGATGGGCATGAAACAATAAAAATGAAGCTGATTTTCTTCATACCACTTGCTGCCATAGAGATACATTTGTTTCTGTGTCCCTCTCACTGGAATGTAAACTCCCTGAAAGCAAGGACTTGGCTTATTGCTGTATCCCAAGAGCCTGACACAGTGCCTGGCACATGGTAGACACTCAATAGATGTTTGAGATAGGGAGGAAGGGAGAGAGAGAGGGAGGGAGGCAGAAAGGGAGGGAGGCAGAAAGGGAGGGAAAGAAGGAGCAAGGAAGGAAGGAAGGGAGGGAGAGAGGGGTGGAGGGACATAGACTGTGGAGTTGGATAGACTTGGCTTTAATCCTTTCTGTAGCAATTCTAGCTGTGTAAAAATACACGAGTGAGTCATTTATTTTCTTTGAGTCTCTTTCTTCATCATAGTACCAATTAACAGGGCTGAGGTAGAGAGTGATACATGTAAGGTTGCTAGCACTATTGGCAATCAAAACATGAGAGCTACTTATTTACATTGTGAGTATTGCTACTACTGATATTATCAGTTCTGGACATTACTAATGATGTGAGCACTGGTCTTTCATCAGAGATTACTGGATAAGGAACATTTACCGTCTTGTCTCTGCTCATTGTGCTAAAGTTCCTTCTTTATCCAACAACACTTTCTCCTGTTTTCCCAATTTAGTGAAAGGATTAATCTTTTCACTCTCATTCTTCCTGTTTTGTTTCCCATAATATGGGTCCCATCCTTCCTCATGAGATGGGTATCTCAGCAATTGAGCCCACCCCACCCACATATTTGACCCTGATCCAAGACCCTCATTTCTGGGAATGAACCCCAGATCAGCCATGATAGAGGATAGCCTGGTTTTATCTTGCTTCTGAGCAGGATCCAACAATTCTCATAAAATTCTCCCCAGCCTGTTCAGTGGAATTGTCAAAGCATCATTTTCAAAAAGTGTAAACATGATTCTTATATAAGTCTATAGGGAGTGTGTATAAAGATCTGTTTACTTCACAAAAGAAGGAACCAGAGGATGGTAAAGCTGTTTGAAAAGAGAATTGGAAGGAGAAAGATTTGGATAGACCATCAGAAACAGCATGCTGACATAAGTTTGCTAATTTGGAAACCTCACTCATTAATGTCCTGTAGAGTAATAAAATCTTTTTACAGGACAAAAATCATTTGTATCTCTACCAGACAAAAATTAACAGGTAACTTGGCAGAGTCTGGGCCCTAATCAATAGTAAATAGTAAGTCAAACAAAAGTACCTTCCCTTAGAGAGTTAAAAAAATCTTTGGTGGTTTGTTAGGCAACCTTCCAGTATGGCATTAGAAAGACGTGCAGTCATCCTATTTTTAATTCCAAGTTTGGGTTACTTTTTTTTTGAGATGGAATTTTGCTCTTGTTAGCCAGGCTGGAATGCAGTGGAATGATCTCACCTCACTGCAACCTCCACCTGCCCGGTCCAAGCAATTCTCCTGCCTCAGCCTTCCCAGCAGCTGGGATTACAGGTACACATCACCACGCCTGGCTAATTTTTGTATTTTTTAATAGACACAGGTTTTCGCCACGTTGGCCAGGCTGGTCTCAAACTCCTGACCTCAAGTGATCTGCCCACCTTGGCCTCTCAAAGTGCTGTGATTACAGGCATGAGCCACCATGCCCGGCCAAGTTCAGGAGACATTTTTAAAACAAAATTGGTCTCTCTCAGCGTGGTGGATGTCCCTGCAGAATTTAAAAATTCTATTATGTTCTAGATGTCTGATGCTGTCAATTCTCAATGGCCAGAAGAGGGCATCTGCCCAGATCAGTTCAGGTGTCTATCCCTGGTCAATCGCCTGTGCCCAGGGCAGCATATCAGGTACACAGGACTGTTTCTTCCCTGCTATTGGTAGAAGAGCTTTTCTAAGAAGGGGATAGGCTGGAATGGAAGAAAAGAGTCCAAAGAGGAAGGAACCACAACAGAAAGAGAATTGCTTTCCTTTCAGTTGTGGGAGCACCAGCTTAATGCCTCTTTTCCACATTTGCCCAGTAGAGGAAATGTTTGGGCCGAATGACAGAAAACCTAGGGTAGCCTCTTTGGTGCCTCCTGACAATCACAGAAGCAGGCTGGGATCCTACCCAGGTATGGCAGAGCAAGTGAGCCCACCTAGGTGGGAATCCTTACCCTCCTAATCCTGCAGGTTCACTTCACAATCTTGTGTAGACCTTAAACCGTTGTTTAGACAGTTATATGAAATGGGGTATTTCCTGGAGAAAAGGACAGTGAATGGGGATATGGGGATTTTTTTTTTTTTTTTGAGACAGAGTCTCACTCTGTCGCCTAGGCTGGAGTGCAGTGGCACAATCTCTGCTCACTGCAACCTCCGCCTCCTGGGTTCCAGTGATTCTCCTGCCTCAGCCTCCTGAGTAGCTGAGATTACAGGCGCCCACCACCACACCCAGCTAATTTTTGTATTTTTAGTAGAGACAGCGTTTCACCGTGTTGGCCAGGCTGGTCTCAAACTCCTGACCTCAGGGTATTCTGCCCGCCTTGGCCTCCCAAAGTGCTGGGATTACAGGCATGAGCCACCGCACTGGGCTGGGGATTTCTAAGTCCACTTGGCTCTCTCCCCTCTGGGCCTCAATGGGCAGCATTTTATCTGTAGCCTTTTTATCTTATAATAGTTTAACTAATGGATCTATTTTGAGTAAGGGATATGTACAAATTCTTTTGTGATTCCAGGAGGAGATGAGAAGAACAAAGTGCAATTATAAAAATATCACTGTCACCATTATCTCCAATCAGCACATCATTCACAGTGACAGTTCTAAGAGCTTTATATGGGAAAAGTGTAATCTATTGCAAATAGAGGGCCATCATTACTACTCTTAGGCTCCCTTTAGGATTAGGGATGCAGGTTATCATCTAGGTCCTGCGGTCTCCTGGAGAGAGCAGGGAGCACCATCTCCATTAGTCGAAAGAAAGAAACGTAAATGTTATGAGATGAGACTAGGGCAATGATTCCCTGTTCTTGAGACAACCAGTCGATTCGGTGTTGAAGAAAAACTCAGTAAGCTTTGATGCCTTGCTCTTAACCTACAAACTTGGTAGAGCCACAGAAAGAACATGGAGCAAAATGAAGACATGGTTTAGTTCCTCTAAGGATCCTTTCATACTTAGGCATTGCTTAATCCAGTTGACTGATTTTTCAAAGAATCTTGCCATATCTGATTTGAAAGCACACAAAGTAGGTGGCTACTTCACGCCTCATCTCTTGGCTCTAGGATCATATTGGGATCAGGCTTTGGGATCAGGTTCTTTGCAGATCAGAAATGGCATAGGGGAGTGTACCAGGAATCAGACAAACCTAAGCACACATCCAGATTCTGCCATTTTTTTTTTAGCTGTGTGGGAAAATCTCTTTGCTACTGACATGGTTTGGCTCTGTGTCCCCACCCAAATCTCACGTTGAATTGTAATCCCCAGTGTTGGATGTGGTTTCTAATGGTTTAGCACCATCCCCCAGTGCTTTCTCATCATAGAGTGCTCATGAGATCTGGTTGTTTAAAAGTGTACAGCATTCCCGCTTTAGCTCTCTTCCTCCTTCTCCAGCCAAGTAAGACATGCCTCCTTCCCCTTCACCTTCTGCCATGATTGTGTTTCCTGAGGCCTGCCAAGCCATGCTTCCTGTATGGCCTGTGGAACTGAGAGTCAATTAAACATCTTTCTTTCTTTCTTTCTTTCTTTCTTTCTTTCTTTCTTTCTTTCTTTCTTTCTTTCTTTCTTTCTTTCTTTCTTTTTTGTTGAGATGGAGTCTCGCTCTGTCACTCAGGCTGGAGTGCAGTGGTGTGATCTTGGCTCACTGCAACCTCCACTTCCAGGATTCAAGCAATCCTCCTGCCTCAGCCTTCTGAGTAGCTAGGATTACAGGTGTGTGCCACCACACCCAACTAATTTGTGTGTGTGTGTGTGTGTGTGTGTGTGTTTAGTAAACACGGGGTTTCACCATGTTGTCCAGGCTGGTGTCTAATTCCAGACCTCGTGGTCTGCCCACCTCAGCCTCCTAAAGTGCTAGGATTATAGGCATGAGCCACCACACCCAGCCCACCTCTTTTCTTTATAAGTTACCCGGTTTCAGGTAGTTCTTCATAGCAATGCAGACTAATACAACTACTTTGAGTCTCACCTTTCCTTATTTGGAAAAATATTTCCATTGAAGTGTTATGGTGAAGATTCAATACAATTAAATGATATAACATATGTAAAGGGCTTAGCAATAATCCAATGGCTAATAAGCAGCCAAGGAGTGGTAGCTCTCAGTATAGTCAGCCTCTAAGAAGAGAGCAAATGTTTATTTTCAAGAAGAATTATGCAGAAAGGGCCACTTTCAGTCTACCATCCCCCCAAATTCCTTGAAGGAAGGATGATGTGAGCAGCAAGGGAAGAAAGGGGAGTGGGTATGATATACTATAGAACCTGCAAGGAATGAAGTCCCTCTGTCTGTGTGTGCCTATATCAATAATTTAAACTTACACATTCATGAGATGCACTGTGTTTATTAGGGTGTACATGTGTCCCTAAGAATCTGAGAGTTCCTGAGAGACAGAGATGGTGTCTTACTCATCTGCTCTCCCCAGGTCCTGGCTTACTACCTGGCACTTATTGGGTAATAAATGTCTGTTGAATGCATGGAAAAAGGAAGGTAGGAAAGGTATGAAGGAGAAGATGGAGGTCACGACCAGTAGAAATCTCAGCTGTTCTGCCTGGGCTCCATGTCATCTCCCAGCTATTAGGCCCATTAGAATGTAAGCACAAATGCCTAGAGAATGACTAGCTTCTTTGGGACTCTGCTGACTAGACATGACATAAGACTGGACGGCTCCTGGGGAACTTCCAAGAGCTGGCTCCAGGCAGTGACTAATCCTAGCAGCTGCTGGCTTGGATGCCTCTCTCCCTTCCTTATTTCCAAGATTGGTCACCTCCTGCTCTGAAATAGCAATTGATTTTCAGACATGAGTTGATAGAGCCATGATTTTCTAATACTGTTCCAAAGGGGCTAAAGTACCTCTGAGGAGCAGTGCAGGCTAGGATCAAACTCTCCCTACCTTCCACTCCACTCCCTACCTTGCCCCTCCACCTCTGCCCACTTTCTATTTCCTCAGGCACAGCAGCTTCTACCTTATGGATTACAAATTCTGGTCATCCATCTATGGTTGCATTAAGAAAAGAGTACTGCTACTTTCATTTTCTTTTCTAACCACTGCCCTAGAAGAATAACACCTCACATTCTCTGGTAGACTGAAGCCTGCAGCTGCAAGGATGCTCAGAAAACCAGACTTCTATTCATTGGCCACTTGCTGCACTTTCTGTCCCTCGATCCTTGCAACGTACCTTTGAGGTAGGCATAAAAATCCCCATTTACAAGTGAGAAAACCAAGGCAAAAGAGGTTCAGTTTATTTCAGGCTCAAATGTGCTTCCAATAGCTTATAGCCTCTACAGCTAGTGTTTGAACCCAGGTCTGAAACAAATAGGATTGACAAGGGGAGGGAAAAGAGGAACAGAAATTCTTTTTCTATAAGACAATTGTTTATGCAGCCAGGATTTCTTAAAGTCCAGTTTGTGCCTAGGACATAATCTTTGAATTTGCTTTGTTTCTCGATGAATAACTTGGAAGCTATTCAAATAACTTGGAAGCTTCCTTTAAAAGGAACATCAGGAGGTGATTTTTGACTAACTCTAGGTGTACTTTCTGAGCCAAATAGATTTTTAAATAAGAAAATGAGAGGACGTGAGCTTGAGGAAAATGATAGGCATTCCAACCTCACCTGCTTGCTGACGACCTCCACGAGATTTCAACAATGATTTCAAATATTACACTTTTTAAGTCAGTGTGACTTAAGTATGAAATTGCCTCTCCCTAAAGCTCCCCTAAGGCCTAAACAGTCATCATTACCATAGCTGTGACAGGGAGGCTGTTGAATTTATAATCTATTGGCCATTCACAGCATAGCGTATAAACCTAGCTCATGATTTCTTTGCAATAGAAGTGCACTTTTTCATCATATTCCCTTCAAAACTTACTCACCATATCAGACTTTGAGCTCTCCTCCTGGCTTAGCCTGGATCATTTGAAATTGTCATCCATCCTTTGGCCTCAATACCTAAACTAAGGTCTATGAACAATAAGATGATTTTCTTCAGTGGGACTTTTTTGTTTCATATAATATTAGATATTTCCCCTGATACAGGGCTCAATCTTTTTCTTTTTAAAGCAATATTTCTCAAAGTACTTTTCACAGAACTTAAGTTTCATTAAGCACTTCACTAAAAGAAAAGTCTGTGATCTAATAAATTTGGAAAATATTGAGAATTAGAGCCCCCATTAGATATGTACCGTAGCTACTCAGCTTGCTACAGATGAAGTAAACATTGTAATATTCACCCAGCTTTTGAGTGATGTCTATTAACGTCACCCAAATGAGTATTCCATGGAATGCACTTTGCAAAAACCTATTATTCAAGAAACTTCTGGAGCATGAAAGCTATTAACGATAAATCCATTCACAAAATCACACCAAATATCTAAAATCATGTTTAAAATCTCCTAGAAATGGGTTGAACTGCCCACTTCAGAGACAAAGTGATTCTTTTGTAATAACGAGTTTTGTTTAGTGAGTACTTATTATCTCATTGAATCCTGAGGACTACCTCACAAGGTAAGTATAGCTCTTTTCATTACACATGACAAACAAGACTCAGAGAGGTTAAGTAACTTGCTCAAGATCACAAAACTGCAGAGTGACAAACCTAGAATTTTAAATCTAAGCTCAAAGGGTCACCAAACCAAATTTGGGTCCACCCACCCAGCCTATCAAAGTCAAGCACTGATATCAGCATTGCTGAGACAGAAGTTGAGGAATTTATTGCAGGCAGCAAGCAAGGAGTATCAGGCAGCTAATCCTTAAGGCCTAATCTCCCTGATGGCTTATGTGTAAGGGTTTTTAAAGGGGGGAAGGCAGAGGTTGCAGGCAAGGTCATACAATACATGGAGGCTACATATTGGTTTGGCCAAAAAAGGCAAAATATCTCGAAGTGAGGGCCCACAGGATAGGTGATCATTAGATGAATTAAAAGATTTTCTGATTTGAGACCAGGTGCAGTGGTTCACACCTGTAATCTCAGCACTTTGGGAGGCCAAGGTGGGTGGATAACTTGAGGCCAGGAGTTTGAGACCAGCCAGACCAACATGGCAAAACACCATCTCTACTAAAAATACAAAAATTATCTGGGCGTGGTGGTGTGCACCTGTAATCCTAGCTACTCAGGAGGCTGAAGCATGAGAATCGTTTGAACCTGGGAGACAGAGGGTTCAGTGAGCTGAGATCATGCCACTGCACTCCAGCCTGGGCAGCAGAGTGAGACTCTGTCTCAAACAAACAAACAAAAACCCAAAGATTTTCTGATTTGTGATTGGTTAAGTTTTGGCTACAAACTTGGGGTCAGCAGAAAGGAATGTTCTGCTCTGGCCTGTGGGTGTGACTTCCTCCAGGTCCCTCAGGAAGAAATTTAGAACAAAGAACAGTTGTGAGAGTTCAGTCTTCAGTTCCTCCTTATCTGAGATCTATGAGTCAAGAGGTGGTATTTTCCATTTAGCGGGGTCTGGATTTCTACAAAACAACTCAGGGACATATGTTAAGATGTTATCTCTAGTTTCTATAGGGAAACAAATATTTTGTGGCTCTACTTTTCTTTTTTTTTAATTTAACTTTAAGTTTTAGGGTACATGTGCACAACGTGCAGGTCTGTTACGTATGTATACATGTACCATGTTGGTGTGCTGCACCCATTAACTCATCATTTAAGATTAGTTTGTGGCTCTAATTTTCTTGACTATTGTTTTAGGCTATTATTACCTTCTTACTTATCACGGTGCTCATCTACTTCTTGAGCCTAGGCAGGTGGCTGGAATTTTCCTTGGAGGGACTCAAGAGTTTCCTTTATTTTTCATGCCTTAAATGGGTCTGTTCTCCCTCTCCAAAGCTCAAGCTTTTAAGGACTATGCTATGGTTAGATTTTTTGTATTGGAGCCAACCTTCCCTCCTACTCAAGAACACCCCTTCTTCAGACAGCCTGGCTGGGTCTTCATCCTGGGAGAGCTCATGAAACACAAACCAGATCTTGGCCCTCACATGTGTCTAGGTAGAGCTGACCCTGGGCAACACCAAGCGTTCCCCCAATTTTGCATGCCCCAGCCAATTCAGAGTCAAGATCCATGCTCATCTCCTTCCCTGCAAAGTGCTAATGATGAAGGATGGGGATCAAGTCAGCAAACTCCAGAAATGCTCTTAGACTAGGAGTCAAGCCTTGAGATCCTATTACACACCAGATTCATTCCCTGATTAGAGCTGCTGAATTCTTTTACTGTCACTGCGCTCATGCTAAAATTTCTTTCCTCTAGCCTCCTAGCCCCAGAGGAGGCTGAGCCATGATACCCATTGTCAAGCAATAAATATTTAAGGAGCCCCTGAGATATGTCAGGCACCATCGTAGGTGCTGGGACAAGTGAATGTGACCAGGAAAGTCCCTCCCCTCTCAGAAGTTCTTTTCAAGTTGGAGGACAGCAAATACAGAAATATAGAGTCTAACATAACAACAGGGAGTAATAAACACTTTGAAGAAAAATAAAGTGGAATAAGAGGGTAAGGTTGCCATAGGGTTCTCTGGGCAGTCTTCTATGGGAAGGCCACTTGTTGGGGCAGAGAAACAAAAGATGTCTGAAAGGAGGACTACGGGCCCCCCATAAGTGTGCTCCAGTCAGTGCACAGGGCAATGGGCATGTAATTTCCTATGATTAAGACCTACAGTATGTACAATATTACTGCAACAGACACTGAGACTGACTTAGCATTGTTTCATAGCATCCGAGTTGCTCTGTTGGAGGAAAGTGCATGTGATGGGCATTCATTTGCTTCCGCCATCAGACAGATTCTCTACCTTTGTCCTTCCTACAAGATTCCCTAGGAAGGCAGGGCTCAGTGGCTCACGCCTGTAATCCCAGCAATTTGGGAGTCCGAGACAGCCAGATCACAAGGTCTGGAGTTCAAGACCAGCTTGGCCAACATGGTGAAACCCCGTCTCTACTAAAAATACAAAAATTAGCTGGGCATGGTGGCACGTGCCTTTAATCCCAGCTACTCAGGTGGCTGAGGCAGGAGAATTGCTTGAACAGAGACCCGGGAGGCAGAGGTTGCAGTGAGCCAAGATCGCACCACTGCACTCCAGTCTGGGCTACAGAGTGAGACTCTGTCTGATAAATAAATAATAAATAAATAAATGATTCCCTAGGAAGCTGACTCCCACTGAATGTGCCACTCAGGAGTCCCTGCTCTCTAGATTACAGTTGAGTTTGCTCAATGCAAGGCCCCAGCAGAAATGTTGAAAGTAAGAGCAAATAGATAGTTAACCACTCTTTAAGACAACAATGGATGTATACTTCTCTGGCCTCAGCTCCTGTGGGGAAGCTCCAGTGCCAATCCCTGGGTGCTTCACCATTTTCAATTAGTTTCTGAACCTTGTAAACAGACCCTTCACTAAATTCTTCCTAGTTAACCCTTTGAGAATGAAACCATTTCCTGCCAGGACTCTGGCAGATACAAAGAACCCACAGCTGACTGCTGGGTCCCCGGCAGACCTAGTGCATGGCTCCACACTGCCATCTTGGGGGCTGGCACATGCTGGCACTGAGTCTGGGGAAGGGAGCTGGGGCTGGAGGTGTGGAGGGGAAGACCGTGCATAGTTGCTTCCTGATCAGCTCTTTATTTGATTGAGAGTGAGGCAGGGAAGATTAGAGGGGAGCTTACAGTGGAATTCAGGGCTGAGGCTGCTATTCTTTTGCTCCTTGTAACTTCCTACAGTGTTGTCAGCATCCACATACTTCTCTGTGGGGTTGGTCTCAGAGCCAGGTTACCTTGTCTTAGGTCCAGTGGCACCCTGACTGGCTTGGTGTCCTTGAATAAGTTAACTAACCTCTCCATACCTCAGTCCCTCAGCTGTAAAATTAAAAAAAAAAGAAGAAGAGTACCTACTGTATAGCATTGATTTGAAGATTGAATGAGCTGGTATTATACAACGTTTAGAAGCAGTGCCTGACACGCAAAAGGCTCTCAACAAATACTATCCTTTACTAATATCCTGTGTGTCTGTATCAGAGCTGGTGGGGTGGAGGGACAGAAAGAAGTGGGAGAAAGGTAAAGAGATGGGCAAATGATCTCTAAAGTCTCTCTGGCACTAACACAATTCTTTATTATGTGTTTTGTCTGGCTCTTTATATTGATAGCTGTTCCAGAGGCAATCAATACCTATTAGTCGGTTTTATTCTTATTTTTCTGTCTGATCTTACAGGGGAGCAAACTGTGGCAAAACATGAACTTACTTCTCAGGAAATTAACCATTATGTTGGCAATCACTGTGATTATTTGAACAGCAGCATCTGGACAAATTTAGTCACATGAAGTACAGAAGAGAGATTTCTCATGGTTAAAATGAAGCTCTCTTTATTTGCTTCTGCTAATTAAAAAATCAGAGCTAAAGATACTTAAACACTACAGTTAAAATGCCATGGTTGTCTATTGGCTTAATGAATTCTCTTATGAAATCAACTCTAATATGTTATCCATTATAAATCATGAAACACAATTTTTCTTATTCTCTTTAGAGCTTTACAATTCATCTTAAAAACCAGTGTTTACACTCTCTTCTGTAGGTAGTACAATAACTTTTAGCGAGAAAAAATAAAAGTCTGGCTTTCTGACTCATAGGTGTATTCCCTTTAACAGAAAAAGAAAATATATCCTCTTTAAAACTGATGATCATTGGTCACCTCAATTTTATCAAAGTTCACTTCTGACCTCTTTAGATGTAGTTCTCTACATAAAACTGCCCAACAGAATTCTCTGTCTGAATGCCTCCTCCACAAACAAAATTTTAAGAACTAAAATCATCATCTTTCCTTCCAAATGTGCTCTCCCTATGTCCCCAGGGCTCTCCACATGTAGAGCTGAGACCATTTGCCACTCAGTTTCCTCACCCAATTAATTACAAGTCCGAACAATTTTCCTTTTTTTTTTTTTTTTTTTTTTTTTAGACGGAGTCTTGCTCTGTCACCAGGCTGGTGTGCTGTGGTGCAATCTCAGCTCACTGCAACCTCTGCTGCCTGGGCTCAAGCGATTCTCCTGCCTCAGCTTCCCAAGTAGCTGGGATTATAGGTGTGTGCCAATACATCCAGATAATTTTTGTATTTTTAGTAGAGAGGGGATTTCACCATATTGGCCCAGATGATCTCAATCTCTTGACTTCATGACCTGCCCACCTTGGCCTCCGAAAGTGCTGGGATTACAGGCGTGAGCAACCATCCCTGGCCCAGTTTTGCCTTTTTAACATCCCTCAGCTCTTCAAATCCATTTTCTCTTCTCTAACACCTCCCCATTCCCCAGCTCGTAATGAGCTCTTAAGTAGATTACTACAATCACCTCCCAAATGGTCTTCCTGGCTCCATCAGCCTTGTGACCTTCAAGTTCATTCTCCACATGGATGTCAGAGTAACTTTCTAAAATGAAAATCTGACCACGTTACTCTCTTGCCTAAATCCACCTATGGCCGGTGTTAGGATCAAGTCTAAACTCCCGACCCTGGAACATCAGGTCTTCATGCTCTGTTCACTGCTTCTCTACCTCACCTGCAACCAACACCACTCCCACATCCATATACTGCTCACCGTGTATCAACATGAACAGGAGGTGGGTGTTTCAGTCCCCAGGAAGACACTGGGCCTTTTCAATCATCTACTGCTATGTAATACCCACCCCACAAACTGACCACATGATTTCATTTTGCAAGGGTTCCTTCCTTGGGCTGTGTTCAGCAAAAGGGTTTACTGAGCTGGCAGGTCCAAGATGGCCTCACTCACAGGACTGGCTGTTGATGGGAGCCTTGATGCTCTTGGGCTCACCCCTTATCCTCCAGTAGGTTAGAGCTTCTTACAGTGGTTTCAGGCAGCATCTGAAGCCAGTAAAAGCAGAAGCTCCAAGGCTTCTTACATTCTAGCCTGGAAAATCACATCACATTGCTTCCTTCATATTTTTTTGGCAAATCAGGTTGCAAGGCTTGCCCAGATTAGGGTAAAGAGGCTCCTTTTCTTTCTTTCTTTTTTTTTTTTTGAGTCAGAATCTTGCTCTGTTGCCCAGGCTGGAGTGCAGTGGTGCAATCTAGGCTCACTGCAAGCTCTGCCTCCTGGGTTCATTCCATTCTCCTGCCTCAGGCTCCCAAGTAGCTGAGACTACAGGCACCTACCACCACGCCCGGCTAATTTTTTTTTTTTTTTGTATTTTTTAGTAGAGACTGTGTTTCACTGTGTTAGCCAGGATGGTCTCCATCTCCTGACCTCGTGATCCGCCTGCCTTGGCCTCCCAAAGTGCTGGGATTACAGGCGTGAGCCACCGTGCCAAACCAAGAGGCTCTTTTTCTTGATGAAAGGAGTAGTGAAGTCACATTGCATGTCCTTGCAAAGGGACATGCAGACCACATTAGTGAGAATATGTGCCTGTATTTTGCAATCTGTAACATGGGCATAAACTAAATGTTTTCCAAAGGGAATAGGGCAAAACAAAAAGGACCTTGACCACTCCTTTGGCCCTGAATAAATCCAGGTAGCCTAAGAGTATGACTATCCTGAGGTAGAAAGAGGGTCACATGCTGGATAAGAGGTACCTGGGCTCTCCACTTACAAGAAGAGAGCATGGTTACATTTATAATCACCATTCCCAACATGCTGTGAGTGCAGGCAGCTACCAGGTGGAGAACAAAGGAAATAACCAGGACACCCATCTCTAAACCTGTTAATTTAATCACATGGAACACTTCTATTTAAAATTCCCGAGGGTTAAGATGTAAGAATGCTTATCAAGGTAGATGCTGTTCACACTGCTTGGAGTGTCAGGCCTAGATCTCTATCCATCAGAAACAACAATATCAATAACAACAACAGCAACATGATGATGGGGCAATTTCTGAAAAGCACCATGTATTTTATTGATACATGTCTGTTGCAGAAAATCCAGGTGAATCCAAAGAAGAAATAAATGTCTTCCACAATCCCATAGCCCAGAGCTAACTAACCACTATAAAGAACCCAGTGTGGTTTTAACTAATGGATCAAAAGATGCTCATCAAAGATCTGAGCTTTCCTGAGTGCTAACAGGAAACATCCAGCATCTCTGGTCTCTACAAGGCTGCAGGTGTCTTTGACCATAGTGCCTGTTTTGTGTCAGGGAAAGAATCAACCTGGGAGCCAAGCCCAGGAATCAGGATGACCAAGACATACTCGACAAGGAGGGAACAAAGCCATCCAAGGACAATCAAGGACAAATCAAGCAAATGAATTTAAGGGAGACCTGCTCATGGTATGCTTTGCTGCTCAGCATGGCTGGGAGGCACAGTGGAAGATCATGCATCCTTCCCCTGGGACTCCTCTGCCAGAGCCTGAGAGATTTCTCCTGCCCACAGGCTAGGGGTAGGACAGTTGGAATTGATCCATGCCTTCTAGCTAGACTGTGGGTCCCCTCAGTCTTGGGCATGGTGACAGCCCAGCATCAGACAGAGGTCAGTATCAAACTAGAAAATTTAATAAACGCTGTCAGATTTGTAGACCCAAGAAAATATAAACTGGCAATCACGGAGGAAAAAAATCTCTCAATGATCTTATCTTTATATGATTCCCTTGCTGTCTGGAAATTGACATTTCCTTGGGGATAATCTGGTCATAGGATTGGTGAACGTGAAAGGGAGGCAACCTCCGAAGGTGGGGCCCTCTGCTCACCTGGGACAGGGAGGGCCTGAGGTAGGTGTCTGTGTGAGCTGGGGAGGAGGATGGGAGCAGTGCTTCTAGATATTTCCACTTTCTCCTCATTAGATAATAACGAATGGGTGATTTCCCTAGTCACTGCAGTATGAGGAAATCTACAAAATCAATTTCCCAATACGCTTTACAGGATAGGTGGAGACACCCATGAAGCACAACTGCAGTGGGTTATAAAAAACGGCCTTTCGAGTTGAGCAATAAATTCGTTCAAGCAGCCATTCTGAAGGACAAACGTGGCTCTGTATTTAAGAGGGGCATTCCAGCACTTCTCTAGCCACTGGGTTGACAATGACTCACCAAAGCCTCTGGTAGCCACCACAGGACGCCCAGAGCATATGTTTTAAAGCTGAACACCAAACTGCGGACTTCGGGAGTAAGTGAACTGACTGGTTTTTATTTTGTTTTACTGCTTTTAACATTACAGTAACTGTTACAGGTTCCAGCAGGCTAACTGGGTGGAAATGAGTTTGGTTTCACTTAGTCTCTCTAAAGAGAAAGCAAGTCGGTAGACTAATACCTAATAAAAGCAAAGCTGCCAACAATTGAAATTGCCTGGGCTGCTCTGTGTGTCCCACATGCATGGGTGTGGGTGCCAGTGTGTGTGCGCGTGTGCATGCATGTGCATCTGTGTCGGGATAGAGTGGTAAGAAAATGGGAAATAATAAGAATGTTCAGTACATACCCTTTCATTATAAAAAGGTGAGCTATAATAAATACTAGTGCCACATTTAGTCAAAACTTTACTCCAGCCAAAGGTGATATTTTCATGATAACATCCTGTGATTGCTTTGTTCTTCGTTTTTTATGTTCTTCCTAGATGGGCTCAGAACATACAAGAATTAAGTACACATCTTATTTTCCAGTGATAATGCTACCGGCAAATCCTGTTGTTTGTATAAACATCAGCCATGTTTATATAACTAAACTAGTGTTTTGTTTTGTCAATTCAGCAAGAAATTAGACCAAATGGTGGCTTAATGCTGCATTGATTTGTCTATCAATTTGTTTTCACTTTTCTGCAAAATATTTAATACATTATTAAATTGAATTATGTTGATGCCACAGTTGTTCTTATCTCAATTGTCTTAAAATTCATTTAATTTTTTTCCTTTGGTTTCATTATTCAAATTTTAACTTCAGTTCTCAAGATTCTATCTGATGGAAGAGATGGAGTCCATTACTAAGGACTCCATTGTGCTCCATCATGCCAGAGTTGTAAAATAGATCTTTTAAAGGAAATTTACTGTGATTTTTTTCTATTTAAGAGCTGCCTCTCCAGTTGAGCATGTAAGAAAATTGTAGCAGGAGAATACAGTAAACTCTATGAGACAAGCTATAAACATGTAGCATTGTGATTAGGGCTGGTTCTCCTTCTAGAGGCATGGTAGGATTGCAATTTCATACCATCCTTGAAGTTAGAGAGAGCCACGTGACTCATTTAGCCAATGAACTGTAAGCAGAATGACATGTCACTTCCAGCAGAAGCTTTAAGAATCTGAGAAACATTCACACGTTTTCCATGTGCTGTAGCCTTATACCAAAAGCCTGGGTCCCAAGTGACCATGACAGGCAGAGCTCCCTTTTGAGCCACAGAGATTTAGAGAATGGCTGTTAACACAGCATAATCTAGCCCATCCTGACTAATCTGATATTAACATGTATAATAAAGAATTCTATCAATGCTGAGGGAAGATGATTAGTTAAGGTCCTAGGTTGCAAGTCTCAAAACCTCTTCTAAGGATTGTAGACAGGAAATTAAATGACTTCTAGTCCCTAGAGTTCCCAATCTCCTACCATCCCATCCTAATATGACAGAAGTAATTCCTGAGTTGCTTCTGAAACCAGAGCTTCCCTCAGAACCGTTAGCCTGCCAGATGGCTTCTTGGAGAGCTCTCACTCACTTTTCTCCTTCTGCTATTGCTGTTCATTCATTCCAGCTTTTAAAAATTCATCTTTATCCAGGAACCTCGCTTCTAGAAAAGTCATACAGGTGCTTCCAGGAGGCTACACGTGCACCCATATATTTCTAGCCACATTCATTAGACCAATGCAGCAGAGAAGAAAAGCCTCAATAATTATTATGACATGGCATGTTAGGATACCAAGTAAATTGCATTTGTAAAATGTGATTTTCTGTTGGTGTTCACTTCTGCTCTACTGACATTTGGTAAGTATTATTGACTGACTGACTAACTAATGTGGTCATTAGTCTTCATAAAGAAAGGCTCTCTACAAAAATGGAGGGATGCCCTTTTTCTGGCATTTAATACGTCAGAAATTGCCTCCGATAGAAACCAGAGTTGCCTGCTTACTATCAGCACAGGAGAAATGTATTAATGTGACTTTATAGTAACAGGCTTTTAGAAAGTCAAATATAAACAAATTTGTCTATTTGTGTGTGTGCATGTGGTGGTGGGGAGGGAAGAAAAAAGGAGGGGGAGAGAAAGAGAAATAAGAACCAAGTTTATTATACTGTATTCAGGGGGAACAAAATTTCCCAAGGTCCTAACAGAAGAGCAAAGTGCCACTGTCAATAGCCTCCGTAGTGTTAGGGTTGCTTTTATTTATTTACCTATTTATTTACTTTTCCTTTTTTTTTCTTTTTCTTTTTTTCTTTTCTTCTTTTTTTTTTTTTTGGACAGAGTCTCACACTGTCGCCTGGGCTGGAGTGCATTGGCACAATCTCGACTCACTGCAACATTTGCCTCCCAGGTTCAAGTGATTCTCCTGCCTCAGCCGCCCAAGTAGCTGGGATTACAGGTGTCTGCCACCATCCTAGCTAATCTTTTTGTATTTTTAGTAGAGATGAGGTTTCACTATGTTGGCCAGGCTGGTCTCAAACTCCTGACCTCGTGATCCACCCATCTTGGCCTCCCAAAGTGCTGGGATTACAGGCGTGAGCCACCGCCCCTGGCCAGGATTGCTTTTATAGCCAGTCTTCAGGTGCCCACTGTAGGAACAATGTCATTTAACCCTCGAGATTATTCTGTGCCAAATACGGATAATGACTAATATTCAACACAGATATTCTCAGCTCAGAGGAGCAATTAGCAAATTCATAAATTAAGTGCTTGCTTCCTTTTTAGTCAAATACAAACATTTGTTAAAAGATATTATTTTGCTTTACACTTTTTCTCTCAGAAATAAACAGATGCTTGAATTCCCACAGTGCTGCTTGAGCCTCACACCATGTCATCCTGCCAGGCACCCAGATCCAGTTCTAGAGTTTCACATGATCATGAGTGTTGGTTAATAAGTCAATGTGAACTGGGAGGGGAGATTTTTCAGGAGTGCCACAGGGCTCTCCCTTTAATCACATACACTCCCTGCTTTCATTGGAAAGTGTACAATGATGTCAGAGTGCCCCAGAATGGAGCTAGTTGGAAGACTGCCATCATAGGGATGCCTTAGTGAATTAATAAGGTTTTAATTTCTGGCTCTCAACTTTGTAGATGTAAAAGTTGATTTATCAGTATGTGAGAAAGGACGAATCTTTCTGAAGGTTATGTCATCACACTCACTAAGCACACAGAGAATAATGTCTAGAATCTGAGTGCCATGTTATCAAATTATACTGAGACTCTTGCAGTCACACGGGCTGACATGTAAGCATCGTCATGCCTAGTACAGACTCTCCCTGCAGATGAAATTATATAGGATGCTAAATTATAATCAGAACAATGTTTGGTGAGCCAAAACTACAACAAGGGAAGCTAATTGGATGAATTTATAAAAATATGCCTCAACCAAAATAGCTTAATTCAGTCTCCCTTATCATAAGGATAATCTTGCCTAAAGGGACAGTAATATTAAAGACACTAGGAATAACCTCTGTACTTTGGACAGTAGACCTGCACAGCCCCTTAGGCCTCAATGAATTCTTATGCAAGACCAGAAGCCAATTTGCCATTTTAAGGAGATTCTCCATGTTTCTGCTCTAACTGTGATTCACAATACTCAAGACACCGAATCAGGAAGTTTCCGGGAGTGCAGGGAGCTGTCCGTGGTACTGAGCAGTTCTCAGCAACCCAAAGATCCTACTGACTCCTCATCAGACTTCTTTCTCACTGGAATTTTACGCCTGGGCTGTTAACACCAGGCCAGGTCAAATTCAAAGGAGAGAAAAAAGCTCATTATGAAGGGTAAAATCCAAAACACTGTGCATAAAGATATGTGTGCACAATTTTTATACATAAAGATTTCATAAAGCCAAAGCATCAGGAAATGAAAAGAGATATAGAAAGAAAAATGATGGTAAATGAGACATTAATTTACCCTTCTAATCTCTATCACAGCAAAAAGATAATTAAAAAATCTATATGAGAACCACAAAATACACAAAAATTATGTAGCAAAGCCTATAGCCTGAAAAAGTAAACATTGAAATTTGTATGTCCATAAAATGTTTACAAAATTGAGTACATATTATACACCCCACCCCAAAAACATCTAAGCAAAGTAGAGAATGTAGAAATGCTACAGATTATATTCTCTGATTATGACACAACAAAACTAGAAATTACAGCATGGAAATTTAAAAGCTTTCTCTTAAATAATTCTATGTCAAAAAGAAATCCAGGCCGGGTACAGTGGCTCATGCCTGTAATTTCAGTACTTTGGGAGGCCAAGGTGGGCAGGTCACTTGAGGTCAGTAATTCAAGACCAGCCTCGTCAACATGGCGACACCCTGTCTCTACTAAAAATACAAAAATTAGCTGGGCCTGGTGGTGCATGCCTGTAATCCCAGCTACTTAGGAGGCTGAGGTAGGAGAATTCTTTGAACCCAGAAGGTGGAGGTTGCAGTGAGCTGAGATTGCACCACTGCACTCCAGCCTAGGTGACACAGCAAGACTCTGTCAAAAAAAAAAAAAAAAAAAAAAAAAAAAAAAAAAAAGAAATCCAAATAAAATTTCTAGAATATGTGGAAAACAGTGACAATAAAAATATTACACATGTGTAATCCCAGCATTTTGAGATGCCAAGGTGGCAGGATCACTTGAGACCAGGAGTTCACAACCAGCCTGGACAACACAGGGAGACTCCACCTCCACACACGCCAAAAAAAATTTTTAAATAGCCAGGTATAGTGGTACTTCTTGTAATCCCACCTACTTGGGAGGCTAAGGTGGGAGAATCACCCAACCTCAGGAGTTCAGGGCTTCAGCAAGCCATGATCATATCACTGCACTCCAGCCTCAACAACAGAGCAAGATCCTATCTCAAAAAAATAAAAAATCACATGTGGGAAATAGCTATAGCACAATAAAAATAAATGTATTAAGTGTGAACAACAAAAAAGCTAGTAAAGGTTGAACAACAACTATCCTTAGGCAAGTGGAAATAATGTATTAATAAATATGAAAGCAGGCTAAGCACGGTGACTCACATCTGTAATCCCAGCACTTTGGGAGGCTGAGGCAGGCAGATCACCTGAGGTCAGGAGTTCCAGACCAGCCTGGCCAACATGGTGAAATCTTGTCTCTCCTACAAATACAAAAACTAGCCAGGCTTGGTTGCGCACTCCTGTAATTCCAGCTACTTGGGAGGCTGAGGCAGGAGAATCTCTTGAACCTGAGAGGCAGAGGTTGCAGTGAGCCAAGATCATGCCACTGCACTCCAACTGGGGCAAGAGAGTAAGACTCCATCTCAAAATAAATAAATAAGAAAGCAGAAACTAATAAATTAGAAAACAGAAACAGAACTAATTTATAAATCAAAGCACTATGCCTTGAAAAGAGGGAGAAAAATTGTGAATTAAGGAAGGGAAGAGATGGTTGGAGAGGAGGTGGGAGAAGGCAGAGATAATTGAAAGAGCAAAAGCATCTGGAGAAGCAAAGCCACTGAAAGATGAACAGGGCTCTGAAAGAAATGCTTGATTGCTATCTTTTCAAATGACTGCAGTTCCCAGTGACATCATTTTTCTCCTCCCTGGAAGTCTGAGGGGCAGTTCACTTACCTCCTCCCCTCCCCTACTCCTCACCCCACACTCAAAACCTGTCTATGCTCCTTTCATTCTCATATGACAGATTTCAGATGGCATTCTTATTTCCCTGATTTCTTTTTGAGATAGCTTGCATTTCCCTCCTCTATATAAAGCCACCATTTATCAAATGCCTACATGGACCAAGCAGTCCACAAGGGCTTCACAGACAGTTTTACTAAACTCATGCCAAAATTTTCAGGTTTTATACCTACCTTATAGATAAAGAAATTGAAGCTTATAGAGTTTAAGTAATGTTTCCAAAGCCTCGTGGCTACTAATTCAAACCTAATTTCTGCCTACTCCAAAGTCTATTTTTCCTCATGATACTATACTGCTTCTCCATGGATAAAGACAGAGATCACATGTTAATAAAATTTGCACAAAGTCAGCAAATAGCTGAAAGGGAAGGCTAAGATGATTAATAAAATCAAGAGCCAGATGATCTCAACAACCTGAAATAACTGGCTGACAACCAATTTGAATAACTCCCTGCAGGTGAAGTTCAAAGTACTATTTGGGTTTTTTTTTTTTTTTTTAAAGTTTGGCTGGGTACAGCGGCTCATGCCTGTAATCCAAGCACTTAGGGAAGCCAAGGTGGGCAGATCATGAAGTCAGGAGTTGAAGACCAGCCCTGTCAACATGGTGAAACCCCATCTCTACTAAAAATAAAAAATTAGCTGGGCCTGCTGGTGGATGCCTGTAGTCCCAGCTACTCGGGAGGCTAAGGCAGGAGAATCACTTGAACCCAGGAGGTGGAGGTTGCAGGGAGCTGAGATCGCACCACTGCACTCCAGCCTGGGTGACAGAGCGAGATCCGTCTCAAAAAATAAAATAAAATAAAATAAAAAATAAAAGTTTGATATATTCAGAATCAGGGAGGTCTGTTGGGTGCAGTTCATTTGAAAAATTCCTCAGCATTTTAGTGATCTGTATGGTCCCTCTATCTGTCAGGGTCCTAGCAGGAAATTGTTGCACTCTCAAAGGATTAAGCAGAAAGAGTTTAACGAAGGTTCTCTTTCCAGGGTTAAGGGAACTGCTAGGGTTTGGATATGTGACCACTCCAAACTCATGTTGAAATGTGATCCCCATTGTTGGAGGGGGGGCCTAATGGGAAGTGTTTTGGTCCTGAGTGTGGACCTCTCACGAATGTCTTGGTGCCATCCAAGTGAGTTCTTGCTCGCTCTTTTTTTTCTTTTTGAGATGTAGTTTCACTCTTGCTGCCGAGGTTGGAGTGTAGTGGTGCGATCTTGGCTCACTGCAACATCCACCTCACAGGTTCAACCCATTCTCCTGTGTCAGCCTCCAGAGTAGCTGGGATTACAGGTGCCCACCCCTATGTCCAGCTAATTTTTGGTATTTTTAGTAGAGACGGGGTTTCACCATGTTGGCCAGGCTGGTCTCAAACTCCTGACCTCAGGTGATCCACCTGCCTCGGCCTCCCAAAGTGCTGGGATTACAGGCATGAGCCACCGTGCCCACCTAGTTCTAGCTCTCTTAATTCCCACAAGAGCTGGTTGTTAACAAGAGCCTGGCACAAACCCCTCTCTCTCGCCACATGATCTCTGCACATGCCAGCTTCCCTTCCCCTTCTGCCATGAGTGGAAACAGCCTAAAGCCCTCACCAGAAGCAAATGGTGGCACCATGCATCTTGCACACCTTCAGAACAGTGAACCAAATAAACCTCTCTTCTTTAAAATTACTCAGCCTCTGGTATTCCTTTATAACAACACACACACACACACACACACACACACACACACAAAGGCAGACTAAAACAGGAACTAATTAGAAATGGTGATGCACCGAGGGATTGGCACCGAGGCTCCCCAACAGGAAGTGAGGCTGTGGATAGAAGGACACATTCATGTTATGTTTTTTCTAATGGTTAAGTAATTATTTGCTCTTACTCTCAAAATTTCTGCCAAGGCCTCCCATGGACCAAACTCAACTAGAATCTAGGAAGCAGAGAACCTGAGTGTTGCATTCAGCAGAAGTCAGCTTCCTAGGGACTCTTGCAGGAAGGGCGAAAGTAGAGAATCTGGTGGGGAAGCAAGCAAATGCCCATCACATGCACTTTCCTCCAACAGAGCGACTCAGATGCTATAAAACTTGCTAACTCAGTCTCAGGGTCTGATCACAGTAACATACAATCCAGGTCTTAATCATCAGAAATCACAGTCCTATTGTCTTCTGCACAGATCCAAACACACTTGGAGGTCATGTTCAATATGAATACCTCACAGCGAAGGAAATTTACACACGAGAAGTACATCTGCAGAAAGCCAGCTGACATGTCAACCATTCAAAAACTCAGGGTATTCGGGATTAAAGAAGACTCAGGAAGACAAGTATGAAGCATAATCTGTGACATTCCATGTGGCAGACGTTAGACACATACAAGAAAGTTGTTGGAAAGTGGAATTTATCTTCATATAAACAACACTGAGCTAAATCTCAATGTTTCAGATCTCTAGAACTATCCATCAGTGAAATGGATTGCAAATAGAAAGAGTAATACCATGCCACTTAAGAATATAATCATGGACGAGGCTGCCACCTGCTGTTGGGGGCCACTGCAGAAGAAATTCCAGAACACTGGACTGGAGAGCACCTCACTTTCCTTATAGCTCTAAGTTTCTGACTCAGTGACCTGATTCAGTACCATATACACAAACACCCACTTACACAAATGACTGTTCTTCACACTTGGCCCATGGAGACAGGGATAAAATTCTGAATTTGCTCAGATACCTTCTCCGCTACTGACATCTAGGCATTACACAATTCATCTCTTCATACTTAACCTTTGAAGTTTGCTACTTCTCAGAGAGACTAATGAGTAGTGAGCACATATCCTGAAGCTGAGAATGCTTCTACCTCCTCTCAAAACAACGGAATATTCATCAAAACACAGCAGTTCTGCACTTAACTTTAGGCCTTTTCTAACACCTCATTTCTTGGCAGTAACTGTGGCCAGAATAGCTCTTTCCACAGAGAAAGGACCTTTTGAAAGGATAGGTTCTCTAGATAGAAAAGCAAATGCCTCATTCCAGAAGGTCTTCAAGAAGAAAATGTTGTGGTGATAGCAAACATAACTGATTATAATCTATTCTGTGAAAAAAGCTTATGAAACAGTAGATGTGTGTATCTAGTACATAAGAGCTGAATGTCAATATATATGTATAGATATATACACACCCTCAAATAAATAATAGTTATCTCTAACTAGAGAAATTCTAGTTGCCTTACTATATTTTCTACAATAAACATGTGTTTTTAACAAGAAAAGTCTTTTCTGGTGTGCTTTTAAATTTTCTTTGTTTAAGTGAGAGTGAGGCTACATAACTACATGGCTAGGTAGACTTTTAGAAAACTTGGCTGCTCTAGAAAATTGACATATCCTGATTTCTTCCATAGCTTGGATCTTGACCTAGAGGGAGATATAAAAATGTTGACTTGAATCTGAGGGGTGCCATTTTCACTGCTGAAGTAGTTTCATGGATCATGAATTGGAGAAATGACTTCAGCAACAGGGTGTTAAAAACAGAAAGCACAAGTGACCCACAACAGATGATGGAGAACAAAGAGCAAGCTGGGAAAAGCAGTGGCCTTTAATATAGAAAAGAAGAAGTATAGCCAAAATAAATATTAGGCAGACAGCAGTTCACAGTTTATACTATTAAGCTGTTGTTTAGGGGAATGGTAAACCGACATGACCCTTGAGGTAGGTATATATAGGTAAATCCTATGTGTCCCTTGAAATAGGTGTATGACACAACTTCTGGCATCTACATGGATTTGGTCACTCTAAAGTAGCCATGAGGCTTAAGATAGTTCAGCTGTTTGGGGATAAGCTACATCATTTGCAGTTGTCTTTCTGCAATTTGCATATCCTACAGTTATCATTGTCATTACTGAATGGCACAGAGAAAACTGGTCTAAAGTGGTTCTCAAACCTGGTTGCTGGAGGGCCACCCTCAGTGATGATGATTTAATCTGTAGAAGAGTAGAACATTGATAGTTTTTATATATCTCCAGGTAATTTTAATATATAACTGGGGTGAGAATCATTGACCTAATTGTAAGAGGATAATATTCAAGAAATGTGGAGATAAATAATTTTCTTCTCAACATTAAAAAAATCTAATAGAAAGTTTTATCTTTTCCCCTAACTCAGGGTCATCAGCCTTAAAGCTTCAGTCTTTGTGTGTTCACAGGTGCTGTAAACACATGCATCACTACTAATATCCCACTTCAGTGCTATTGCTGCTCCCAAAACTCCAGGTATTTTTAACCTTATAAACCTCCAGAATAATGAGACCACTGGGTTCAGTAAATTGCTTTGTTTTGAAGCAGTGTTAGACAAAGTGGGAGACTAGAAGATAAATCTGTCAATGACATGTCCTTTAAGACTACTTAGATATTGTTGAATTTGTGGATCATTCTTTACTTGAGCATGGTAAATTAACTCTCTCTTTTCTCTCTCTCTCTAGCTGGCACACTTTTTCCAGTAGCCATTCTACTTGGTATGCTTACTTATCAGCTGTCCTCCAGGGGCCTCACATTAGATGTTTCTCTTGACTAACAAAACATGACACACAGCTGAAGTCTGAAAAACCAGATTGATAATTTCACCCAAACTATTTTCTTCATTCTAACAGTTTACTGGAGTACACAATTGTGACTATTTTTAGCCATAGGAACTCATAGAAAGACCAACTTCATTAGACCTACAAAATCGAATTGTGTGACATTATATGCAGTATGTGTAGGAATAAAAAGCATTTCTCAAATATGCAGTACTGGATTTTGCAAAAGCACCTTACACTTAGCTATGAAGGAGTGAAAAACACAGAGATGAGTAACTGCACCTTTCAAAAGACTAGAGCTATACCAATAATACAAAGGTGTAAACAAATAATGATGAGATGACAAAGGCTGAGTGTTTTCTATTTGGAAGCTATGTTGTTGAATTATTTATGTATATAATTTCATGCAATCTTCATGTTATGGGGGTGTTCTAATCCACTGTGACTCTGTCCTTAAATAAAAGGGAGATTTGGACATAGAGACAGGAACACAGGGAGGATGCCATATGAGAATTGACACTGTGCTGTCACAAGCCAAGGAACTACTGGAAGGAGAGAAAGAGGACTGGAACAGTTCCTTCCTTAGCACCTTTTCAGGCAGCCTAGCCCTTCCAGCTTCTTGATCTGGACTTCTCACCTCTAGAATTGTGAGGCAATAAATTTCTGTTGCTTAAGTTACCCAGTTTGTGGTACTTTATTACAGGAGCCCTAGGAAAATAATTCATTATATAATCTGCTAAGGTAGATATGATCATTGTCTCCAATTTCCATATGAAGAAACTATGCCTCAGGCATTGTGTCAGTTGTCCAAAATCATACATTCCTGACTCACTTCAATGAATTCTTCATTCAGCAAAACTTTTAAGGTACCTTAAAAAAATTATGTTAACTCTTAGGTCCTTGCTATAAAGCTTCAATAGGGTTTTCCTTTGCAAAGAATAAAATCCTAATACTTAAGCATAGCTCTCTTTCCTGGCTATGTTTCTGATATCCTCTTGTACCATGCTCCTCCTTAATCATTCTGAGTTTACATCTTAAGTCCTTTCCCCTTGCCATTCCCACTTCTTGGAATACTTTCCCATCAACTCTTCAAAGAACTGGCTTCTTTAAGTATTTGCTCTCAGTTCAAATGTCACTTCCCTGTAAAATCTTCCTGGTCATCAAGCCTTCTTTACACACTGTATTTTATTTTTTCATGGTTCCTATAACCACCTAATATATTCTCAATTGATTAACTGTTTTGCTGACTACTGCCTTCCATAAGAATGGAAAGAAAATATGGCCAGGTGCAGTGGCTCACACCTGTAATCCAACCACTTCAGGAGGCTGAGGCAACATGGCAAAACCTTCCCTTCAAAAAATTTTTTAAAAGTTAGCTGGATGTTGTGGAGGCAAGAGGATCACTTGAGGATCACTTTAGTCCATGAGGTCAAGGCTGCAGTGAGTCATGTTTGCACCACTGCACTCTAGCCTAGGTGATAGAGCTAGTCCCTATCAAAAAAAAAAAAAAAAAAAAAAGAATGGAGAGAATGCTACATGAGAGAAAGGATCTTATTTATCATGTTCACCTCTATCATGTTCACTTCCAAAGAGGTGAACATATCCCCCAAAGCCTGATAGAGAGAAGAGGCTCATTAATATTTAATGCATGACCATGTGCAGACTTGGGAGGAAAAATATGTCTCAGCCTATCAAAATTGGATCCTTAATAAACAAGGGTGCTTCTCCATCATTTCCCCACAACACCAAACAAGTGTGGCTCACTGTGGATGTTTAAGCAAATGCATTGTTTTTCCAGTTATATATCTGGTAGAGATGAGGTCATTGATAGGAATGGGAAGATGATCTCCTTTTATTTTGATGACCCAGCATGGCTGAACACTCAGTGACTACCACTGCACTTTGTTGTACTTTCAGCATTAGAGATGTCAGCCCTGTAGGATATAAAACAGGAACATCTAGTCCTCAATTATATTCAGAATTACTCAAGTCTTAGAAGAACCACTTGTCTTTTTTCAAGGAAGAGAAATGCTCAAGTGATGGGCTGAAGTGAAGGGAGGGAGTCACTCACTTAAACGGTTCCCTTAGGCTGTGTGGATGCAAACAGCATTAGACAATGACACTGACAGTGGGAAATGCACTGAAGATGATGAATGGCAAAGCCCTCCTTTTCTCCCCATCCACTTTAGATACTGACAGCAAAGGGTTTGTCACAATGACAACTATACACTCCCAATATCACAGAAGAAGGAGGAATAAAAGGGTATATTATGAGTGACTGAAGTTTAGAATAAATCAATAAATATTATGTCCCTCATCCATAGAAACCACAAAGGTCTAGTAATGCTAAGGATATAATAAGAAAATAATATGAATATTTGCTTCCCCTTCCTAGTGTAATAGAGTAAGTTACAAATGGCTTCAGGAAGGGGAGAGAGGAAGAAGAGTGGATGAGATATGTAAGAGTGCCTGAGGGTTAATTTTATGAAAGCTTTGGGAAGTTTTAAGAAAAAGAAAAGCTATGTTTCAAGGTACATGTGTGTATGCGTGCGTGCGTGTGCGTGTGTGTGTGTGTGTGTGTGTGTGAAAGACAGAAGAAAGAGGGAGACCTAAAAAGACTATGAGACACTAAGAGAAAAATTAAGGTAAAAAAGACACACATTAGAAAAACACAAATAGGGAGGAGGGAGGAGGTTAAGGCATTTTACTATGTGCTGTGAATGGAAACTACAAACCATTTGTGATATATGCAATATATATACATATATACACACATATACATATGTATTTAAATATTTAAATTACATTTTCTCTTTTTTTAGAGATGTGGTTTCACTATGTCACTCTGCCCAGGATGCAGTACAGTGGTTGTTCACAGTCATGATCATAGCACATTATAGCCTTGAACTCCTGGGCTCAAGCAATCCTCCTGTATTAGTCTCCCCAGTAGTTGGGATTACTAGCATATGCCACCATGTCCACCCTTATGCTTTTTAAAGTGAAAAACCATACTAAGAATGAGGCCGCTCAACTTAATAATAAAAACATTTCTAATGTAAAGAAATTTACAAAAGAAAAACAATCAACCCCATTAAAATTGGGCAAAGGGAATGAACAGACACTTTTCAAAAGAATACATGTATGCAGCCAACAAACACACACAAAAAAAGTTCAACATCACTGATCATTAGAGAAATGCAAATCAAAAACATAATGAGATACCATCTCACACCAGTCAGAATGGCTATCATTAAAAAGTCAAAAAATAACAGATGCTATTGAGGCTATGGAGAAAAGGGAATGCTTATACACTGTTGGTGGGTGTGCATATCAGTTCAATCATTGTTCAAAGAATAGTGATTCCTCAAAGAGCTAAAAGCAGAGCTACCATTTGACCCAGTAATCCCACTACTGGGTATATACCCAGATGAATATAAACCATTCTACCATAAAGACACATGCATACAAATGTTCATTGCAGCACTGTTCACAATAGCAAAAGTATAGGATCAACCTAAATATCCATCAATGACAGATTGGATAAAGAAAATGTGGTACTTATACACCATGGAATACTATGCCGCCATTAAAAAATGATATAATGTCTTTTGCTGGAATATGGATGGATCTTCTATTATCCTTAGGAAACTAATGCAGGAACAGAAAACCAAATGCAGCATACTCTCAGTTATAAGTGGGAGCTAAATGATGAGAACTAATGAACACAAAGAATAAAACAGACACTAGGGTCTACTTGAGGGTGGAGGATGAGAAAAGGAAGAGAAGCAGAAAAGATAACTATTGGGTACTAGGTTTAATACCTGGATGATGAAATAATCTGTACAATAATCCCCTGTGACACCAGTTTACCTATGTAACAAATGCCCCTAAACTTAAAATAAAAGTTAAAAAAAAGAAAATTAAAATCTCCTTATCATCTACCTGGTAATATGAAAAACACATATCTTTCATTCATTCCTTTCAATTGATGAGGAAACTGAGGTATCGGGAGTTAGTAAAAGTCCACATTGAGATATGAGACCCACCACTGGCTGGACGCAGTGGCTCACACCTGTAATCCCAGCACTTTGGGAGGCCGATGCTGGTGGATCACCTAAGGTCAGGAGTTCGGGACCAGGCTGGCCAACATGGTGAAACCCCCATCTCCACTAAAAATACAAAATTAGCTGAGTGTGGTGGCAGGCACCTGTAATACCAGCTACTAGGGAGGCTGAGGCAGGAGAATCGCTTGAACCCAGGAGGTGGAGTTTACAGTGAGCCAAAATCACGCCATTGCACTCCAGCCTGGGCAACAAGAGCAAGACTCGTCGGAAAAAAAAAAAACAAAAGAAACAAACAAAAAAAAACACCACCATCATTTTGAAAGTGTTACCACTATTGTGTGTTAATATTGTAGAAGTATTCCTAATTATGATTTCTTTGTATTCCTAATTGTAATAGCTTTGTATTTGAAAAATTATTGATTCATACTCTATATGTTATTATTTTGTATGCGATGACGACAGAACATATTATCATGCTCCTTTTGTGAATCTCATTCATAATATAAAGTAAATATTTGTTATTTTGTTTTAATTTGAAATATTAATTTCAAATATGTTATCAAAATTTGATACAAACTATTGACAATAAATCTGTGGATTAAGTAATGTCTTAGTAGGTATTGGGAATATTTGAAACAAGTAACACGGAGGACTATTGTTATTGTTTATTTCAAAGCCAGTTAAAATTCTGCAAAGCAGTGTAAACAAAAATAATTTCAAGAAATTTATAAAATACCGAGATTATGGTGTATAAACAACTTTAGATTCTTTGTTTAAGAAGTTCTGCCAGTTTGTAATATATGCTTCATTCAAAGTAGCTAAGGGCTGTACCTGGCTAATAGTAGGCACCTAATATTTGTTGAAAAGGAATACTGAGTAGCTGGGACCTCCTGAGTATCTGGGACCACACACATTTAACCTGTATTTATAAAATTACTGTTTAGAGAAAACATTTGATGGAATCATGCTTTTACTTTCTGCTTATAACTCAATTGTTTGTACTGACATTAACATCCCAAATCCTTAGCATGGCCTACAAGGCCCTGAGCAATGTGGCACCTGCTGAAGCCTGCTGCCTCATTTAATAACTCTTTGTCTCTTTCCCAGATCCAGCCACTCTAACATTTTTTAGTTCCTGGACCAAGACAAGCTCTTCCCAGAACCTGATCTTTGTACTTGTTCTTTATTCCTGGAATATTTTTCCCCTGACAAATTACTTATCATCTATCATAAATCAGGTTAAATGGCACTAACTCAGGGAAGGCTTCCCTAACTGCCTCCCTTCTCCAACCAAATTAGGAACAATTATATGGCCACATAGTATCGAATCAAGTTTATAATTTTAAAATAATTGGGAGATTTTGTTGTTTAACACTTGTTTTCACTATAAGACTGTACTTACATGCAAGTAAGAACCATGCCTGTTTGTTCACTCCTGCCACAGTCAGAATAGTGCCTGGAATATGCAGTAAGGGCTGAACAAACACTAAATAAATGAACAAGTGAATAAATGGATATTGTCTCATTTTTAGAACAGAGTACTAAATGGATCATGAACACTATCTGGTATGTCATGTAGGTAATTTACAAGGGATACAATTTCAGCTCAGATTTACCTTTTCCTGGATACAGGTCTTGATAGGTCTCTTGATGTCATTTCACTTCAGATTCTTCTTTAGAAAACTTGGACAATAGCATTTGCTGTCTTGTCCAAATTGTTACTAAGAATCAAGAGAGATATCTGACATGAAATGACATTGGAAAACATTAAACACGATTGAAATAATGCTAGCCAATATGGTTATTATTAGAAACCAATTACATTTTCAACTTAAAAATAGTAATACTTATTGCAGACTCAAATGTGCTTATTCTAAAACAAGTAAATGTTTGCCTATGGTCTGAGGTTCTAATCCACGGAGTTCATTCTAATCCACATTCAACACTATCATGTACCAGTGGGCCTCATAACCCACCTAGTCCTGTGATTTTTCAGGTTCACTTTTCTAAACTTGTGAATTAAATATGTATTTTCTTAGTTAAGAAAAGGAAAAAAACTCTTGTAATTGTTGTCCATTTCAGGAGAAATCTTGCATATGAAAACAAGAGATAAATATACACAACTGAGGGCTGTGGTTTAAACAAAATCTTCAGAATGTTTTTTGACCTTATACATTTGTGCTTTAGTATAACAAAATGATATAGACAAAGGTAACTTTTAATAGAACCAGTCACTAAATTAAAAAAATGACAAATTCTTCTGCTTAGCTAAGCAACAGAGAAGGTAAAATACTAATTCAATTCATCAATTTAAGCAATACTCATTAAGAGCCAAGTATGTGCTTACTGAATAAGCTGCTAAGGTTTGGTGGTTACAGAGTGTGTGGTGAAATGATGTCTACATCACAGTCCAACATTCACAGAGTTTAAAAGCCTACCAAGAATCAAGACAAGACAGTCAATACCTAAAATAGACATTTGTATGTGATTAGAGAGCCAGAGTACAATTTAGGAGAAGAAATTGTATGGAAGGAAGGTTCATTTCCATTAGACCAGAAAATACAGCACATTTGAAGGCCTGAATAAGAAATATTCTGGATAAGATATTGTGGCTGCTACCAGAATGGCTCTTGATGATCTCTACCTCTTGGTATTTATACCCTTATATAATCTCTTTCCTATAGTATAAGCTGGTCCCAGGTACTTGTTTCTATTGAATACAATAGAACAAAAGTAATGAGATACCACTTCTGAGATTAGATTACAAGATACTGTGAATTTCATCTTGTGCCCTCTCCCTCTCTCTCTTTCTCTTGCCCTCTCATTTGAATGAAGCCAACTGGCATGCTGTCAGTGGCCCAGTGTAAGTCCTGTTACAAGAAATTGATGATTGCCTGTAGCCAACCCTAAGTGAAGAACTGAGGTCCTCAACCCTACAAATGGAGAGAAACTGAATCTAGCTAAGAACCATGTGAGTGAGCTGGGAAGAAGATCCACCCTCAGTCGAAATTTAAGATGACCATAGCATCAGCAGACATATTGAGACACACTGAAAGTAAGAGAGCAGGAGGAAACAAAACCAGGGTCATACAAAGAACACAACTGATTTTGAGATTCTCACATAAGTATTACACCTTCAGTGAGCACGTGTACTAGAAATTAAAAAAATAAATAAAATAAACCTGCAAAGAGAGCTAGCAAATAAATTTCCCTATGGTCTCAGCTCTGAGTGCAGAGAGAAAATGTTCCCTGTAGAGTTTATAGCCAGAATCCAGCTCTCAAACAGGTTTCAGCCTGAACTCACACAATCTGTGTGGCTTCCAAATTGGCAAGCTGAGAATTTAATTCAAAGTGGTCTCAGGTTGATAGCAGTCCAAAATGCCAGGTAGGAAAAAAAATCCTCTCTGGACAAATAAATCATCAAAGCAAGCTCATAAGAGCAGGTTTCAAAGGTCATGAGCTTCTAACACACACACAAAAATCACACACACAAAATGGGGGTAGCAGCAACATGGGTAGCATATTCACACTTGAAAAGACTTTAAATATTTGTATTATTAGATGTAGATTATGAAACATATTTTAATGTGGTTAATTTTTTTAAGGAATCAAAACTATGAGTAAAGACCAAGAAAATTGTGCTGGATAGCCACTTCCACCATGGCTCCCCTCCTATTTAAGCCTGGGTACTGTGTCACCCGAAGTCTTCAGGCACATTGTTCCAGGTTTGGGTTTGCCTATGAAAGAAATTCATGAGAGCTGGAAGTGAGGAGTGAAGAGGAGGTCTTCACATAAAGCAGGCTTAAGGATTAGACATAGCAGGTTTGACAGATGTGATGGCTTGCAGAATTCTTTATGAGCTCCCACTGTCCATCTGGATAAGATTTACAGACCTTTCAGAAATTCCTATAAGCTTGGGTTCTGTGCCCACACTCTAGACTGTCAGGCTAAGATCTCTCATATAAAACAGACCTCTTCTGATTTTGTCTAACTGCTTTTCTAATATCTTTTCACCAAGCTCTTCCAATAATAGCATAAGGCCCTAATTAATATTAAACTTTTATCATTATAATACATAGGATGTCTTCTGTTTTCCTGATCAAATTCTGACTACTATTAAAATATAAAGAATTGTCCAGAAATATATAAAAAAGAATCACACATTGATCTTCTTTAAATGAAAATATAACAATTGTATGGACTAGGATGATTACAGTTGTTCAGTTCTGACTGTTATTTGAAGAAAAAAGCAATAAGAAGCCTCAGCAACTTAACAGAAGGAGCTGCCATTTACTAGGAGAAAAGATTGTGGATGAGAGTGTAGCAAACAAAGGTCAGAATTCTGTGAAGCTTGAGATGTCAATTATAATGAATTATCTTTTATACTCACTACAATTTCCTAACAATTTTGGGGTTTATATTTTTGAAAGAGACATACCTTTAATTTTCTTTCTTTGTACTATTGTTAGGTAACTTTAATGTGCAAATTATACTACAGTGAAAGTTGCCAATGACAAGGCAAAGTCACTTACATCAGACCCAAAGCAAAGTGGAGCCGGGTCATGAAAAAGGGGATCTGTGTGTGTGTCCACAATAAGCACTATCACAAGGACTTTCTATAAACTCACAAGAAATTTCTGCCCGCCCAGCACACTCTGTTTGTCCAGCTCATCCTGTAGGTGTCTCTATAATAGGACCTTTCATAAAAAATTCCTCAAGACTGTAGCATTTCAGATAAGCCACCCTCACAAGAACACTTGCCTAGCAATGGCTGTTTCTGCCAGTAAGTTAACACCAGCTCCTGCTTCAGGCCCTGTGACCAATGATGTTTGTTTCAAAACAGCTTGCATAGACTTCTTTTTGTCTTTAAATATTTTCCTTACCTCAACCTCTTGGGATGCACCTATGATTGATCATAGCACAAATATCTCAGATTATAATCCTTGTTTATTTCCAAATAAATTTATTTCTTTGGAGATCCACTTTTTCTGTTATTATACATTGACATTGTTATCATGAAATTGGTTGGGTGATGTGTCTTATTTTCTTGTCTCCAGAAGAATTTCTGTAACAGTGCAATTAAACGTTCTTTGCATGTTTGCTAGAACTCACCTGTAAAATTGTCTGAGCAACCAAAGCCTGGTTTTTGTGTTCAGTTTTTCTTTTGTGATTGGGGAGGGGGGTTTATCATACTGATTCAAGGTGTGAAGGTAACATCATTTTGATTTTATACATCTTCTTCAGTCCATTTAAGCATGTTACATAGCGTTGTTTGTTCTTTTCATGATATTCTTTACAGTAGCCTCCTAAATGTTCCCTCTGCTTCTGCCATGAGCCCCTACAATCTATTTCAATTCAGAAGCTATAGAGTTTGTTTAAAACATGTAACATATTATGCCACCTTTCTTACTGTAAAACATCCCATGGTTTCTCGTAGTATTTATGGTAAGTGAAATTTTTATGATGGCTTGAGAAACTTTTCCCATTAGATGCCCAAGTGCTGGTCTGGTCTGATCTTCTCATCTTCCCTTGGGTGATTCTGTGGCAGTCACACTAGCCTCCTTGCTACTGCACAAAAACTCCAGCATGATCTTACTTCAGGATATTTGCCATTGTTACTGCATCTGCCTGGAACCTTTTCTCCCATATAAACATAGAGATTGCTCTTGCCTGTCCTTCAAGTCTATTCTTAAATGTCCCATTCTCTGCGAAGCTTTCCTGTCCACACTATTTAAATTACAGACTTCACTCCCAATTCCCCATCTACTTTAAGAGTCCTCATTTATCATTCCTTGACAAACTGTAAATATACATGTTCACTTTTTTATCATCTGTCTCCAAATACTGGAATGTTAAGTTCTGTAATGTCAGATATTTCTGTTTGGTTCACTGGTGTATTCTTAAAGCATGTTACATACTAGGTATACTCAATGAATATTTGTTGAATACATATCACATTGGGCTTATTCCAGAAATTCAAGCTTGTTTCAATAGTTAGAGCAATCTACAAATGTAATTCATTACATTAACTAATTAAAGGAGCTAAATCACATCACCACCACAATAATGCAGAAAAACACATTTGATACAACTCAATATTCATGCCTGCCTAACAAACATCTCATGATACTAAGAAAAGAGGAAGGGATATATTATTTTCATGTATAAAACACTAACCATTGTAGCATGCCAATATATTCAAAATTCAATGAAATTCCTATCAAAATCTTAGCATTCCTCTTAGTCCTCAACAAAGCATTTCTAAAATGTGTATAGAAGACCAAAGGGCCAAAAGAGTCAACTTCTGAAGAAGTGGAAAAAGAAAGTTGAGGAAATCTTAAAACATGTTATTGAGCTTAAAGGTGCAAAAATAAATGCATGTACCATAATTCATGAGTAGAAAAATAGACTAGTGGAATAACATAAAAATAAAAACAATGCTTACATAAAATGTTGTAACTGATTTGGATGTCATTAGAAATCAGTAAGTAAATAGATGGACAATGTAATGAAAGATGCTAGGCAAATAATGTGGTAGGGAGAATAATGGCCCTCAGAGATGCCCATGCCTAACCCTGGAAGCTGTGAATATGTTACACTGAATGCAATAAAGGCTTATCAGATGTGATTAAGGATGCAAACCGAGATGGAGAGATCTTCCTGGGTTATCCAGATGGGCCCAGTCTAATCACATGAGTTCTTAAAAATGGAGAACCTTTCTTAGCTGAGTCCAGAGAGAGATGTGACAATGAAAGAATGGTCAGAGAGGAGGAGGAGCCAAGATGGCCGAATAGGAACAGCTCCGGTCTACAGCTCCCAGCATGAGCGACACAGAAGACGGGTGATTTCTGCATTTCCATCACAGGTAGCGGGTTCATCTCACTAGGGAGTGCCAGAGAGTGGGCGTATGCCAGTGGGTGCACCCACTGTGCGTGAGCTGAAGCAGGGCGAGCATTGCCTCACTTGGGAAGCACAAGGGGTCAGGGAGATCCCTTTCCGAGTCAAAGAAAGGGTTGACGGACGCACCTGGAAAATCAGGTCACTCCCACCCAAATATTGCGCTTTTTGGTAAGGCTTAAAAAACGGCCCACCATGAGATTATATCCCACACCTGGCTGGGAGGGTCCTATGCCCATGAAGTCTCACTGATTGCTAGCACAGCAGTTTGAGATCAAACGGCAAGTTGGCAGCGAGGCTGGGGGAGGGACGCCCACCATTGTCCAGGCTTGCTTAGGTAAACAAAGCATCCAGGAAGCTCCAACTGGGTGGAGTCCACCACAGCTCAAGAAGGCCTGCCTGCCTCTGTAGGCTCCACCTCTGGGGGCAGGGCACAGACAAACAAAAAGACAGCAGTAACCTCTGCAGACTTAAACGTCCCTGTCTGACAGCTTTGAAGAGAGCAGTGGTTCTCCCAGCACGCAGCTGGAGATCTGAGAATGGGCAGACTGCCTCCTCAAGTGGGTCCCTGACCCCTGACCCCCGAGCAGCCTAACTGGGAGGCACCCCCCAGCAGGGGCACACTGACACCTCACACGGCAGGGTATTCCAACAGACCTGCAGCTGAGGGTCCTGTCTGTTAGAAGGAAAACTAACAAACAGGAAGGACATCCACACCAAAAACACATCTGTACATCACTATCATCAAAGACCAAAGTAGATAAAACCACAAAGATTGGGAAAAAGCAGAACAGAAAAACTGGAAACTCTAAAACGCAGAGTGCCTCTCCTCCTCCAAAGGAACACAGTTCCTCACCAGCAACAGAATAAAGCTGGATGGAGAATGACTTTGACGAGCTGAGAGAAGAAGGCTTCAGACAATCAAATTACTCTGAGCTATGGGAGGACATTCAAACCAAAGGCAAAGAAGTTGAAAACTTTGAAAAAAATTTAGAAGAATGTATAACTGGAATAACCAATACAGAGAAGTGCTTAAAGGAGCGGATGAAGCTGAAAACCAAGGCTCCAGAACTACGTGAAGAATGCAGAAGCCTCAGGAGCTGATGCGATCAACTGGAAGAAAGGGTATCAGCAATGGAAGATGAAATGAATGAAATGAAGTGAGAAGGGAAGTTTAGAGAAAAAAGAATAAAAAGAAATGAGCAAAGCCTCCAAGAAATATGGAACTATGTGAAAAGATCAAATCTACATCTGATTGGTGTACCTGAAAGTGATGGGGAGAATGGAACCAAGTTGGAAAACACTCTGCAGGATATTATCCAGGAGAACTTCCCCAATCTAGCAAGGCAGGCCAACGTTCAGATTCAGGAAATACAGAGAACACCACAAAGACACTCCTTGAGAAGAGCAACTCCAAGACACATAATTGTCAGATTCACCAAAGTTGAAATGAAGGAAAAAATGTTAAGGGCAGCCAGAGAGAAAGGTCAGGTTACCCTCAAAGGGAAGCCCATCAGACTAACAGCAGATCTCTCAGCAGAAACCTTACAAGCCAGAAGAGAGTGGGGGCCAATATTCAACATTCTTAAAGAAAGAATTTTCAACCCAGAATTTCATATCCAGCCAAACTAAGCTTCATAAGTGAAGGAGAAATAAAATACTTTACAGACAAGCAAATGCTGAGAGATTTTGTCACCACCAGGCCTGCCCTAAAAGAGCTCCCGAAGGAAGCGCTAAACATGGAAAGGCAGAACCAGTACCAGCCGCTGCAAAATCATGCCCAAATATAAAGACCATCGAGACTAGGAAGAAACTGCATCAACTAACGAGCAAAATCACCAGCTAACATCATAATGACAGGATCAAATTCACACATAACAATATTAACTTTAAATGTAAATGGACTAAAGGCTCCAATTAAAAGATACAGACTGGCAAATTGGATAAAGAGTCAAGATCCATCAGTGTGCTGTATTCAGGAAACCCATCTCACAAGCAGAGACACACATAGGCTCAAAATAAAAGGATGGAGGAAGATCTACCAAGCAAATGGAAAACAAAAAAAGGCAGAGGTTGCAATCCTAGTCTCTGATAAAACAGACTTTAAATGAACAAAGATCAAAAGAGACAAAGAAGGCCATTACATAATGGTAAAGGGATCAATTCAACAAGAAGAGTTAACTATCCTAAATATATATGCACCCAATACAGGAGCACCCAGATTCATAAAGCAAGTCCTGAGTGACCTACAAAGAGACTTAGACTCCCACACATTAATAATGGGAGACTTTAACACCCAATGTCAACATCAGACAGATCAATGAGACAGAAATTCAACAAGGATACCCAGGAATTGAACTCAGCTCTGCACCAAGTGGACCTAATAGACATCTACAGAACTCTCCACCCCAAATCAACAGAATATACATTTTTTTCAGCACCACACCACACCTATTCAAAAATTGACCACATACTTGGAAGTAAAGCTCTCCTCAGCAAATGTAAAAGAACAGAGATTATAACAAACTATCTCTCAGACCACAGTGCAATCAAACTAGAACTCAGGATTAAGAATCTCACTCAAAACCGATCAACTACATGGAAACTGAACAAGCTGCTCCTGAATGACTACTGGGTACATAATGAAATGAAGGCAGAAATAAAGATGTTCTTTGAAACCAATGAGAACAAAGACACAATATACCAGAATCTCTGGGACGCATTCAAAGCAGTGTGTAGAGGGAAATTTATAGCACTGAATGCCCACAAGAGAAAGCAAGAAAGATCCAAAATTGACACCCTAACATCACAATTAAAAGAACTAGAAAAGCAAGAGCAAACACATTCAAAAGCTAGCAGAAGGCAAGAAATAACTAAAATCAGAGCAGAACTGAAGGAAATAGAGACACAAAAAACCCGTCAAAAAATTAATGAATCCAGTAGCTGGTTTTTTGAAGGGATCAACAAAATTGATAGACCGCTAGCAAGACTAATAAAGAAAAAAAGAGAGAAGAATCAAATAGACACAATAAAAAATTATAAAGGGGATATCACCACCGATCCCACAGAAATACAAACTACCATCAGAGAATACTATAAACACCTCTACGCAAATAAACTAGAAAATCTAGAAGAAATGGATAAATTCCTCGACACTTACACTCTCCCAAGACTAAACCAGGAAGAAGTTGAATGTCTGAATAGACCAATAACAGGAGCTGAAATTGTGGCAATAATCAATACTTTACCAACCAAAAAGAGTCCAGGACCAGATGGATTCACAGCCGAATTCTACCAGAGGTACAAGGAGGAACTGGTACCATTCCTTCTGAAACTATTCCAATCAATGAAAAAGAGGGAATCCTCCGTAACTCATTTTATGAGGCCAGCATCATTCTGATACCAAAGCCGGGCAGAGACAAAACCAAAAAAGAGAATTTTAGACCAATATCCTTGATGAACATTGATGCAAAAATCCTCAATAAAATATGGCAAAACGAATCCAGCAGCACATCAAAAATCTTATCCACCATGATCAAGTGGGCTTCATTCCTGGGATGCAAGGCTGGTTCAATATATGCAGATCAATAAATGTAATCCAGCATATAAACAGAGCCAAAGACAAAAACCACCTGATTATCTCAATAGATGCAGAAAAAGCCTTTGACAAAATTCAACAACCCTTCATGCTAAAAACTCTCAATAAATTAGGTATTGATGGGACGTATTTCAAAATAATAAGCACTATCTATGACAAACCCACAGCCAATATACTGAATGGGCAAAAACTGGAAGCATTCCCTTTGAAAACTGGCACAAGACAGGGATGCCCTTTCTCACCACTCCTATTCAACATAGTGTTGGAAGTTCTGGCCAGGGCAATTAGGCAGGAGAAGGAAATAAAGGGTATTCAATTAGGAAAAGAGGAAGTCAAATTTTCCCTGTTTGCAGATGACATGATTGTATACCTAGAAAACCCCATTGTCTCAGTCCAACATCTCCTTAAGCTGATAAGCAACTTCAGCAAAGTCTCAGGATACAAAATCAATGTAAAAAATCACAAGCATTCTTATACACCACCAACAGACAGACAGAGAGCCAAATCATGAGTGAACTCCCATTCACAATTGCTTCAAAGAGAATAAAATACATAGGAATCCAACTTACCAGGGATGTGAAGGACCTCTTCAATGAGAACTACAAACCACTGCTCAAGGAAATAAAAGAGGATACAAACAAATGGAAGAACATTCCATGCTCATGGTTAGGAAGAATGAATATCATGAAAATGGCCATACTGCCCAAGGTAATTTATAGATTCAATGCCATCCCCATCAAGGTACCAATGACTTGCTTCACAGAATTGGAAAAAACTACTTTAAAGTTCATATGGAACCAAAAAAGAGCCTGCATCGCCAAGTCAATCTTAAGCAAAAGAACAAAGCTGGAGGCATCACACTACCTGACTTCAAACTATACTAAAAGGCTACAGTAACCAAAACAGCATGGTACTGGTACCAAAACAGAGATATAGATCAATGGAACAGAACAGGGCACTCAGAAATAACGCTGCATATCTACAACTATCTGATTTTTGACAAACCTGACAAAAACAAGCAATGGGGAAAGGATTCCCTATCTAATAAATGGTGCTGGGAAAACTGGCTAGCCATATGTAGAAAGCTGAAACTGGATCCCTTCCTTACACCTTATACAAAAATCAATTCAAGATGTTCAAGGTGGATTAAAGACTTAAACGTTAGACCTAAAACCATAAAAACCCTAGAAGAAAACCTAGGCATTACCATTCAGGACATAGGCACGGGCAAGGACATCATGTCCAAAACACCAAAAGCAATGGCAACAAAAGACAAAATTGACAAATGGGATCTAATTAAACTAAAGAGCTTCTGCACAGCAAAAGAAACTACCATCAGAGTGAACAGGCAACCTACAAAATGGGAGAAAATTTTCGCAACTTACTCATCTGACAAAGGGTTAATATCCAGAATCTACAATGAACTCAAACAAATTTACAAGAAAAAATCAAACAACCCCATCAAAAAGTGGGCGAAGGACATGAACAGACACTTCTCAAAAGAAGACATTTATGCAGCCAAAAAACACATGAAAAAACGCTCATCACTGGCCATCAGAGAAATGCAAATCAAAACCACAATGAGATAGCATCTCACACCAGTTAGAATGGCAATCATGAAAAAGTCAGGAAACAACAGGTGCTGGAGAGGATGTGGAGAAATAGGAACACTTTTACACTGTTGGTGGGACTGTAAACTGGTTCAACCACTGTGGAAGTCAGTGTGGCGATTCCTCAGGGATCTAGAACTAGAAATACCATTTGACCCAGCCATCCCATTACTGGGTATATACCCAAAGGACTATAAATCATGCTGCTATAAAGACACATGCACACGTATGTTTATTGCAGCATTATTCACGATAGCAAAGACTTGGAACCAACCCAAATGTCCAACAATGATAGACTGGATTAAGAAAATGTGACACATATACACCATGGAATACTATGCAAGCATAAAAAATGATGAGTTCATGTCCTTTGTAGGGACATGGATGAAATTGGAAAGCATCATTCTCAGTAAACTATCGCAAGAACAAAAAACCAAACACCGCATATTCTCACTCATAGGTGGGAATTGAACAATGAGATCACATGGACACAGGAAGGGGAATATCACAGTCTGGGAACGGTGGAGGGGTGGGGGCAGCGGGGAGGGATAGCATTGGGAGATATACCTAATGCTAGATGACGAGTTAGTGGGTGCAGCGCACCAGCATGGCACATGTATGCATATGTAACTAACCTGCACAATGTGCACATGTACCCTAAAACTTAAAGTATAATGATAAAAATAAATAAATAAATAAATAAATAAATAAATAAATAAATAAAAAAGAATGGTCAGAGAAATGTGACATTGCCAGCTTTAAAAAGAGAGAGGAGAGGCAATGAGAAAGGGAATGCTGATGTTCTCTAGAAGATAGAAAAGGACAGGATATGGATTCTACCCTAGCCGCCATAAAGAAACATGCCTGTCGACAACTTGATTTTAGTTCACTAAAATGCATGCCTGATTTCTGACTTGTGTACACTGTAAGATGATAAGTTTGTGTTATTTTAGGTCACTTAGTTTGTAGAAATTTGTTACAGCAGTAATAGAACAAGTGGTTATCCATATGAGGCAAATTAGATTGGATAACTGTCTCCAATAGAAATCAATTCAAGGTGAATTCCAGGAAAATACTTAAAACATTTAGATTAAAAATAAATGAGAATTTTTGTTACTTTTGGTAGGTCATAGAACCAAGAAAAACAAACATTAAGGAGGAAAAATGAACATATGACTACATCAAAATATAAAGCTTCTCTATTTGGATGATATCATAAGGTGACAAATCATAAACTGTAATATTTGCAACATATATATGAGTGAATAAATATACATTTAGAATATATATGAACTCCCAAAAATCAACAGGAAAAATAAGACATAGAACAAGCAAAATGCATAAACAAAAGAAGGCAAAACAAAAATTATGACTCATAATTATATGAAAAGAAGCTCATCTTCATAGATGAGCAGATAAATGCAAATTAAAACCACCCTGAGATGCTTTTTACATCCATGAGCCTGATAAAAGTTAGAGTCTAAAAGTAATATTTAACAAAGATGGGAAGTAACAGAAAATCTTGTCCATTACTGGTTAAAGTATAAACTGATACAGCTAATTTATAGAATATTGCATTATAGAATAAAGTTGTGAGTATGTATACGCAGTGACTCAGCATCTTCATTGCTAATATGTACTCAAGAGAAACTTACAGGAGTGGACTAGGAAGTAAATACAAAATGATTACAACATTGTTTGTTATATCAAAAAATAAAAAAGACACCCAATTTACCAGCAAAAAAAAAATAAGTAAAAATAAATCCTGGTGTATTCTAACAATGGAATAGTATATAGCCATTAAAATAAATCAACTATTACTGTACATATGAATGTAAGTATCAGCAAAACATATTGTTTAGTGAAAAAGTAAGAAGCTGAAGAAGAATATATACAATATGGTTACATTTATATGAAGTCCAAAAACTTGCAAAATAAAGAAATGTATTTAGAAATAGATTCACATGTGAGAAAACTAGAAGAAAATTAATGAAAGGATAAAAGGGATAGCAGTAATTCTGAGTAGTTGAGGGGATTTCAATTGGAAAAAAATAGTATCATATTCTTTAAGTCAGGTAGTGGGTATTAGCATTTGTTTTACCATCGTTCTTTATTCTTATAGCTACATTATGTATTTTCTATGTATTTAATGTATTTTTTGCATAATTAAATATTATGCAATAAAAATGAGAAAACAAAAAAGTAGAAAATGATAAATAACATACAATAAAGAAATGGAGAAAAAATTATAATCTAGTTGAGTAATGGTATATTACATAGCTATTTTCTTAAGTAGATGTATGTACATGATGTATGCATGATTGTACATACATGTTCTTAATTATATATAAATATATATGTACATATTTTTAATATAAAATACTAAACAAAGTACACCAAAATATTAGCTCCTATGTTAGTGAGATAATGTTTTTTTTTTGTATTTTAAGTTTTACATAGTAGGTGTATTTGTCTGTTTTCATACTGCTATAAAGAACTGCCCAAGACTGGGTAATTTATAAAGGAAAGAAGTTTAATTGGCTCACAGTTCAGTACAGCTTGGGAGGCCTCAGGAAATCCACAATCATGGCGGAAGACAAAGAGGAAGCAAGGTAGCTTCTTTGCAAGGCAGCATGAAGAAGTGCTGAGCAAAGGGGAAAGAATCCCTTATAAAATCATCAAATCTCGTGAGAACTCACTATCACAAGAACAGCACAGGGGAAACTGCCCCCATGATTCAATTACCTCCACCTGGTCTCTCCCTTGACATGTGGGGATTATGGGGGCTATGGGGATTACAATTCAAGATGAGATTCAGGTGGGGATACAAAGCCTAACCATATCAGTAGGCAAGTGTTGAATTTTAAACTCAGAGAAAAATACTAGTGTTTTTATAGGATTCTTACTAAAGAAAAACGAGAAAGTAATAAACCATCTATGCTAAGACATAAAATTCAGTTGTTTAGTTACAAGATAGAATGTGGCCTTGTAAGAAAGCAAATTAACTTCTAACATACAAAGCCTTAGAGAAGATTCAAGTGACTGACGGATCTTAAACAGAGCTATTATTACAACTCAAACTGCAGTAAAATATCCTAAGCAACATAGATGTGTGTGTTTCCCTAGTCAGAGCAATACAAATTTAATGAAACTCCATTGGTGGTGTTTTTAATCAGACAATTTCTGAAGATGTCCTGGCTTATTCATAGACGCAAGCCAAATCTCTAGAAGAGTACCATAATAAGAAAAAAAAAAGAATACAGGCAATTGAGAGCTGTTCCAAAGTTTAGGGAGTATTTGTAAGGAATTAATAAATAAAAATGTTCTTGAAAGAGAGAAATTAATATGCAGTTCATACTGCCAGAATTGCAGGCAATTTATCAAAGTCCCCTAATCCTCCAAAATCGCTAATTTTTTCTGACACACACTTTACAGTACAGAAGAAAATGTCTCCGGCAATAAATCACAAAGTTAAAATTACCTAGTCTACAATTAACTAGACAGTGATGGTAAATCATTTTCTACCAAAAGAAAGAAATGTCTTGTCTATTCAGGTTCTGCTCTACTTAAAAGTTTTCCTTGTTGGCGAGCAAGTGGTTAGAAAATCATATTTTATACTTACATTCAGCTTAACTATCATTCAGTTCAAGATGATGACTCAGGGCCTTATCCATACCTTCAAGTTTGCTCTTAGCAAGTAATTGTTTCAGTATCTATATCAAAAATGGCTTAAGCCTGCAACATGTTTCTGAATGATTAACAAGGTGATAGTCAGTTCTTCATTGAATCCTGGATGCTTTATTTTTCTTAATAAGAGGAATTCATATGGATCAGCTAGAAAAAAAATTAAGAGGAAAATCACATGGAAAGTTATTAAATATTATATATATATTATATATAATATTATATATTATATATCATTTCCAAATTCCCCAGCGTTCATGTTTGTCAGTGCAAGTAAAGAGCCTTAGTGCTGATTAGGTTTGAGGTATGACCATTTGGCCAGAATTTATGAACTCTACATGTCGCTTGATATGTGCTTCAGGGTACACTTTTTTTTTTTTTTTTTTTTTTTTTTTTGAGACGGAGTCTTGTTCTGTCACCCAGGCTGGAGTGCAGCAGTGCGATCTCAGCTCACCGCAAGCTCCGTCTCCCGGGTTCATGCCATTCTCCTGCCTCAGCCTCCTGAGTAGCTGGGACTACAGGTGCCCACCACTATGCCCTGCTAATTTTTTGTATTTTTAGTACAGACGGGGTTTCACCCTGTTAGCCAGGATGGTCTCTATCTCCTGATCTCGTGATCCACCCACCTCAGCCTCCCAAAGTGCTGGAATTACGGGCGTGAGCGACCACGCCCCGCCAGGGTACACTTTTAAGCAGAGACACTATTTTGAAGGTCATAAAAAATATAATAAGATATAAGGCTAATTTCCTTTAATAATAATAATAATAAATTCCTTTAATAAAAATACAAAGGAATAATATAATAATTTTCTTTAATAAAATATAATAAGAGATAAGGCTAATTTCCTTTAATAAAATATAGTAACTACATACCAACACAGAATTCCAAAAAAACGAAATGGAGAGGAAGACAGCATGGGTCATTAATCTTGTCAAAAATATAAAATTATATACGAGGAATTCCTAGAAACTGTTTTCCTTGTCTGCGGCCATTGTGCTGCTGCTAGACAACTACCGCAAGCAGCCCTTCATGCCCTCCTCCCAGTACAAAGCTAATTGATTTGTGAGAAATGTTAAGCTTGGAAGAGTCAGCAACGCTGCACTTATTTTTTATTCTACTCTGACATTAGAATAATTCTTGAGTGGGGGAAGGGTTAAAACCCCCCCTGGATAAGTGTTACTAATTAATGATGATTGTTTTAAACAATGTTTGGATAATTTTTCCTTTTCCCTTGACATAAACTTGATAAATAACTGAGAAGTGAGAAGGAGATTAGTGGGTTGATTAAATTCCATCAGGTACTTAAAGTTAGCTCCAAAAATTTAGCTATTTATAAATTGTCATACATTGTTAATGTATAAGAGATGTAGATTTCATTTATCTTTGGTGGAGCGAGATGAAGCAGTGAATCATTGAAGACTGAAAGAAAGAAAAAGGTCTTTTCCCTTTTCTTTAAGAAGCATCGTTAGTTAAAAATATGTTAGTTGATACCAGAGAACTATATTTAAAGGGTCAGCAATAAGCAAATTGATTACTCTGGTGATTATTGGAGTGACATTGCCTTTTAGTTGTACTTTCACAAAAATTCACAATATTTGCCAAAGTCAAGTTATCCATTACACTATTAATTTGTCATTCTTTTGTTTATATAGTCAATATCTCTATCTCAATTGGATCTATCTCAACTGCTTCTAAACAAGCCACCATAGTCTCTCCCATTTCAACAATCTCTTCCAAGTACCATTTCATTTCTTCTTTTCATATTTTTGAAAACTTTTGTAAAACTACCTATTTTCCTCCTCCATTTCTTGTTCATTCCATTCTAGTGGACATGGAATCTGTTCCTCCTCCAAAACGGAATTTGGTAACCTTTAAATTACTAAACCCAAAACAATATGTTGTTTTTATCTTTACCTCTCTGTGGCATTTAATGATAAGACCACTACTTTCTTCTCTTTTACCCTTCTTTCTTGAATTCAGTCAAACAATGTACTTACATTTTTCATCTTATTCTCCATCTTAGAAACCACCTCAGCTTTCTCCATTCAGCCATAAAATTGTGCTTTTCCTCAAAGATTAATCTGCCTCTCCTTTCACTCTATACTATCTCTGTTAGCTAATTTTATTTGTGCACATTGCTTATACTGGGCATTATATACACATATGCATGTGTGTACATGTGCACACACACACTGTATGTGGACATGTATATATATGTGTGTGTGTGTATATATATTATATATATAAATTACAATAACATAAAGGTGGCATTTTAAATTAGTGGAAATTACCCTGATTTGATCACTACACATTCTATACATGTAAAGAAATATCACTCTGTATCCCAAGAATATGTACAATTATGGTTTGTCAAGTGAAAAAGTTCATACCTTGAAAAATTTTAGATAAATATCAAACTTTCTCTGAAACCATAACTGTAAAATGTAAAAAACAGTAATTGCTATATTGCTTATTTCTGAGTAGAAGAATATGAGCATTTCCCTAATCATTAGGTGTAATTACAATTACATATATATGTATGTTATTTATATATTTATGACATACATACATATATATGTAATTGTAATTACACCTAATGATTAGGGAAATGTCTCATATTCTATATATATAGACAGAAAGAGAGAAAATACATGAGGTAGAGAAAGAATATTTCCATCTCCTTTGAGTTCCACGGTGTTGAGAGTCAGGACAACTACAATTGCTTCATCATGCCTGCTCGCAATTATAGGGCTTTTGAACCATTTGTTCCCTCCTTAGATATCCTCATTTTTTTCAGATTCTTGCTTAGAAGTCACTCCTCCGTGGACCTCCTCTGACATATTAAACATTGCAGTCCATTATAAGCTGCAAGAGGACAGGGATTTTTGCCTGTTTTATTCCCTACTGTATCACCAGGGGCTACAGCAATATCTGACAAACAGTGGGCATGTAATGAATATTTGTTAAGTGAAGTAATAAATTCAATCAAATCACATCACCTGTTTAAAGCACTTCATTGGCTTCACATTGCACTTAGAATAAAGAGAAATTCTTTTTATACAATATAAGTTCCTGCAGAATGGAGACACTTTCTACTTCTCCAGCCTCTTTTCAACTCCTCTCCTACTAGCTTCTGTATTTAAGCCACATTAGACCTTTCTTCAGTTTTTTATATAGACTTTGTTGCATCACACCTCAGAGATTCTGTACATGTTCTTCCTCCTGCCTAGAAAGGATCGTCCCTCCACTTTCGCCAACTAATCCCTGCTCAACTTTTCATCTCAGCAGGAGGCCCATTCTCTTTGGCAATACTCTGGCCTCCAGCCCATTTATTACATGCTCACATGTCATCATGTACTTCGTACAGCATGTAACACAATTGCACTTTTATATTTTAACAAATTATTTTCCCATATTGAACTGTAAGTCTCCTGAAAGGAGGAATTTTGTTCTTGCTCATCATCAACTTTTTCAACATCCAGTGCACCATTTAGAACTTAGATGTAGTCAATACAGGTTTGTGGAATGAAAGAGGAAAAGAAAGAATTAATATTCCTTTAAATTAGGATTGCAAAGATCGTATATAGAAAATTGGCTAAGTTGTGGTCCATTCATGTTTGCTCCCAATTAAGGAGCACAGCTATGAAAAGGAAGGCTTCAAATTAATAACCAATAGATTTTTTAAAAAAGAAAACTGGCCAGGTACTGTGGCTTATGTCTGTAATATCAGCATGTTGGGAGGCCAAGGCAGGATTACTTGAGCCCAGAAATTCCAGACCAGCCTGAGAATTTGGCAAAACTCTGTCTCTACAAAAAATACAAAAATTAGCCAAATTTGGTGGCATGTGCCTGTAGTACCAGCTACTTGGGAGGCTAGGTTGAAGAATAGCTTGAGTCTGGGAGGTCAAGGCTGCAATGAGCTGTGATCGCACCACTGCACTCAAGCCTGGGTGGTAGAGTAAGACCCTGTCTCAAAAAAAAAAAAAAAAAAAGAAAAATTACTAAGCAAAATAAGACATGTGAAGGATCATGTCAAAGGTAAGAAAAATTAGGGGAACATTAAAAGCTTTCTTCCCAAGCCACTAAATCAACTTGACTAACAAAATTACCACTTGATTTAGCATTAGAAAATTACATTACATATCAAACATAAACCCATTAATCAAATACTAAAGAAATTTCTGAGTTAAATGGTATAATGTTAGCTTATGCCGGAGCTGACCTTGAAAGATTGTTCAAATATGGCTCAGTGTGATTGAAAGTTCTGTGTGAATATGTTTTTGGAAAGATCCAATAGCAACATCTTAGTGTATGTTTTTGAAATAAAATGTATCTGAGTAGCAGCAAAGTTATTCTTAAATTTCCATTTTATAGCTGGAGATGTTATACCGTGACATATATGATAGGACCCAATATGGATTAATCCCTTTTAGAAGTCAATCAGGAAGAGAGGAGCAGTTAAAACAGTTGCTTCATTTACAAACATTAGAACAATTTTCTTATTCACACCATCTGATTATTGTATTTTATTTTTTCCCCAATGTTTATACTACACAATGAGTTAAGAATGATAAAAATAAGCTCACCAATATACTAGGTACATATTTACCAAAATCTGTGCATGCCTATACATATAAACACAGCTGATAATTTATTAGTTAGGCTCATTTGTAATTTTTGTCACTATAGACCAGTTTTTTATTTAAATTGAAGATTAGTATACATTTTAAATGATTAGTCAAAATAAAAAATCTAAAATGTGCTCTAAATACTTCTTAGGTCAGAAAAAAAAAAGTCAAAAGCTAGAATATAGAGAAATTAAGAAATGCCCTAAATTTCTAACCTGACAAAAATTCATACAAGAGTTAAATATTTTAATGGAAAATAGAACAGAACTAATCATGGAAGAAATTATAGAAAGGAAACAAAATAAACAGATTATATGGAGGATTTTTAGAAGATAAGTAAATAAATTAATATACTAGGAAAAAACAAGGGAAATATAATTGATAAATACAGGTAAGAGTTCTTTTGAAATAATGATAAAATAGAAAATCTCTGTCAAAACTAAAAGGAAAGATGCATAAATATATAAATAAATGATAAAAAGATGTTGCATACATATATGACTTTTTCAGAATCAAAAAAATTAAATTTCTGTAATAAAATTTAAATGTTTATAAATTTAAAAAACTAGAAGAAAGAATGTTGACTGTTCACAATACAAATAAATGACAAATATTTGAGGTGATGGATATGCTAATTATCCTTATTTGATCATTGGACATTGTATACATGTATCAAAATATCACTCTGTATCCCATGAATATGTACAATTATTTGTCTCAAAAACAAACAAAAAAAAAGATAATGGGAGAATGTTGAAAACTCAGAGAGAAGAGCAACTGTCACAGATAGGGATCCAGATAACATTAGCAGCTGATTTCTCAGCAGAAACCTTGAAGGCCAGTAGGCAGTGGATTATATATTTAAAATAATGAAGAAACCTGTCAATTGAGAAATCTATAGCTGGAAAACTTATCCTTCAAAAATGAAGGAGAAATTAAGACATTTCCGGATTTTTTTTTTAAACTGAAAAAAATCCATTTATCCCTGAATTTGCCATTCAAGAAGTGTTAAGTCCTTCAGGTTGAAATAAATGAACTCTAGGCAATAACTATATAAGTAAATAAGCAAGCTGTGTGAATATACAAAGCTCTCTGGTAAAGGTAAATACATAAACAAACATAAAAACAGTCCTATTGTTATTTTGGTTTGCAACTCTGCTTTTTATTTTCTACATAATTTAAAAGGCAAATGCATAAAATGTAATTGTAAATCTGTTAGCTGGTATACAATGAATAAAGATATAATTTGTTACATCAATAACATAAAAAGAGTAGAGCTATATATATAGCAGTCGAATTTTGGAATGCGATTGAACTTAAGTTGAAATAAATTCAAATTAAAATGTTATAACTCTAGGATGTAATTCTCATAGTAACCAAAAATGAAATATACATAGAATATAAACAAAAGGAAATGAGACTAGAAACAAAATGTGTCACTACAAAAAAATCAACTAAAGATAAAAAAGAAATAATTGAGAAAATGATTGGCAAAAATCAGTAACTCTGATGTATTAAAACTTTCCATGCTACATAAAACTGAAAACTCTATTTCACATAAAACTGGAGCTGAAAGAGACAAATATTTACCTATAAAGTTAAAAGTTATATAGGGAACAAACACTAATTTTTTTTAGAAAAAATTATAAAAAGAGTAAAAATATGCCTTATACTACCATAATTTCATGTTTTACAGCTCTGGGAAAATAGAAAATAAAATGTTCTGTTAGCATGAATCCCTCTGTGACCCCAAAAAACCCTATGGATTGCATCATTATTACCTAAAAAGTCTATTCTCAAATGCAGCAGAGTGATTTTTTTACAAGGTAGATATTAATTTTAGATATGGAATAATATTGGTGATTTCAATTTTATAACACTGGGTTAAGATGAAAGAATGAGAAGTTAAAGGTCCCTCAGCAATATAACCCACAAACATGTTCAGAAGCAGTAAGAAGTTACATTAATTATCTTTTGAAAGTCGATAATCTACATCTTTAATGTATGCATATAGCATAGCTAATGTACTATCACTGGGTCCATTTATTCAATGAATAATTGCTGCTATGTGTCAGACATTTTTCTAGGCCTAGGAATGGATACATAAGTGAACAAAGCAAAGATTCTGGTTCTTGTAGAGTTTCCATTAAAAGACCATTTAGTAAAACTTTTCTTCCCCCAAATTATAAAATCTGTAAGATGATTTAACAACATGTGTAAAAGTCATTGTGGGCCAGGCACGGTGGCTCATACCAGATGTGGTGACTCATAGCAGTCTGTCACCCAGGCTGGAGTGCAGTGGCACAATCTCTGCTCACTGCAACTTCTGCCTCCTGGGTACAAGCGATTCTCCTGCCTCAGCTTTCTGAGTAGCAAGGACTACAGGTGCACACCATCACGCCTGGCTAATTTTTGTACTATTAGTACAGACGGAGTTTCACCATGTTGGCCAGGCTGGTCTCGAACTCCTGACCTCAAATGATCCGCCCACCTCGACCTCCTAAAGTGCTGGAATTACAGATGTGAGCCACAATGCCTGGCCTTATTTTCTACAACTTTGGTAACTTTAGCATATACCCCAAATCTGTAAGACATAATATTATAATTCAAATGCAACTCATGGCTTCTCATTGTACTCTTTCTCTAGCTTTTGAATTATTTATTCTAATATCAGTTTTAATTCTGACACAATAGCATGGGAGTTCTAATCAAAATCCAACCTTTTATCATAAAAACTATGAAGAAATTATGAGTAGAATTTAAAAAGGAAAATAGGCCTATTAATTAGATTTGTCTTTGTAGCATTTAACTCTATAATAAATAATATTTTATGCCTATGAGTCCCCAACAAAGCCTCCAGCTTCTATTTAGATATAAAACGTAAAAGTCACTACTGGATCCACAAGCAAGACTATGGTAAAGAAATTTCTCCACCTAACCAGCTTCTTTTACATGATGTTACATGTTTCTTTTGTTTTTTTCATTTTGGCAAATATTGATTGTCATCTTCGTGTTTGTCTATGTCCTAAGTGCTGGGATACAGAATCTGAAAACATGGACACAGGACCTGCCTTCAAGTTCACCCTTTCTTTTTTTTTTTTTTTTTTTTTTTTTTTGAGATGGAGTTTTGCTCTTGTCACCCAGGCTGGAGTGTAATGGTGAGCTCTCTGCTCACTGCAACCTCCACCTCCAGGGTTCAAGTGATTCTCCTGCCTCAGCCTCCCAAGTAGCTGGGATTACAGGTCCCAGCCACCACGCCTAGCTAATTTTTGTATTTTTAGTAGAGACAGCGTTTCATCATGTTGGTCAGGCTGGTCTCGAACTCCTAACCTCAGGTAGTCGACCCACCTCGGCCTCCCACAGTGCTGAGATTACAGGCATGAGCCACCACGCCCTGCTAGGAGTTCACACTTTAGTTGGGGAAAATATACAATAAGCAAGCCAATTTTTAAAATGAGAACTGCAATTAGAGTTAAATGCTACAAAGACAATCTCACAGGAAGATGGGATGCAGAATGATAAGGCTTTCAGAATAGTAAGAGAAATTATTGTTTCTTACGATGTTTGTCTTTCTTTGTATCAGTGCTCAGCTGAGTCTGCAGTGCTTCAGAGGCAGCTTTCATTTTATAAAAATCTATGATTTCTCCTTCCAGTTGTTTTTTCTCTTCCTCGAGCTTCCTTATCTCCTCCTGCTGAATCATTTTAAGATGCTCGAACTTGTCCTGCAGCTGTGAAACCAATGTGCAGTTGTGACACCAAAGCAGTGTGGCTGAACACCCAAAAGAATATGCTTTTTTCTGATTATCAAACAAACCCAAATCATCACAGTAGAGCATGATCTTACTAATAATCTCAAAAACTCAGGAGTAAACACTCAGATATGGAATTTTTCTTTTCTTTCTTTTTTCCTTTTATAAGATGGAGTCTCACTCTGTTGCCCAGGCTGGAGTGCACTGGTGCGATCTCAGCTCACTGCAACCCCCATCTCCCAGTTCAAGTGATTCTCCTGCCTCAGCCTCTTGAGTAGCTGGGACTACAGGCATGCACCACCACTACAGGCGTGTGCCACCACACCTGGCTAATTTTTGTATTTTTAGTAGAAATGGGGTTTTGCCATGTTGGCCAGTCTGGTCTTGAACTCCTGACCTCAGGTGATCCTCCCACTTTGGCCTCCCAAAGACTTTTTTTCTTTTTTAATATAGAGACAAGTTCTCAGTATATTGTCCAGGCTGGTCTCAAACTCCTGAGCTCAAGTGATCCTCCCACCTCAGCTTCCCAAAGTGCTGGGACTGACTGGATGCAGTGGCTCATGCTTGTAAACTCAGCACTTTGGGAGGCCAAGGTGGGAGGATCGCTTGAGCCCAGGAGTTCAGGACCAGACTGGGTGATATAACACAATAGTAAACTTCAACAGGAGAGAGAATCTGTAAACTTGAATATAGATCTTCTGAAATTATCCAGTCAGAGGATAAAGAAAAAAAGAATAAAAAAGAGAAAAGAAGGCTGGGCATGGTGGCTCAAGCCTGTAATCCCAACACTTTGGTAGGCCAAGGCAGGCAGATTAAGAGGTCAGGAGTTCAAGACCAGCCTGGCCAACATGACAAAACCCCATCTCTACTAAAAATACAAAAATAAGCCGTGTGTGGTGGCACATACCTGTAGTCCCAGCTACTTGGGAGGCTGAGTCAGGAGAATCGCTTGAACCCAGGAGGCAGAGGTTGGAGTGCAATGTGAGCCAAGACCACACATTGCACTCCAGCCTGGGTGACAGAGCAAGACTCTGTCTCAAAAAAAAAAAAAAAGAAAAAAGAAAAAAGAAAATAAAAGAGACAGAGAAAAGAAAGCCCACAAGACACCATTAGGCAAACCATTGTCAGGTTATGGGAGTTTGAGAAGGAAAGTAGAGAAAGGACAAGAAAGCTTATTTAAAGAATGGCTGAAAACTGCCTAAATCATAGGAAAGATTTAGACATCTAAACCCATGAAGCTTAAAGATTCCTAAAGAGGTTCAAACCAAATAGATACTCACCAAGTCACAATATAATCAAATAGTCAAAAGTTAAAGAAACTTTGCAGGTCAGGACAGAATCGAATAATACATTCAAAGTGCTGAAAGAAAAAAACTGCCAGCAACTAATACTATGTCTGACAAAGCTGTCCTTCAGATAGAAAGAAGAAATAACATGTTTCCTCGACAAACAAAGCTGAGGGCATTCAGGACCACTAGGTCTACCTTAAAAAAAATGCTTAACGGAGTTTTTCAAGTAAAAATGAATGAAGTTAGGAGCGGTGGCTCATGCCTGTAATCCCATTTTGGGAGGCCGAGGTGGGTGGATCACCCGAGGTCAGGAGGTCAAGACCAGCCTGGCCAACATGGCAAAACCCCACCTCCAGTAAAAATACAACAAATCGCCAGGTATGAAGGCCACTGAGATCGTGCCACTGCACTCCAGCCTGGGTGACAAGAGTCAAACTACATTTCAAAAACAAAAAACAAAACAAACAAAAAAACAAAACTTGAGGTCTGTCCTTCTGCTCCTCTCCAACCCCCCCTTCTCTGGGCCCAAGCCACCTTGGCTGAGGAGGGGGCAAGGAGGTGTGGGCCCCTGCCAGGAACCCTGTGCCCAGACCAAGTACTCAGCCCCCAGGCCTGCGTTCAGTGAGGCCTCCCGTGGCGTCAGCATGTTCGTGTGGAGCAATGTGGAAGGTCATTCTGTGGCCATGTTCCCCTGGTACTCCATCCCCTTCCTGAACCCTCCCTGCAGCCACACGAGGCCCAGCAACCTGCCAGTCACTCAGTGGCCTCCAACCAGAGAAAACAACCTGCCAAGTTGGCAGCTGTTGCTCACGAGCATCCACCAGGTGGGACAGGGAGTGTTGACCCTGGGCGGCCCCCTGGAGCCACCTGCCCTGAAAGCCCAGGGCCCGCAACCCCACACACTTTGGGGGTGGTGGAACCTGGTAAAAGCTCATCTCCCACCATGGAGGAGGAGCCCTGGGCCCCTCAGGGGAGTCCCTGCTGGACAGTGAGACAGAGAATGACCATGATGATGCTTTCCTCTCCATCATGTCTCCTGACACCCAGTTGCCTCTACCACTCAGATGATGTCAGGCCCAGTTCCTCAGTGCCCTGCACAAGGAACAGGGCTCATCTTCTGAGAAGGATGGACGCAGCCCCAACAAATGGGACAAGGACCACATCCGGTGTCCCATGAGTGGCGGTCATGATCTTCAGCAAGCGGCACCAGGCCTGGCAGGGCACACCAGGGTCACCCCAACCAGGATAACTGGACCGTCAGCCAGATGCTGAGCAAGTGGTGGTACACCCTGGGGCCCAATGAGAGGCAGAAATACCATGAACTGGCCTTCCAGGTGAAGGTGGCCCACTTGCAATAAGGACTGAAAGAAGTTCAGCTCAGAGGCCAAGCCCACAAGCCAGGGGCTAGCAGGAGTGTAACAAAGGCTCGTGGGAGTGGAGCATGTCAGAGACTGGCACTGCCACTGCCCCTGGGGTGTCCTCTGAACTCCTGTCAGTTGCAGCCCAAACACTCCAGAGCTCGGATACCAAGGAGCAGCTTCTGTGGGGCAGAATGGCTGCACACAGTCAGGGAACCTGGCTCAGCCTGGCCCAAGCCTTCTCCCACAGGGGGGTACACAGCCTGGATGGCAGGGAAATAGACCATCAGGCACTACAGGAACTGACACAGGTGGTATCTGGCACTGCATCATACTCTGGCCCAAAGCCTTCTACTCAGTATGGAGCTCCAGGCCACTTTGCAGCCCCTGGTGAGGGAGGTGACCAGTGGGCAGCCCTGCTGCTGCCCACCTGAGCTGGTCATTCCCAGCACATGGCCAGTGAGGACATAGCGAGTGACAAGGAGCACACGGTCATCCATGAGGAATAGGGTGTGATGATGTCATTGCTGATGATGGCTTTAGCACCACTGACACTGATCTCAAGTTCAAGGAGTGGGTGACCGACTGAGAGTGGGGACAACTCTGGGGAGGAGCCAGAGGGCAACAAGGGCTTTAGTGGGAAGGTATTTGCACCTGTCATTCCTTCCTCCTTTACTCCTGCTGCCCCTTGCTGGATCCTGAGCCCCCAGGGTCCCCCGATCCACCTGCAGCTTTTGGCAAAGTCTATGGTCCCACCCTGTCCTCCTCCTACACATACTCGGATGCTTCCTCCTCAATCTTGGCACCCACCTCCTTCTTACTGGGCCCAGGAGCCTTCAAAGCCCAGGAGTCTGGTCAAGGCAGCAGAGCGGGCCCCCTACAGCCCCTACCCCTGGGGATGTGGACCCAGGGATGCCTTCCAAGGTGACCTGTTTCCTCCCAATGGATCCTTCCACCTTCTGGTGCAAGAGACCTGAAAGTGTGGGTGACCTGGAGCTACCAGGCTCCTCAGTCATCAGGGTCCCTCCCAACACTAAGGCTTTCCTAGGCAGGAGCTGGGCTGAGCCACCTGGGGGGCAGAGCCTGAAGAGAAACTGACTGGGCTTTTGGGGTCGGGGAAGAGGGAACCCCACAGACATGGATCCCACACTGGAGGACCCCACCACACCCAAATGCAAGATGAGAAGATGCTCCAGCTGCAGCCCAAAGCCCAACACCCCCAAGTGTGCCATGTGTGATGGGGACAGCTTCCCCTTTGCCTGTACAGTTGGAGAAGCCAAGGACAGGCTCAGGGAACTGGAGACCGAGTAGGCGCTGTCCTCTTCACTGCACGCGCCCTGGACCAGTGCCAGCCCTGATCATGCAGCATTTCCAGGCCCCCTTCTTCTTCCTGTCCACTAGGCCACAGCCGCCCTCCAGGCCCACTATGTACACATCTTCCCCTCCAAGGTTTGTTCTGCCCCTGCCCTGACTCCCAGCCCTGTGGGGGTCCTGACCACACCTCACCTGGCTCAGACTCTTGACGCTGCCCTGGCTGCCCCACCACTGCCTCTGCCTGAGAGTCACATGAGGCTGAGAGTAGGGGCAGGGGCAGCAGTGGTGCCAGTTGGGGGGTGGTCCAGTGGGAGGAGCCTCAGCCTTGTGGGCTGCTCCATGGGACTGATGACTGCATGATCTTCTGGGCACCTCATGGATCTTCAACTGCAGGTGAAACAGATGCTGGTGGTGGCTGCAGGGCCGCTGGGAGCTGCTGCATGGGTCCCAGAGGCTGGACTGGGGCAGGTGCCAACTGAAGCTGCTGGGGCAGCAAGGGCAGGATGTTCTGCACACAAACCTTGGAAAAGAAGGTGTGTGCATAGCGGGTCCACTGCTGCTGCCCCTGCCCTGACTCCCAGCCCTGCCTGACCCCACCTCACCCTGCTTAGGCTCTGGCGCAACCCTGGCTGCCCTGCCACTGCCTCTGCCCCAGAGTTGGGGCCTTGACAGCCTGGCTGGAAGGGGACACCCTAGCCTTGCCTCAACACCTGGGGGTCTCCATAACTACCACAGGCAGGTAGGCGACCCCAAAGAAGATCCCAGGACTCACAGTACAACCTGAGAACATGGACAGTATGTGGGGGTAGCAATGGAGGGCAAGATGGTTATCTTCTCCCAGGTAAAGAGATTTAATCCTTTCAGTTTGGGATGGAATAAGGCCTGTCTCTTTTTTTTTTTTTTTTTTTTTTTGAGACGGAGTCTTGCTCTGTCGCACAGGCTGGAGTGCAGTGGTGCGATCTTGGCTCACTGCAACCTCTTCCTGCCGGGTTCACGCCATTCTCCTGCCTCAGCCTTCCGGGTAGCTAGGGTTACAGGTGCACGCTACCACGTCTGGCTAATTTTTGTATTTTTAGTACAGACGGGGCTTCATCATCTTGGCCAGGCTGAGTTCGATCACCTTACATCATGAACTGCCTGCCTCCACCTCCCAAAGTGCTGGGATTACAGGCATGAGCCACCACGCCTGGCCAAGGCCTGCTCCTCTTATCTATACCCCCTACCCCTGCAGCTGTGCCAGGGGAAAGCTGGGCAGTTTCCCTCCTCCGAGCCCCTGTACATTCCATGAATTGTGGGACCTTCACAGCTTTTCACTTTTCAGAAAATAGTTCCTGCTGGGGCTACAAGATGGAGTGTGAAGAGGGCTTTGGGCCACAGGGAGGCGACTGTGGACTAGGGGGAGTTCATGCACCCCTTCTTTCCCCAGAGGGGCTGGACTCAGGTGAGTATGGGGGTGGGGGCTCCTGCACTTCGACACAGGCGGCAGGAGGGTTTTCTCCCCATTCCCTCTGCACTCCCAACTTGAGCTGTACTTTTTAAGAAAGTGATTCACCCTGCCTTTGCCCCCTTCCCCAGAACAGAACACGTTGATCATGGGCGATATTTTTCATTGTGCCAAAAAGTTGCCATGACCATCATTAAACCTGTTTAACACCAAATAATAAGGAAAATAAAATAAAAAATTCAGGCTTGGTGCAGAAACTCACTCCAAATAAATTACCTACCAAAATATTTATATAATGGTGGAAATATTCCAAAATTCCATATTTTGGGATTTATACACAAAAGATAAACAAATTAGAGGCCAAGAGGCTGCCGGAAGGGAAAAACGGGGCCTGGAAAGGCCGCTGTGAGGAATGAGCTGGGCCTAAAGAGGCCACTGGCAGGCAGGAGCTGGACCTGCTGAAGTGGCCGAAAGGCAGGAGCTTTGGACCGGGGAGGCCGCAGTGAGGCGAGAGCTAGCTGGGCTTGGAGAGTCCGCTGTGAGGCCAAGGCCGGGCCCGTGCAGGCCTTCAAGAGGCAGGAGGCCAGGCCTGCAAAGGCTGACTGGAGGTCAAGTTCGGGGCCTGAAGAGGCCGCCAAAAGTCAAAAGCAAGGCCTGGGAAGGCCGCCGAGAGCCATGAGCTGGGCTGGGCCAAAAGAGGCCACTGGGAGGCAGGAGGAGCTGGGCCTGGAGAGGCTGACTCGAGGAAGTTTTGCACCTGGAGAGGCCACCGAGAGGACGGAGCTGGGCCCAGGGAGGCTGACTTGCAGCTCTTCCAGGCCCACTTCCAGGCCGACTTGAGGAAGACTTGGGCCTGCAGAGGCAGCCAGGAGGCTGGAGCTGGTCCTGGAGAGGCCAACTTCGGGACGATTTGGGCCTTCAGAGGCTACCAGGAGGCCCAAGCTGGGCCTAGAGGAGCCCACCAACCGGAGGCTGTTTGGGGCCTGCAGATGCCATTGGAGGGTAGGAGCTGAGCCTGAAGAGGCCACCGTGAGGCCTGAGCTGGGCCTGGGGAGCTTGGCTTCGGAAAGTTGTGGGCCTACCAGGGCCCCTGGGAGCTGGGCAGGAGCTGAGTCCAAAGACGTTGTTGGGAGGCCGGAGTCGGGCCTGGAGACACAGCCGGGAGGAAGAGCTGGGCCCGGAGAGGATGCCAGGAGGCTGCAAGTGGGTCTGGAGAGGCTGACTTGAGGAGGCCCGTCCTCTGCCTCCCGCATGGCGGCCTCTGTAGGCCCAGCTGTTCCTCCTGGCTGCATCTCCCAGCCCAGCTCCTGCCTCCCAGCAAACAAGCTCTTTTGGCTCAGCTCCTGCCGGCCTTTGTAGACCCCGAAGTTTCTGCAACCAAGCTCTTCAGGCCCACATCCCACCTCCCAGAGGCTTGAACAGTCCCAGCTCCGGCTGGAGAAGAGCGTCTGCAGGCCCCACTGTTGCCTCCCAGGGGCGTCTCCAGGCCCAGCTCTCACCCCACTGTGGCCTCCCAGGCCCAAGTCCCTGCCTGCCTCCCAGCAGCCCGCATGTGACCCTGCTCCTCCCTCACGGTGGCCTGTTGAGGAAGGGGCTCACACTGACCTCTCTCAGTGTGGGAGGGGCCGGTGTGAGGCAAGGGCTCACGCTGACCTCTCTCAGTGTGGGAGGGGCCGGTGTGAGGCAAGGGGCTCCCGCTGACCTCTGTCAGCGTGGGAGGGGCCGGTGTGAGGCAAGGGGCTCCCGCTGACCTCTGTCAGTGTGGGAGGGGCCGATGTGAGGCAAGGGGCTCCCACTGACCTCTGTCATGCCACTGCACTCCAGCCTGGGTGACACAATGAGTCTCTGCATAAAAAAAAAAAAAAAAATTCCTGCCCTTATGACTTACTTACAGGAGACAGATAATAAACAAAACAAGTAAGTAAAATAAGTAGCATATCATATAGTGATAAGTAAAAGAAAAAGCAGGGCAGTGGGGTGGGGTGCAATGGTTTGTGCCTGTAATCCCAGCAATTTGGGAAGCTGAGGCAAGAGAATTGTTCCAACCCAGGAGTTTGAAACAAGCCAGGGCAACATAGTGAGTCGCCACCTCTACAAAAACATTTAAAAATTACCTGTGCATGGTGGTGCATGCCTGTAGTCCCAGCTACTCAGAAAGTTGAAGCAGGAAGATCACTTGAGCCCAGGAGTTCAAGGTTACAGTGAGCTATAATTGCACCACTGCATGCCAGCTTGGTGACAGAGTGAGACCCAGGATCAACACACACACACACACACACACACACACACACACACACACACACACACAGCCAACAACCAAAAAAAAAAAAGGGATGGGGACTAGGCTGACTGGGCTGGAAGGAATCACAATTTAAAATACAGTCGTCAGGAAAGACCTTACTGAGAAAGAGATAGTTAAGCAAAGACATGGAAACAGTAAGTTGTATCAGAATGTCATTAACCCTGACGCTCCAAGGGTTCGTGGGAGAGTGACGATTTTTGAAAAGTCATTGTGTCAGGACTCTTTTTGTTGTAAATGACAGGAAAATAGGCTCACCATGACTTCAGCAAGAAGGGGGAATGTATTAGTTCAAGGAATTGAAAAGTCCAGGTCAGGCTGGAGTCAGGGGTCAAACGACGTCATTGGGACACGACCTAGTTCATTGTGCATTTCTGCTTTTTCTGTGGTGGTTTATTTTCTAGTTCCATATGGAGGTAGAATGGCTATCAGCAACCCCAGGCCAACATCCTGCAGAGTTCAAACCTAGAATGGAAGAGAGAGTGCCTCTTTACCATCAGGCCAAGCAAAAGACTCAGTGCACCTTATTGGGTCACAGGCTCATCTGGGCTCATCTGAACACTTGACTATGATCGGGAACATATGGTTCTGAACGGCTGGGCTCAGTCACCTGCCTAACCCTGGAGTCACAGGGAGAGTTAACATACTGACAGTAGTGGAAGGTGGGGCCCCAAGGAAATATGGGGTGTTGACTGCAGAGTAGAGAAAGCAGCAAGTATACATGATATCACTGATCTAAAAATAATTTCTTTTATGATATTGCATAAATTGTTGATGCAGTTTGCTCCATGCCCAAAGGGTGGTTAATAACAGATTACAGATTTCTCCCTAAGAGACAATCTACAGACAGCGTAAGCTCCTTCAGTGGGAGTCCTAGACTGGGGTCCCCTGTCACTACACAGGACATGTGAGCAGCACATTCACAAGCTCTCAGAGCTTCAAGGGTGGCTGGATGTTTGGTTTTATACTGTGACCTCTTGTGCTTCCTCCGTGGGCTTTAGTGGGCCACATCACAAGTGCCTGACATCTCCAGTGTCAGAAGCTCAAGGCTTTTAGAGTCTTGTTCCACTTAGGCTGACCTGTTACCTATGGGGCCTGACAACATTCTAGAGACATGGTCCTAAATTCTGAAAACCTAGTCCACTACTTGAGTAAAATCTTGGTGTTTTTCTAGGAAACTGCGTTTTCACGCTTTGATGTTAGACAGCCCTGGGGCTAGATTTTGACTATCACTTACCTGCTGGGGGACTCTGAACAAGTCATGTGACTGACTTCTTGAGTCTCAGGTTTAATATTTGCATAATGAGGTCATTAAAATGAGTAAATAAATGACCAAGTATAAAGAATCTAGTAACAGCCCGGCATACAGTGGGAGCTCAGAAAATTTGTTTCATTTTTTTCCACTTCCCTGCTCCCTTTTTCCATGAGGCCATTACCAGGCTTCCCTGGAGTCCATGTTATGCAACTTGAAGATAAACCTGTCAAATAAAAAGGAAAGGAATGAAAGGGATGGGTAAATGAACCCTGGGGCAGAGCTGGGGGATGTGTAGTTGAGTGGAAAATCATAGACTTTGGAATAAAACTGAATTTTAAATACAGGCCCCATCCCTTGTTAGATAGAAGGCCTTGGAAAAATTACTTAATATTCCAGAGTCCCAATACCCACAATGAGAAAACAATTACTGCTGTTTACAGAGGCTGTGAAGGTTAGTTGAAATAATGTAACCTGGCACACAGTAGGCCTTCGATGAGTCCTAGTTCTCTTTGTTTGCAAAAGTAATTTAATACTTGGGTGAAAGTGATTGACAATCAAGACACTTACACACAAAAATGCCCAGAGAAAATTATTTTCCTGAAGGCTCAAACATCCAGACTTTTGCTTGTTCTCCTCCCTTTTTGCTTGTGCAATTTTTTCCCCTTATGTTGGAGGCTGGGAAATAAAAGTCAGTCAACAAAGCCGTACTGACAACCTGTCATGCCCGAAGAGAATACTATGTGTTATGGATGGGAAACCAAATCAGACATAATCCTTGTCCTTGAGAAGGTTTGACTTAATTGGGGGAAATAAAACATGCAAAAGAGGTTATTTAAAATGCTTATGAATAGCCTGCTGACCAAATGCCAAGGTAGACCATGAAGGAGTGACCAGGTTTGGATGTGAAAAGTCAGGAGGGTTTCTAAGGACAGAGATTAGCAGGGAGGAGAACCCCCAGCAGAAGCCTAGGGGTGGAATGAAAAACCTCCTGCCTCTGGGATGGTGACCTCATTGACTTATCTGCACACCAGGAAGGCATTGTGTAGAGGTCATGAGATAACAAGTCAAGAGGCTCTTGAGCAATCAAATGAGGTCAATCACAGGCCTATGTTATTACCTGTTACTAGTGCTGGTAACACAAAAAAATCCAGTCTCCCAAACTGACTGGTTGGAAAAAGAGCTTAAACTTTCATCCACTATAAGGTGGGGACCATTCCTCTTATGAGTTTTTTATGTACATCTGAACTTCCTGGCAATTCTTACATAGAAGTAAAACTACACATCTCTGTGTAGTGTTGCATTGAACAAGACCTGAAACTCCATCAGGTACCTCATGTCAGTATAGTAATGGTGCCACCTCTTACTGGAGCTTAAATCACTGGATCTTCCCACGTCCACAATTAAGGACAGAGGATGCTGGTCTATGCTCCCAAGCCCACCTTAGTGTCTGAATAAAACCCTCCTCCGTGCCCCTCTCTACAGCTGGGTGTTATTGTGGCATGATGGCTATGAGCTGGCTCTGTTTCTCACTGGCTGTGTGAAACTTAGCCAGCTAAATAGGAGGATGATAATACTAGTGGTAATTCTTTCCTGTAATTGTAATTAATTGGGAGGTAATTAATTTAAAAGGCTTAGCATAGTGTCTGGCACACAGTAATCACTTACTAAATAGTACTTATTATCTTAAACTAGCTTGAAGTTTGGACACTATTTTTCTCTAGAGCAGAAAGGGCAGATTTATGTGACCCAGAATGGAGGGGAGCTCCATTCATTAGGAATGGATCTAAACCCAGAGGTGATTCTAGCATGGTAGAGTGGAGAATCTTCTACCTTTACTCTTACAGCATATTTGAATGTTTGAAGCACTCTTTGGTGGGAAGGTTAATGGAAAGACTCAGTGGAGTGTGTGTATAATTTTTTTTTTTGAGTATTCAAAGTACAGCAACTTTTTCAGAGCATTGCTTAGAAATGGACATGTGTGTGTGTAAGTTATGCATAAATGAAAATATAAATAAATATATATATAGTTTTATACATATAAGTAAGTTTATTAATTTTCAATATGATGGATCTGATGCCACTGAAGACAGAAAGACTCAGCACGGCTTTACCACAGACTAAATGTGTGATCTGGAGAAAGTTATTTAACCCCCATCTCAGTTTCCTCAATTGTAAATTGTTATTATTATCGAACTCAGAGGCTTATCGTGAGGATTAAACGAGATACCAAATGAAGTGTGCCTGGCCCACAGATGTTAAATGAGAGTTTAATGGAGACATGGAGCATTGTCATCAAAATCTTGGTTTCTTACCCAGCTCATTTACTCTCTGGGATAGTTTGGAAGAAATTATACATAAGAGACAGCCTGCTTGCGGAAGACTTGATGAGGAGGAGAACTGGTTGGGTGGACATATGTGATCCTTGATGCAACCTAAACCTCCTTTAGACAGATGATGGTAGTCATGCAGCTTGTCATGGTAGGAGGTTTCAAAATAAATTTCCTCTGCAGCAGTGCTAGGTTGTTTGCTTAGGAGATTGTACTTCTGACCTAGATACACCCTCTCTCTCTGGACCACAGCTGATAAAGAGAAACATCTGGATTCTCCAGGTTCACTGGTCTGGGAGGAGGAGAGGGTGGAGATCTGGGCTGAGAGTGAAGACACCTGGATTCTGGTCCCACTCACCGCTTGCCCATGGGCATGTCACTTCATCTCTGAGTCTCAACTTCCATGGGTTCAAACTGATGTTCTCTAAATTATTTCCAAGTTCTAGTATCTCATTATTCTACGAATGTATAACTTACTTTCTAGATGAAGAACATGATCATACTAGACAAAGGCAATGCCAAAATGAAATCGCCTCATTCTGTTATGCAGTTTCTTTGGCTTTCTAAAAGGAGTAGGGCGGGATTCAGCCAGATGAATAATGATATGCAAACATGTTTCTAAATCCAGGATGCAGAGTCTGGTCTTTAATAACTTGGAGGCAATGCCCTCTGCTCTCTCTAACGCCCCCATCCCAGCAGTCCAACACAGGGCTCCTGGTTGGGAGGAATTGCTCTTACTCTTTGGCGAGGTTATTCTATTGGATTTCAGAGCTGGTTTTCAAGTGTCTGTCATTCCAGAGAGACTCTCCTCGGTACTCAGGCACCCAGCAGAGGCAGCTCACACCCTCTCTCCACATGTTACTGTGGATGAATGTGTCAGAGCAAGTTGAGTCATGGGAAAGGCATGAGCTCTCCTACCTGCTCCCCAGGCAGGTCCCTCCAGGGCTATTTTCTCTGGAACCAAGCTTAGTCACTTGCCAAACTCTCAAAACAGAGATGTCTCTAAAATTCCAGGACTGTTTGTTCCCAGGCAAAGTACCTTATTTGGTGGTAAACATAAAGTGGATAGAAAGTCTCTTCTGAGAAAAGCTACCCATTGAGTGATGAGAACTGGCCACCAAGAATATAACTGGGCACTTACTAGCACAAGCAAGTATAATTGCCACTGCTACATCTGTAAAGCCCTTGGCCATTGATGAAGCCCTTTTGTGTGCTTTGCACCAATGTATTGGCCTCACCACAACTCTATGTAATAGGTAGTATTATTTTTAAATTAATTAATTAATTATTATTATTTTTGAGATGAAGTCTTGCTCTGTTGCCCAGGCTGGAGTATAGTGGCATGATCTCAGCTCACTGCAACCTCCACCTCCTAGGTTCAAGCTATTCTCCTGCCTCAGCCTCCCGAGTAGCTGGGACTACAGGCACCAACCACCACGCCCAGCTCATTTTTGTAATTTTTATTAGAGATGGGGTTTCACCATGTTGCTCAGGCTGGTCTTGAACCCCTGACCTCAGCTGATCTGCCTGCCTTGGCCTCCCAAAGTGCTGGGATTACAGGCGTGAGTTACTGCACCCAGCCTTTTTTTTTTTTTTTTTTTTCTTTTTTTTTTTTTTTTTTTTTTTTGGGGAGGCAGGGTCTCACTCTGTCACCCAGGCTGTAGTGCAGCAGTGCAATCATGGCTCATTGTAATGATAGGTATTATTAAACCTATTTTACCGATGAGGAAAGTGAAGTTTAGGAAGACTAATTTTTGCCCAAAGTCACACAACAGATAAAGAGTGAGTCTGGGACCTTAACTCAAGTCTTCTGACCCTGAACTCAGTGCTTTTACCATCAATACAACAGAACCAGGAAGTCCATTCAAATCTACATCCCCATATAAGCAGGAAGAACTCTGTGAATACTTCTTGGTCAATGATCTCGTGATTCATCAGCCCAATTTTCTTGACAATATCATTTTTATAGCCGTTTAGTCGTTTTCCTGACACAGTATGGCTCATGCACAACAAAATTAATCAGATAAGATATTGGAGCTGCTCTTGAGAAGTTTACATTCCAGAGAAACAATTCAGATGGGAGAACAGTGTTTTATGATTTTGGTTTAAAGTCAGTGCAGAATAAGGGTTAAGAGACTAAAAAAAAAAAAAACTTCTTATGGAAAAATTAGTTCACTAATGCAAGTTAAAATCATCAATTCTTTCTTTTTTTTTTTTTTTTTTTTGAGACGGAGTTGTGCTTTGTCACCCGGGCTGGAGTGCAGTGGCACAATCTCGGCTCACTGCAAGCTCCGCTTCCCGGGTTCACCACCATTCTCTTGCCTCAGCCTCCCGAGTAACTGGGACTACAGGCGCCTGCCACCACGCCTGGCTAACTTTTTGTATTTTTTAGTAGAGATGGGGTTTCACCATGTTAGCCAGGAGGGTCTTGATCTCCTGACCTCGTGATCTGCCCACCTCTGCCTCCCAAAGTGCTGGGATTACAGGCGTGAGCCACTGTGCCCGGCCAATACATTCTTTAATTCACCAAGTATTTGCTAAGCATCTGTTATGTGTCAAGCTCTGTACTAGCAACTAAGAACCACTTAGTCCCGACTAGGTAACTTAACAGTTCTCAGGGGTAGGTAGAGATGTCAATACGTCCATTGCAATGGAGTGTAATAAGGGCCCCAGGAAAGACACAAAGTTTTGTAGCACATAGAGGCAGAGAAGGCTTAACAGAAGAGGTAATTTTTTTTTGAGACAGGGTCTCACTGTGTTGCCCAGGCTGGAGTGCAGTGGTGCAATTATGGCTCACTGCAACTTCCACCTCACGGGTTCAAGTGATTCTCCCACCTCAGCCTCCTGAGTAGCTGGGACTACAGGTGCATGCCACCACACCTAGCTAATTTCTGTACTTTTAGTAAAGACGAGTTTTCACCATGTTGGCCAGGCTGGTCTCCAACTCCTGACCTCAAGTTATCCTCCCTCCTCAGCCTCCCAAAGTGCTGGGATTACAAGCATGAGCCACCATACACAGCCTGAAGCACTAATATTTTACCTGAAGTGTAAACAATTAATAAAAATTGCCAAATAAACAAAGGGTACATGATCATTTGAGAAAATCATCATCATCACCACCATCATCATCAGTACAACCACCGTCACTCTATAATTACCTCCTATGTGCCAGACAATCTACTAAGCCTTCTGTGTACATTAACTCATTTGATCCTCTCAGCACACCACAAGGAGGTATTGTAATTGTCCCCAATTTTTCAGATGAGGAAAATGATGAGAGAGATTAAGTGGCTTACCCAAAGTCACCCAGAGTCAGGATATGAAACTGTGCCATCTGGTTCCAGAGATCATATGGTTGATAATGGAAGGAACAACCAGTACCAAGATGAGAAGGTATGCATGGGTGTTTATGTGAAGGATTGAGATTATTTCAGTGCGGCTGGAACATGGTATATAAATGTGTCTACCTCAGTGGCTCTCCCAATCTCTGTGCCTCTTCTCCTCTTTTCTCATCATTCTCTCTATGCAGTACTATTTTAAATACATAGCTTGAGCTTTTGAACCACACTACAGATGCAGACTTGGGCTCCAAATCTGAAAAAGTGCTAGCCCATGGTTATAACCTCTTAGAGATCAGTGTTTTTTCTTTTCTTTTCTTTTCTTTTTTTTTTTTGAGACGGAGTCTCGCTCTGTCGCCCAGGCTGGAGTGCAATAGCACGATCTCTGCTCACTGCAAGCTCTGCCTCCCGGGTTCACGCCATTCTCCTGCCTCGGCCTCCCGAGTAGCTAGAACTACAGGCGTGCGCCACCTTGCCTGGTTAATTTTTTGTATTTTTAGTAAAGACGGGGTTTCACCATGTTCGCCAGGATGGTCTCGATCTCCTGACCTTGTGATCCGCCCGCCTCGGCCTCCCAAAGTGCTGGGATTACAGGCGTGAGCCACTGCGCCCGGCCTTTTTTCTTTTCTTTCTCCCTGACTCTGATTGGTGCCAAGACCTCACTTTCCATCACACCATGGGGTGTTGTGGGAGGGGCCAGTTTACTTCTGCTTCACACGGACTTGAGGAGGTGACTGTGGAATTCCTGGTAATCCCTAGCTTTGACTTCTGTGTTCTTGCTTCCAGAATCCATCAAAACCACAGCTCAGTTTTGCAGCTTGGAGAATTCAGATGGACAAATGCCTTCACAGGAAAGGTGGCTTTGATGTTCCACTTACTTCTCTGGGTTCTTGCTTTCTCTTAGACTTGAGGCTGGAATTTCTTACCATCCTGTCAGCAATTTGATGCTTTTACAAATATGAAAAGAGAATTATCCAGCATTCTTAGTTATTTTCAGCAGGAGAGTTGGTCTAAATTACTAGTCCTTCAACTACAGGAAACTCAAAGTCCCAAGACTCATCCAACTTTCACAACAACCCTGTGATGTAGATACAATTAACTTGATTTTTCCAATGAGGCAAATGTGATTCAGGGAGTTTAAATAACTTGCAAAAGGTCACACAGTTCATTTATGGAATGAATCTTAGGAAGCAGTCTGGTTTTATCAAAATGAAGAGCGAAATTTGGTCTAGTCTAGAATGGTATAGATACCTCCCGATAAAGGAACTGGGATTGTGCTTGGGCTGAAAATCCAGTCCGCCCAATGGCACTACTGACCAAACCAACTGTGGAAAAGATTTCAATGATCTGTTTTAAACTCACCTAGGGCCTCCCAAGTGAGTTTTCAGTAAAGTCTTCCTCAATTAAAGTTCTTTCTCTAAGATTACACTGCTGCTAAGTATAAAGACAAAGGAATTTTCCAGTGCCAAGCAAAGACAGACAGAGAGTAGCCTGGTTCAGCCACTGTGTCTGCCCACCGTGTTAGTGACAGCACTGTTTTCCAGAATGAGGAGAGTGAGGGCCGCGAGTTGGGTGGGAGAGCCCAAATGCAACAATAGTTTGCACGGCATATAAAGAGTTCTTGAAAGAGGTTGAAGATTTTTGTGAGCACATTCAATTGATTGAGACATGTGTATTTCCAAATAATAGATTTGTCCTCTTAATTTAAAGGAGACATATAATAGAAAGCTAGGTGTATTCCCTAACAGTCAATCACTTATGAGCCAGAGGAGGGAAGAATGATCTTTTTCAGAATTTAAGTTGCAAAATACGCCTTATCCTATGATAGACAGTTTACAGTGCCTGACAAAATGAGTAATCTTTTTGTTTTGTCAAATTTTACTCTAGCTAAGTGCCTCCAAGCTTAGGAAAAATAAAGACAACTGTTCTTAAATGTAATAATGCCATGGACTCTCATGCATAGAAGCCTTCGATAACTAGAAAATAGTTATCTTTGACTTTGTGTTCAAAGTATAGGGGTTTCTTATCTGTAAAGCTGGAAGGGGATATAACTGGTTATAGATAAGGAAGGATGTGCATGAATTGAGTACAGTTACTTTCTAAGTCCTAAGTTAGTGCATAGCTGCAGTGTCTAATACCTGATGGTGCTCAATATGTATTAATGGAATCCAAATTTCTTTCTCCACCAAGATCTCTGTCAAGTATATTTGATCATTAAGTTAACTGTTCCATTTTCAGGATCCAGTAGTCACAAACTGTAGCATAATCCTAGGGTGTTTTATCTTACATTTTAAAAAAATACATAATTTGATTGTTTGTGTTTTAAAAGCAATACCCATTCTTTGTTAACAAATTTAGCTGGGATATTTTTATTTTGGCTTCACTAATTTGAATTTCAAAAGTTATACATGCTTATTGTGAAAATCCAGACAATAAAGAAGTGTCAAAATAACAGTCTCCTCATCTTTGCCACCACTTCTCTGATATAACCATTGATCACAAATCACCTTATAGCCTTCCATAGTTTTTCCTATAGTGCTCCCCTCACACACGTGCTTTTGTATTTTTTTTTTCCTACCTCTTTCTTTCTTTTTTTTTTTTTAGTAAAAGTGGTATTGAATGTATTATCAGTTTCGTGCAGTTCAACAGATACGTATTGAGCTCTTGCTTACACAGCGTCAAGAGCCACTGTGCTATGAGTGTGTATAATCTCTGTCCCTGGGCAATTTCTCACATTCTCTTTTGTTGTATTTCAAATTCATTACTGTTGCTATTCTCTTTATAAGTTCACAAGGGCTTTCCACTTCATGGTGTTGTGAAACCCAAATAATGTAATGTTTATTAAAGCACTTAGTTAAGCATAAAGCAGTGAGCTATGACTGCATGATTACTAAGAATTGGTTCCATGAATAATTCTAATTTTTGTCACTGCTAAAGGAAAATATGCTTCCTCTGCTTACATTTTAATTATTTCAGTAGGTTCCATATGTTTTCAAAACACCTGATTTTACTTACTGTATTTTTACTTTTTTTTTTTTTTTTGAGACGGAATTTCACTCTTGTCACCCAGGCTGGAGTGCAGTGACACGATCTTGGCTCACTGCAACCTCCACCTCCTGGGTTCAAGTGACTCTCTTGCCTCAGCCTCCCAAGTAGCTGAGATTACAGGCACCCTCCAACACGCCCGGCTAATTTTTGTATTTTTAGTAGAGATGGGGTTTTGCAATGTTGGCCAGGCTTGTCTCGAACTCCTGACCTCAAATGATCTGCCCACCTCAGCCTCCCAAAGTGCTGGGACTACAGGCATGAGCCACCACGCCTGGCCTGTAATTTTACTTTTACATGCAGTATGCCCAGCTTCTTTGTCTCAGCAGATGTTTTTTTAGAAATTCCTACTAGGTGTATCTTTAACAATTCTTTTTCTTCCATATTCTTGGCTATATTTGATAGATGAGAGTGATATTATAAATTTTATTCCGTTAATGTGTTTTAAAGTCTAAGATTTCTTCTAGCTTGTATTCCATGTTCATTGTTGTTATTTTATCACTAACTAATTAGTTACAGCCAGAGACTTTAACTCAGTCGCAAATATAAAGTTCTTCTTTGTCAGAAAGACCACACACACCTCTTGAAAAGTTACTTTCAGATTTGATCACATAATTTCCAAGTGTCTTCCAAGAAAGTGAGCATGACAGCCCTGAGTGAAAAACGGTGGCACTTGACCAAAACCTCAGTTTGTTTCTAATCATGTATGGATGGAGTGTAATTTGATTAAAGCTGACTGGCCTGAAATGATCCCAGTAAGATGCTGAACTGGATCTGGATGAAAGTCTCACTGTTTTCTGCCCTCATCCAAGCACTAAGGCATCACTGAAATGAATGAGTTTGGGATTTCATGTCCAAATCCATTTTTAATACTACCACCTTATGTTTTCATAGTACCGTAGGCTTTTCAAAATGCTTTTATCTATAGTATTTGATCCGTGCAGTCTGCTTTTAGCTTCTGTATTTCAAAGACCAGTAATGGTTAGGTTGGAAGTAATACCTATCAGAATAGTGACTTTGAAACTTTGAAATCATTTCCAGGTGTTTTAGATAGGCTACATTTGAGTGATGAAACTTTAAACTTTCTTTTTTATAAAAGAAAACTTTACTGCTTGAAGTAATCTTTTTAGAAATTAGTAGCCCCAAAGATTTCAGGGTGTGTTGTATTGTTCTTTTTTACAGTGAATGGGTGTAACTTACTGCAATGTGAATAATGCATAATATTTGTAAGGAAAAGTAGGGAAGTAGGCAAGGAAAAAAGATGGGACAAAGAAAACTGTGAGTTTTCTTTAAATATCTGAGGCAATGGAAAGGAATTTTAAGCAATTTCTTGACAAAAAGACTCTCCTTTTTTTGATTACAGTAGGGATGCCAATAAGATGGAAAAAAAATCAAGGAGAATCGGAGAATAAAATAATACCTGCACAGTATATATATTTTGGGGGCATTGTTGAGGTTGTACTTGTGATCTAATATCCATTTTTAAGTGTTTTGTAGATATTAAAGTTAATTTGCATGCGTACATATATATGTATATATACACATATAATAAATCCAGATATACATGTATTATATATCTATGAATAATACACATACATAACACATGTATAATAGATACTCCTATTAATCAGTATTATCACTTAGATTACTCAAGACCTGGAATATATATTTGGAACAAAAGTAAAATCCCTTATTGTGATTCTACTTGCCAGCTCCTTATTATGGTCAACGTCAGAAGCCTTTTCATGGGCCCAGCAGTCTCAGATGGCCTCTCCGAGGAGATGCAGTGCTGAGCCCCCAGGATGCCTCAGGCTCAGCCTGAGCCACCTCTGCCCAGGCCCAGGCCACCTCTGCCCAGGCCATTCCTGTGCCCTGGCCTGAATCACCCTAGAGGTCACCTATGTGGACACACTCTGTGGCCTCAGAGATCTCATGGGGCCTGTGGCCCAGAGGGTTGGCTCCATGAACTTCACAGTATGGTCACCTGCCAATCCCCATGGCATTCTGTCTTGGGGCTGTGAGGACACAGTGGGATATCAGGGCCCAGTCTGTGCATCTCTCATTCCAGGGAGGCCGGGGCCCTGAATCCACTGTCCCTTAGGCAGGAAGGGGACAGGGACACTCAGTCCAGGGCTGCAGCCATTTGTCACCTTTCATCAGGACTTTTGCCACACTCAGATGCCACTGGAATTCTTCTTTACTTAGCGTTTTTTAAAAATCAGCTTACCTTTAAAATTTAAGTGTGTGATTTACCCTCTTCTTTAGCCATATTTGAGAAATCAGGGTCTGATACACTAGTCAAATACCCGCACACATATACACATACACATGTGCACATACATGCTCACACAGACATATACATATACACATATATGTGAAAATATACACATGAAATATATCCATGAAAGTAAACACAAAGTTAAAATAGCAAATGCTCAGTTCCGTATACCATCTAATCCTGTTTTAGGTTTAGAGTGGCTCTAGTCTTTCCCCTATTATGGGTGATTCCTTACTGGTGATACAAAACAGGTTCAGATGGTTCACAGAGCTGAGCATTTACCAGCCATTCTAGCCTTCCCCCATTTTACAGATAAGGAAACCAAGGTCCAGAGAGGTGCAGGGCCTGCCCGAGGTCACACAGCACTGGGATTAGTGGCCAGCCCGCCTGACTCCCAGCTGAGTGCTCCTTTTACAGAAGCACATTCCCTGTCTGCGGTGTGCAGGGCCCCTTCCTCCAGAAGCACAAGTGGACTCGCAGAGGCCTTTTGGAGACTGTGGCCTAACACAGAGTGTTCATTGGAAGGTGGGCTTCCTGGTGGCAGGCTGACAAGCAGGCGGATGGTCTCCTGGGTCCTGGTGGGACCAGGCACTGGCCCCTGGCTCTGTCTATGCTTTATCTTCATGCTCATGGCTCCTGCAGCGCCTCAGGATTTGGGGAAGTGGGGAAAGGAGGGTCCCAGGGGAGAGAGAGAGCAGGGCTGTGGCAGCAGCCCTTCCCCAGGGAGCTGCTTACTGAAGAGATCATTAGTGGTACCAGCTCTCAGGCTGGCAAGGAAGGTGGCCTCATTAGCAAGCACCTTCCCCTGCACCACCTCCACCTGCCCACCTGCAGCCTCCTGACACCCACACTGCCACTGTCACCACTGCCATCACTCCAGAGATGCCACATGATGGGCCTCCTGTTGGGGACAAGGCTGCTAGCTTAAGGGAGCCAGGAAGGAGATGTGTGTGTAGGGTGCCAAGGGTGTGTGTACACTGCACACACACACACAGACATGCTCACATGCATGGACACACATACTGCATTAATAGAGGTGTGCACATAAGTCTAGCACACACACACACAACACAGACTTGCACAGTAACACGCAACTCCCCAAACACACGGTGCAAGCACACGGATCCAACAGAGATGTACACAAGGGGTGGGTTTCAGTGTGAAGCCCCACCGTGCACACGTATAGAGACCCATATGGAACACAGGCACACATGCACCGTAGGAGATGCACGTGTGTATTCACACAAACATACAGTCCTGTCTCCAGACTCCAGAGTGTGCATGGAATTGTACACACATGAGTACGTGTCAACAAACCTGCAGACCAGCCCGGGGCGTACTACTGTGTGTGCAGGGATGCCCACGTGCACACGTACATGCATGCAGAGCACACACCAGTTATTTTTTTCTTGGAATCTAACAAGGCCCAAGGAGCAGGGAGTGGCTAATTCCCTGGAGGAAGTGAGGAGACCGGAGCTGAGGACACGTTTAATTAATTCTTCTCATTCCCAGCAGGGGGAGAAAGGGAGAGAAGAAGGGAGAGAGGAATGAAATGACAGAGAGGAGAGGAGAGGGGAGAGGGGCAGCAGAAGGGTGAAGGTGAAGTGGGGAGGAACCGGTGTGGGCAGTGAGGAGGCTGAGGGACCCCAGGCCCAGAGGCATTAACCTTTTCAGCTTACGGCAGTCCCAGGGAACTCATCATTCAGCCCCGATCCCAGAACCAGACGGGTCGTTCAAGGTCAAGTGGTGGGGCTGGTGCAGAAATCCACCCTCAGTGCCCCCTACACACAGCTCTGGGGATGGCGCACACACGTCTTTCACCTGCTCCCACCGAGTGGAAACCTGCCCCCCAACCCCGAACCTCCCACGATCAGTCCCACTTCTGCTCTGTGCCTGCATTGGGTTAGGGCCCTGGGGGCTCTCCTATCACAAGTGCAGGGCACGGGCAACACAGCTGCCCAGGGAGGCCCCTGCTGGGCACCAGGACAGCTCCTCCCACCCCTGCCCTGACCTCAGCCTTGAGACAGAGTCAGGGAGATGGAGGTGGACAAGGACAGGGGCTCTGAGGGGGAGGGAGGATGTGAGCCAGGAGAGAAGGGAGGTGGGGCCGGGTGGGAGTGAAACAGGGAGATGGGGGGCAATGAGAGAGAGGGGGAGTCACTAAGCCAGAGATGGTGAAGGATGTGAGAGGGGCTAGGATGGTGAGAGTCAGACCCAGAGACACACAGAGAGGATGCTAGAAAGAACAAGAGAAACAAAAAAAGGTCAGAGGGTCAGGAAAGGCAGCCAGGCTCTGCAACTCTCCCAAGTCAGGAGGGAGGCAACTCACCTGGGGTGTGAGCGAGGAACCCTGGCCTAGAGAGGATGCTGTGTGACCCCGCCCAGGCACCCCACCTCTCTGAGCCTCAGCTGCTGGTTTCTAAAGCAGGGGGACCGGCCCTGTCTCTGAGAGGGCCCTTAGGCTCCGCAGGGAGGCTGGCCTGGTCCCTTTCTTCCTTCTACTCCCCTGAGTCATGTGGGCCTGCAGATGGGGGTGGGGGTCTCCCTTCCAGGGCCCTGAGTGGGCAGACCAGGTGAAAGAGGAAAGTTGCTGTGGGGCTGGTGTCGTGTGCTGCAGCTGTGAGCATGGAGTGATGGAGCGTTTGCCCTGAATATTGAAAATACATAAATATCCATTGTCAGGCACCAAGGCAGATATAAATACAGAAGGGAGGGTGTGCAGCCCTCAGCCATAATTTACCGGCTCTGCTACCCGCGGGGGCTTGGGCACTTGCACTTGGCCATCAAGAGGCTTTTCCAGATGGCTTTATGACCACCAGTGGCCACCTGGATCCCTTCTCCTGGAGAAGTGGCTCCTTGGGATCCACCGCCTGGGGTGAGGTGGGGCAAGGCAGGGTGTGTCATTCCTAGGTCTGCTCCGTCCTAGGCCTTTGGGGCCTCTCCCACCTTCTCCTCCTCCAGCATCTCCTTGTTTGGGAGGGACGGAACCACATCTGTATCAGGCCTGGTGTGTACCCAGCCCTGGTGCACTTGGATAAAATCACAGGTGTTCCATTCCTGCCCATGGGCACTTCCAGGCTGCGAAGCAGAGATGACACCCTAGGTCCTGCCCTTAAGAACTCACCCAAGGGAAACGGATGGTGGAAGGGTCTGGAGAAGCCAGTATGGGGCAAGACCCGGGTCCACTCTGGAGCAGGCCAGAGAGGAGAGACACATGGCCAATGGTGGCCTCCAAGAGTCTGGCTACAGCCCAGCACACCCAAAGCCCTCAGCCTGGAGGGGAAGCAGCAGGACCTGGGGTGGAGGTCACGGCCCGCTGGCAGGCAGCTCTCTCTCTGACATCCTCCTGAGAGGACATGGGTCTTGCCCCATGCTGGCTTATCCAGAACCTTCCACCGTCTAAGAAATGTGCTCATTCTCGATGAGTAGACAAATGGAGGCCCCAAGGCAATTCCCTGCCTTTCCTCCCAGAGCTGGAGCTGGGACTTGAGCACCCTGATCCCTGCCACCTTCACATGCTGAGGGGCATCTTTCTCTTTGGGTTGGGACTCTGTGTTCAGGGCACTCACCTTCCCACAGCAGAAAGCCACCAGCCTCTATTGGGGGGTGTGGAGCATTCTCCCTTCCAGGGTGCCCAAGCCTCCTTTTCCCAGGAAATGGAGGCTGGGCTTCCCTGCCCTGAGCAGGAGGCTGCACTGGGAGGCAGGGGCTGGACAGCCACCTGCTGCCTGGGCCGAGGGTGGAACCTGTTTGTGTGGGATGCAGGCATTGAATCATGAACACGCCAGGTTGAGTGGCCCAGGGCCCTGCACAGAGCAGGGGCTGGGATCAGGTGGCATTGGTGGGGAGGGGCCGGGGGGATGCTCCGTGGAGGGAGGGCTGAGGCTGAGGTGGGGGTAGCAGAACCGCGCCTCCTATTCCTTGCCTGCCTCTCTCATGTTTCCCTCCCCCACTGTCAACAGGGGCTCTCTGAGGCAGAGTCCTCACAGAGAGTGATGCCTGCCCGGGCCCTGCCCTCCAGGCCTGTTCTGCCAGAAACACCCACAGGTCAGGGCATCCAGGTGCCTGGATGGACAGCCACAGGCCAACTGCCTGGCCAGCCGCAGTCTTGGCCGGCCGCTCTCCTGTGGCTGCAGAAAGTGAGAGGTACTGCAGCCGCCAGCCCCCGCTACCCCGCCGCCAGGCTCTCCTGTCTGTCCTAGTCCTCGCATCAGGTGCAAGGGCACAGGCCACAGTGGAGTCTCTGGGTCTTCCCCGGGTGACTTTGCTGTTGGCTCTGGGCCCCACACTGGCCCTTCTGTGCCATCTGGGTGGCAGGATAGACGTCTGCGGGGCACATTCTCCACACCCCCTTGCATGCTGCTCCTGGTTCAGTTCTTCTAAGAGGAGGTGCTGGCAGGCTCCCGCACCTGCATGACATGTGCCTCTCAGCGGTTCCAGCATCAGCTCAGTGGCAGTTCCAGGAGCACAGCAGCGAGTGCAGGCTGTGGGCTCCAACTCAGGGCATCTCTGGATCTGCTTCCTCCTCCCAGCCCTTCCCCCATCACCTCAGCAGCCTGGCCGTCCTGGAACTCCCAGGATGCTTCTCAAAATGGCTCTAAAGCCCTTATTCCTCACTTCTTCCTGGAGGGGGCCCCACCTTGGCTCTGGGTGGCAGGAAAAGCTCTTCTCCCCTCTGCGGGAATGATCCCACTTTGCCAGTTAAATGGAATGGTCTTCCCCGAATCTGTTATCTGGGTCATGTGTGTGCAGCCAGGCCTCCAGTGGCAGTGGTAACAGGGTCCTCTCCCCACTGGCTGCTCCCCAGGGTCTCCTCTGCTCTCTCCTCCCTTCTCATGGGCTTCTTCATCTTCCTTGGGGTTCTGCTCCCCCATAGCTCAGGGTCCCCCAAGTTACTAGGGTGACAGTCTGGCCTGAGTCATTTATGATCAGGCCAGAGGTTCTGCATGTCCCAGGCTTGGCCTCTGGGGTCAGATACTCATTGCCTTCTGCAGGGCAACCAGGAACCATGGGGACCTGGGGGTGAGGCAGTCTTCCTTAGTTCAGGGTGGGAAGCAGGCAGGGGCCTCAACCACAGGCAAACTAGCAACTGAGATGGCATCAGCAGCCCTGCTCACAGTCGACCCTTGCATCGGCTCCACCTACCCCACCCAGGCTGCACCAATGCCTGCTGTATGCCCAGCACCAGGCTGGGCTTATGGCGGAACCAGATGAACAGGACTCAGACCCTGTTCTGGAGGAGCTGAGGGTCTCATAGGGGAGACATAGACTCCTCAGATGCCCGAATACCAGGCTGTAAGGAGCATGAGGTGCGCAGGGAAGGGAGAACTCAGCTCTGGCTGAGGAGCTGGGGATGCTTCATGTAGCGGGGGATATTTGACTTGAGCCACAAGGTGAGATTTTAATGCATGGTTGGTTCCAGGGTTGCTGGAAACATCCCAGAGAGAATAGAACCACCGTAACAAAGGCCCGGCTCGGTAGCAGGGTGGGAAGAGCTGACTACTAACCACCAGCCTAACTTGTTTAGTGAGAACGCTCAGAGCAGTGGGGATTAACCAAAAAGTGGGTGGTCGGGTTTTGAGCCCCTGGTGCCCTGACCTGCTTCTCCTCCTCCTGCTTGCCCAGGTCCTCTGGGGCTTCTCTCCCGTGGTCGCCATGGGAACTCCAGGTGGCTGAAGTTTACTTGAGCCTAGCTCCCTGAGATGGGCTGTGGGTCAGGGGAGGTGGAGGGAACTGGTCCCCAGCCTGGGCTCTGAGCACCCCTCCCCTGGGTCCCAGAGTCTCCATCTGAGCTCTGCCCATTTAGCCCTCACCCGGTGTCTTCCTCGCCTCCTCCCTCCCCCACACTCCACACAGCCTTCCAGTCACCAAGTTCTGACTGTTCCTTCCACTTGTAAAATCTCCCTGGGAGGCATCCACTCTGCACCCACCTCCCTGCCTCAGGCCTGGCTCCACCCCTTCCCTCTCCTCTGGATGACAGCAGGGGCCTCCTAGGGGGTCTGGCTCCTTCAGTCTGCTCTTCCTGGGTGCTGCTGCTGTCCTCCTGACCAGTGTCTGGCAGTCTGGCAGCTCCTCTGCCCCTCCCTACCCCAGCCTGGGTTCCCACCACCCTGGGATGGCTGAGTCTGTGAAATGGGTGGAGTGGTGTGTTGAGCTCCGCTTCTAGAACTGCATTCTATGGGGCAGTAGCATCTTTCTGGAATTAACAGGTATACCTTGAAAATGGGTTCCATGTGGAATTGGTTTGGGAAGCGCTGCACAGCCTCTGCCTCCTGGATACTCACAAGGCACTGTAACAGGTGAAAGGCTCCCAGAGGTCCTGGAGTAAAGAAGTCTGTTTTGATTTATTTAACCCCGAGATTCCCAGAGTGTTTTGGCTCTAAATAAGGAATGTCTATGAATAACTCCAGGAACAAGTTTCTCTGGACCAACCTTTGGAAAATGCTGGAGGAGCCATAAAGTGTGGTGCCTTGTCTTTGGGGATCTGGGGTCCTGAGGCCTGCTTCCCCCATCTGGCATGCCGGGGTTCACACAGGTGCACAGGCTGATATGGAGCTGAGGAAGCACTGGAAAATTGGGCCGCACCATGGATGCCTTGCTTCCATCTCCTGGCGCACAGCATGGTTCCTGGATATGTTTTGTTTAAACCGCACGTTCTTTTGAAATTTGACCTGGTTGTCAACATTTAAAACTTGGGAGATTCCACCACAAATTCTGCATTTTAAAGTTCTCTTAAAACATGAGGAGCCGGCCAGGTGTGGTGGCTCACGCCTGTAATCCCAGCACTTTGAGAGGCCAAGGCTGGCGGATCACGAGGTCAGGAGATGAGACCATCCTGGCTAACACGGTGAAACCCCATCTCTACTAAGAATACAAAAAAGTAGAGGGGCATGGCGGCGGGCGCCTGTAGTCCCAGCTACTTGGGAGGCTGAGGCAGGAGAATGGCATGAACCCCGGAGGCAGAGCTTGCAGTGAGCTGAGATCGCACCACTGCACTCCAGCCTGGGCAACAGTGCAAGAATCGTCCCCAAAAAACAAAAAACAAAAAAACCACGAGGAGCCCTATCCACACAGTGCGCATTTCTCCCTCTGTGGAGCCGAAGAATGGCAGGACCCATTTACATGCAAAGCACCCAGCCTGCAAGCAGACAGTTTCCCTCCCTGGCGTGGGCTGAGCCCCCGAAAACACTGGAGTTTCTGACCTCTGTCATGGGGAATATGGGGCTTTCTTCAACAAATTCCTCTTTACGATGGTGACTTATGCCTGACCCACCCTTCTCTTGGGGTGTCCTTCTTTGAGGGGCTGAGGCAGGTGGGGCCTGCTGGCTCCAGCATGTTCCTTACCTCCCATGAAGTACCATGTACATGGTGCAGTCTAGGCTATGAAGTCCACTAGGCTACCCCACCATTACCCTTGGTTCCCATGACGGGGGTGCCAGAGTGGCCCAGGGGCAGCAGGGCTATGGGAGACAGAGGGAGGGCCTGCCACAGCCTCCTCTCCTGTGACCACCTGGCGGCTCAGCTGACAGGAGAGTCACAGCTGCTCAGGTCACCCTGGTCACTGGAGCATGCTGGGTGGGAGAACCACTCCCTGCAAGAGCGAAAAGCTGAGAACACTGCCAACCGTGCTGGCACCCCTGAGCCAGCCCGCCGCTGCAGAGAGCCCTCTACAAAGAGCCCGCTCTGTGCTGATGGAGGCTGGAACCTGGGGAAATCTGGCTCAGGGCTGCTTGCTGGGGCTCAGGGTGGGGTGGGGCTGTGGCCCTCCACAACCCTGCCCTGGGATGACCGTGGGTGAAACAGAACCCTGACTTGCAGGCCCCAGTCTGAGGTGGAGGGAGGGGGCCCAGACCAACCTCACCCGAATGTTAGGATAACAGGAATTTCCTGCCAGGATGAGGCTGGCACTGGTTTCGGTTCTGTCCTGAGTGGAGGGGGAGGTCAGTAGTGGACTCTCCAATCAGTGGGGCCTTCACGGGCTCTGGTCGGAAGTTCCCACATGCCCCCATCAGGAGGTCTGACTCTGGCCACCTCCTGCCTCGCCTGAGCCTGTCCTGCTCATTGCCCTCCCCTTCTAAGCCTGTCCGAACACCCCTACCTTGGGGACCCCTCCTGTGTCTTCCTTCTCCAGGAAGCCCCTCTGATCCTCCCCCTCAGAGCTCTAGCCCTCCTCCAAGCTCCATCCCTGCCCTATCCCAGCCTTCCTATACAGCCCCACAAGTCAAAAAATCGTGACTAAAATAAAATATCTCCCTGACAAAAAACTAAAAAAAAAAGACACTGAAGTCCCAATTAAGACTAAAAAAATTAAAAAAAAATAAAGTATCCTTTTTAAAAGTGGCCACTGTAAAGCCTCCAAAACCCATTCCATTAACTTAAAAAACAAAAAAAACCTATATACGTAAATCAGTGGCCACTACCAAAACACAAACTAAAAACTTTACACTTACTAACAAAAAAATTTAAAAAAAAAAATTGAGCCTTCATTTTCGCCTTAAAATTCTCCTATGTTTATAATTCAAAAAAAAAAAAAAATCCGACAAATGACACATACTAACCAACTTAAAAGCATTAATGCCGTAATTCAACCCATGGAGAGTCTCCAACCTGAGTTGCCCTCTCCGGCCATAATCCCCCAAAATTGGCCTTTAATTATAATTAATCTAAAAGATTACATTTTTACCATTCTTCTGACAAAACAAAATTTAAAAACATTTACTTTCACTATACCAGCCATAAATAATAAAAAACCAGCCACCAGGTTTCAGTAAAAAGTGTTACCTCAAAAAATACTTAATAGTTCAACTATTTGTCAAACTTTTTTGTAACTCAAACTCTTCAACCAGTTAAACACAGGTTTTCAAACTGTTATTCATTATATTAATACTATTTTGTATACTACAAAAACAAAAAACAAATTAACTATTACACATTTCTACAAGCAAAGGTTACCAACATAAGACTGACAATAATATCTAATAAAATTCAAACCTCTAATCCTTTCCATTACTTAAAAATGTAAGTTAAAAAACCACAAAAAATAAAAATTAAACATTAAAAACATTAAATAACTTTCAAAAATTACTAAAAATTATTAAACTCAGCCAACTCTAGACATCCCTACTTATGCCATGTCAAATTTGTTCTCTATCTTAAAAAAAATCCAAAATTAAATAATGAACATTAACTCCAAAGACAACTAAAAAAATTAATTTAAAAAAGTTCAGTCAACCCAAATAAATAAAATGAATCACTTAGCCCCACTCCAACTTTTAATTTTTACTACTACACATTCTCCAACAGACATTATTGTTCAAAATACAAATCTTATGAAGTGGTCCTTCCTTCCTTACAGCACAATTAAGACTTTTACATTGTACTTAAATCAAATGACTACATTAATTAGACAAAACTACAAATAATAAAATTATATAAAAATAACCCAAATAAAATCATTGTTCCTTTAAACAAAAAACAAATTAAACAAGACTTTATCAATTCTGGTATACAACAAATTGGTCTTACTAATTTTATAAAAAATTATTGACAATCATTACCCAAAAACAAAAATCTTCCAGTTTTTAAAATTGACTACTTAAATTTTACCTAAAATTACCAAACATAAACCTTTAAAAAATACTCTAATGGTGTTTACTAATAGTTCCAACAATAAAAAAATGACTTACACCAGACCAAGAAAACAAGTCATTAAAACTCAATGTCACTTAACTCAAAAAACAAAATTGGCTACTGTCATTACAATATTACAAAATTTTAATCAGCCTATTAACATTGTATCAAATTCTACATATATAACACAAACTACAAAAAAGTTAAAACAGCCCTAATCAAATATCGAATATAATCAGTTAAACCAACTATTTAATTTGTTACAACAAACAGTAAAAAAAAAAATTTCCCATTTTATATTACTCATATTCAAGCACACACTAATTTACCAAGGCCTTTAACTAAAAAAAACAAACTAATTTACTAGTATCATCTACATTCATAAAAACACAAAAACTTCATGCCTTAACTCATATAAATACAACAAAACTAAAAAATAAATTTAATATCACATAAAAACAAAAAATATTGTACAACATTACACCCAGTGTCAAATTCTACACCTGCCCACTCAAAAAACAAAAGTTAATCCCAAAAGTCTATGTCCTAATACGTTATGACAAATAAATATCACACATGTACCTTCATTTGAAAAATTGTCATTTGTCCATACAACAGTTAATACTTATTCACATTTTATATAAACAACCTACCAAACAAAAGTACTTCCCATATTAAAAAAACATTTATTATCTTGTTTTACTGTCATAAAGTTCCAAAAAATTAAATAATAGGACAAAATAGTGTAATAAAACATTTCAAAAATTCTTAAATCAATAAAAAATTACACATACACAAAAATCCCCTATAATTCCCAAACACAAACCATAATTTAAAAAACTAACACTCAAAACTCAATTAAACAATAAAAAGCAAAACACTCCCCCAATACAACTTAATCTAACACTCTATACTTTAAACTTTTTTAACATATATAAAAATCAGACCACTACTTCTACAGAACAACATTTTACTAATAAAAAACCCACATAAAAAAACTAATTTAATTTAAAAAACATAAAAAATAAAAACATTAAAAAAAGCTTTACTTGTGTTTCACCAAAAAATCAACTTCCTGTTTAAATACCCACTAAACATTTCAAATTCTACAATAAACCCATTAAAAATACAAAAAGCCACCTCCACAAAAATAAAAACACCACAATCAAGCATCATTAACTCACCAAATAAAATAACAATATCAAAAAAACAGTCGCCATCCACCAAAAAAACAAAGCCACCAACTTAAACACAATTAAAAAAACTAACACCGTTAACTAAAAAAAGCCAAAAAAACACAAAAGTGACACAAACTCCAAAAAAATACTGTTTATGACTTTAATAATTATATCAACAATAGTAAGTATCCCCATGTCTACAAAAACAACAACTAATTATACTAAGCCTATGTACCTTTCTCACCCTTAATTCAGTCACATAAATAAATAATCCTATTAAAACATATATTAATAATACATGGGTACCAGGCCCCACAAATAATCGTTGCCCTGCCCAACCTAAAAATAATAATAATATAAATATTTCTATTAAATATTATTATCCTATTTGCCTAAAAAAGACACCAAAATATTTAATACCTACAACCCAAAATTAGTAAAAGTACCTACTATCAATACCAATAAATTTACTTATTACATAGTAAGTAAAATGTCACTCAAACCACAAATAATTTACAAAACTCTTCTTTTCAAAAATCATTAAAATCTAAACCTAAAAAAATCCTTGCCCCTAAAAAATCAAAAGATCCAAAAGTCTTAGTTTTAAAAAAATATATAACTAATACTACAATAATACTACAAAACAATAAATTCAAAACTATTATAAACTAGGCCCCTCAAAACCAATTATATTGTAATTCTACGGGTCAAACTCACTCATGTTCACAGGCCCCATCCATCTGGCCCATTAATCCAGCCTATAATAATAATTTAACTAAAAAACTAAACCAAATTTATAAAAAGTTAAAATCACCCTATCCATAAAAATAAAATTAAAAAAAAAGTTTTTTTTTACTATGCGTAAATGTATGCATAGGCCAGATTTATACTTCTCTCCACCCAAACATTTCAGTGTAGTAAAAAGTAATAGAACAACATTGCCGCCAACATAACTCGCCTCCAGCCACAGGGCGGTTTTCTCCTATCTCAAAATAAAACGAATGTACAATCGGGTTTTACACGGAGACACTCCATTCCCAGAGGCATACAAGAGATGGAGGCCTTCCTCTTACTAATCCTCCTCAATACAGACCCTTTATGGGTGTCGGACTGGAAGACGGTCAGGTCTTTCCTTTCCCATAAGGCCATATCTCAGACCATCTCAGTGGGGAAAAACCTTGGACAATACCTAGACTTTCTTGGGCAGAGGTCCCTGAAGCTTTCCGCAGTGTATTGTGCCCCTGGTTAATCAAAAATGAAAAATGACAATAATTTTTACCAAAAATACTGCCTGTAAACATATTATTAACAAGACACATTCTACACAGCCCTAGATCCCTTAAACCTTAATTCTATACAACACGTGTTTCTGTAAACACAGGGTTGAAACTAAAGTTACAAATGAACATCTCAAAACAATTATTCAGGGTACAAATAAAAATGAGGTTTCTTATGTCTTCCTTTTCTACATAGACACAGTAACAGTCTGATCTCTCTTTCTTTTCCCTACAGACACCAGGCTTCCCTTCCCCTGGAGCAGCCAGACCTTCTGTGGTATCTTGAGCAAGCCCCTGGTCCTGTCTGGGCCTCTGCAGACTCAAGGTCTGGTGCCTGACTTACACCCTGTTATCATATCCTGCCATCTGGCCCCATATGGAGTCCTACAGGGGACTCTCAGACCCAGGCGTGACCACTGGCTCAGGCCCCTCTCAGAGGTCTGGCGGCCCAGCATCTGCCCACGGGCCTCCTCTCCCCCTCCTTTTCTCCAGGCTCCTGTCTCTGCCACAGTTCCCTGGAGGTGACCTCTAGCCCGGCCCAGGGGCTCACACACTCCTGAGGGAGGCAGGGCCAGACTCAGGCAAGGCCTTGGAGGACACATCCCAGTGGGCAGGGCCCAGCACTCTTGGGGTGGAACTACAGGGAGGAGAGGCAGGGCAATTGAGGCTTGAGGTGCCTGGCCTCACCCAATGTGGCCAGCCTGCTCCTTTTCCTCAGTCTCAGATGGAGCAGAGGATGGAGGTGGGGAAGAGAGGCCAGGGAGACAGTAGGGCTTGGTTATGGATGATGGGGGTCCTTGTGTGATATAATTAGGCTTTGTGTCTCCACCCAAATCTCATCTTGAATTATCCCCATTTTCCCCACCTGTCAAGGGAGAGACCAGGTGGAGGTAATGGAGGTAGTTGGTGGATCATGGGAATGGTTTCCCCCATGCTGTTCTCATGACAGTGAGTGAGTTCTCATGAGATCTGATGGTTTTATAAGGGGCTCTTCCTACTTGTTCAGCACTTCTTCTTTCTGCCACCTCGTGAAGTTTCCTTGCTTCCCCTTCACCTTCCGTTGTGATTGTAAGTTTCCTGACACCTCCTCAGACATGCTGAACTGTGAGTCAATTAAACCTTTTTCTTTTACAAGCTATCCAGTCTCGTGCAGTTCTTTATAGCAGTATGAAAACAGACTAATACATTGTCCCTGCTGAGGGCTGCCCGGCTGGGCTCTCCCTGCTTTGGCACCTGGGTTGCCAGTAGCACATTATTTGGTCTAACAGTTTTTGTTTATCATTATGAAACTGAGCTTATCTAATACATTGATAAATTATTTCAAAGGTATTTTTATAGTTCAAATAGCTTCACTTTTACCCTGACACGTATAAATGACTAGTAATGACCTTCAGATAGCGTTTAGCATCTGTAACCAATCTGACAATAATGTGTTCATCAGGTACCTATGGATTAAATCACATACTGGCATATTTAAACTGAATGTAAGTCTGAAAAATAAATGTACTATATTAACTCAAATACCACTCTTTGTATAGGTATTTTGTCATATGTTTAAGAAAAAGCTAAAAAGAATGGAAATCCTATGACAATAACTTAAGTCTTTCTTCAAAGTGCATACAGTGTTTTGCAATACCTCATTCAGCCAAATATTTGTTCTCTTATTCAGTATAAGGCAGCTTTCAATTTGCTTGGAAGGCAACATTAGAAGGTTAGAGTTCAGCAGGAACATAGAATTTTAAAATGTGACTTCAACTGAATGAATTTCTCTAGGGAGTAAAGAATCAAAATACCTACTTAAAGACTGCAATATGTGATAATTATTTTTAAAGTAATTGATTAAACCTGGTAGGTTTTCCCGAAATGAAAAAAAAAAACAGTTCTAAAACCAAAGCTGATTTTTAGAAAATGTGAAAATGTAAGTCAACTCTATCCAAAATAGATTCTCTAAAACTTTGTCTTACAGTCACTTTCAAATAACTATTCAAAAATGTAACTGCTATACTAACATCTTAAAATAATTCAAAACATTTTAAAATATGAATGCTCTAGTTTAAAACAAAGAATCTAGGGGAAGGAAAAGTAGACAAAGAAATGCCAATTCCAGTCCAAAGCTGTGTTTGCCAAGTTTTCTTAGAATGACTTTTACTGATTTATGAATTCTTACAAACAGAATGTATAATGGAAATACTGATTTTTGTCTAAAGTGGTATTATTGACTGCTTCTGTGAAGCTACTGTAATGTAATACATTATTAAATTGTTTCAAGGTGCTGTTTTGCCTAAAAATTTTGTGTGTCTTGAAAACTATAGTATTAAAGGTATTGAGACTGTGCAAATGCTGGGCACGCTTGGCATGAGATAATCAGTTTTTATTCTTACAAAATTGTAACTATGTAAGTGTGTTTATTAAAATAACACAAACTAAAAAAGTTACAGGAATTAAAGTTGTGGGATGAAAAAGTTACGGGATAAAAAATACTGTGGAAAAGTGGCAAAAAAAGTTGTGGAAAAAAAGTAAAAAAAAGTTTTATGAAAAATTTTTTTAAAAAGTTATGAAAAAGAAGTTACAGGATTTAAAAAAAGTCATGGTATAAAAATAAAAATAAATAAAAGCAGGCCCCTGTCAGCATAAGCCTGGAGAAGTGGGTCTGGAGTCTTCACCCCCACCATGTCCCTACAACACCTCCCCAGTCACCCCTTTACCATTAGGGTAGCAAGACAAGACCCTGGTCTAATGCAGGGAGACAAACAGACCCTTACCACCTTGACCAAGGCTGAGTCCTTACATTTCTGGATGATGATGTTTGTTATTTAAGAGCCAGAGGTTGGAGGAGTTGGTTTGTTTGGAGGAGGTCTGATGGCCTCCTTACTCTCACCAAAGCAACTTTTCCCTCGGGGGGCTCCCATCTTCTTACTCAGAGAGGCAGCTGAGGCGGGACAGTGGAGATAACTGTAGATGAGGTGAGGGCACAGGCTGCTGGGGGTGGCCCCCCTTCCCCCGTGTACATACTGTAGCTGTGTAACATTCCGTATCGTACCTAGTGGAGGTTGCAGCTGGCATATGAGGAAGAGGTTCTTATAATTATTCACGGCTGGGAAACTTATTTATTGCTAGCATAGGAGCGAGGAAGGAGGCGGGGATGGGGTCATGGCTCCCTGGTGATGGGACTCCTGTTTTTTGTTTGTTGTTGTTATTGTTGTTGTTGTTGTTGTTTTGCTTTTGATTTTGGAATAAATGTATTTAGCCATACTGCTCAGCCTGTTATGTTCCCATTTCCCTGACTGGGTCCTGTAGTTTGTCCCACTGAACGAGGAGCCCCAGAGTGTCTCAGCATGTCCAGCTGGGCTGTGGGGAATCTTCCAGGCCTGTTACCTGTATGCTGCCTGGTGACACCTGGTGGATTTCATGGGGACTGCCATGGTGCCTATGGAGTACAGTCCAGCCCTGACAGCCAACAGGTTGAGAAGCCTGATCTAGCTGTGGCCAGGAAGACAGATACCAGCACCCAAGGGCACTGACTTCCCTCCACCCCAGGTGTCTTCCGTTCTGTCCCCCTGCCTCCCGTTCCTGTCTGCACCAGGTGGCCTGTCTGTCCCTCCAGAGTGCTGGCTGCCCCGCAGGCTCCCTCCAGGCTGAGTTCAGGGCCCTGTGCCCTAGTGGCCAGAGCCGGCTTCACAGGATAAGAGCCAGCTAAGCTGCGGGGACTTTCCAGGAAAAGTGTCCCTTGAAAAGGGTGTGACCTTTTCACTGCTCCCAACAACACCCTAAAAATGGCTTGGCCTTTTCCATCCCCTGAGCTCCATAGAGAACACAGCCAGCAGAGGACACATTCTCTGTAATCCAGAAATGGGTTTCTCAGCCGAGGGACAGCAGGACTGGTAGACACTGTCAGGCCACACAGCTGCCTGCACAGTGCAGCCATGCTTGGCTAGAAGGGCGGGAGGGATGGCAGGGGCTGGCTGTCCACAGGCTGCGCATGTCCTGGAAGCTCACTGGAGGTGGTGTACTTTGGAGGGGCGATGTCAGGAGACAGCTTTCTCTTGCTGGTCTACAAGACTCCACAAGCACAGCACGGGGACTGATTCCCAGTTCTAGAGGCGAGGCAGTTGGCCACGTATATATATGTATATATGTGTGTGTGTGTGTGTGTGTGTGTGTGTGAGAGAGAGAGAGAATTTATAGCTATTTATAGAACTGGGCAGGGGCATACCACAGAGGGGGCACAAGTTTTCAGCAATGGTCACACCTGGATGTGTCAGCTCACCACTACAACAGACTAAGTCACAGATGAAGGGGGCTGGCTTTGGGGCTGGGGGAGCCACTGTCAAGTCACAGGACACCCACCCAGGCAGGCTTGGAAAGGGAGGTCTCTGAGAAGAGGAGGAATCTGTTTAGAGGTCGAAGTGGGGCCTGGAGCTCTCAGGATGGGATGGACTTGCCTGACCTGATCAGCTGGCAGTTGGAGAGAAAGCAGAGAGAAAACGGGTTAGAGAAAAGTCAGAGCTGGTGAGGCGAGTGCAGAGTATGGGTGCGCTGCAGAAGCTGTGGGAGGGCCGGGGAGGGGAGGGCGTAGCTGTGGGCATGGCAAGGTTCCTGGAAAAGAGGGGCTGGAAGGGAAAGGGGAGGAAGATGGAGGGAGAAGCCAAAGCTTCATAGGTAGTGCCTGGGGACTGCGGCGGCCCTCCGCACCCCACACACGCTAGCCTCTCTCATGGCACCCAGGCAATCCACCCTTCCACCCACAGTTCAGACCAATGCCAGCTCCCTCAGGCTTCCCTCTTCTCTGGTGACCATGTCTTCCAACCCACTGGCCCAGGGCCACCTCTTGCTTGGAGAGCCCTATCCAACAGCCACCAGACCTGATAGAGAAGGAACACTGCCTGAACCAAAATGGTGGAGCTATAAGGGATGGCTGGCTGGAGTGGTCGCCAGAGGCCCCTCTGGGCCATCAGAAAACCCAGGGTCCTCTGAGGGACCCTGGGGAAGGCATGGAGGGCAGGTAGCCAGATGGCACTGGCCATAGACATATAAGTCTAAAAGGGGAGCCTCAACTGGTTGACGGGGGGCTGCAGGTTGCATAGGTGAGGCTGGGCCTTTCCTGCTGGGAAAAGCAGAAGAGGGAGGCTAACTTTTGTGTTGTTTAGTAGAGAGTGGGTTTCACCAGGTTGGCCAAGCTGGTCTCAAACTCCTGACCTCAAATGACCCATCTCTGCCTCCCAAAGTTCTGGGATTACAGGCCTGAGCCACCGCGCCCGGATCCGAGGCCCTTAAGCTTAAACACCTCGTTCTTCAGTCAGGTTTTCCTTGTTCCCGCGTGTTCAGCCAATCCTGTTTAAGGAGAAACTAACAATGAAAATGGACTCGTTGGTGGAGGAGAAGTTGGAATGCAGCCTCTGGTGCTGTTTGAGCGATCCCTCTTCCCTGGTCGCTGCTGTGTTCTGGAAAGGCGCATTGTACCCTGGATGCGGCAGGTAAGAGTCCTGTCCAGGTGCTCTGCCCGCTTTCCTTTCAGGCTTCTGTATCAGCTTTTGTGGGCTCTGGGTTAGCTACGTGGTTGTTGTAAAATGATTAGCAGGGAAAACCGTGTGTGTGTGTGTGTGTGTGTGTGTGTGTGTGTGTGTGTGTATTTTAAGTTTCTTTTCTTGTCAGAGGACTTCGAATTTTATTTTATATGGTAATTCTTTCAATTTACTTTATTCTCCACCCCACATTTATTGAACAGCAAAGTATGAAAGTAATGTGTCCCATAAGCAGCCTTCAGAAGAATTACAACTGCTGTATATCTGAAATTCTTTTTTATTTTTTTATTTTGAGATGGAGTCTCACTATATCACCCAGGCCAGAGTACAGTGGTGTGATCTTGCCTCACTGGAACCTCTGCTGCCCAGGTTCAAGCAATTCTCCTGCCTCAGCCCCCTGAGTAGCTGGGATTACAGGCACCTGCCACTGCACCTGGCTAATTTTTGCAGTTTTAGTAGAGACAGGTTTCACCATGTTGGCCAGGCTGGTCTTGAATTCCTGACCTCGTGATCTGCCTGCATCGGCCTCCCAAAGTGCTGGGATTACAGGCATGAGCTACTGTGCCCGGCTGAACTTTCCAGAAGTTTGTGTGTCAGTTTTCAAAAAATTATGATATCAAAAGATAGCTGTGCCCTACATTTGGAAAGATACAAAAACTGAACATACTGGCAGGCAGTTTTGCTTGCTGGTGCTTGAGATAGAGGCACACATTGGTCTCAGTGGATTTATGGAGAAAAATAGATACAGAAAGTTATTTCTAAATAAGACCAAAAAATCCTTTTCTTAAGCAGTGACAGGTAAAGAGGTTGTCTTGGCTAACCTTGAATTGTGTTGCCCTTGATTGAGACAGTTTTATGGTGGGGATGGTAGTGGTGATAAACTTGTTGGAAACTTGTCTGCTAATGGTAACCTTTGTGGTAGCGGTCACAGACAACTTCATCCTCACAGGCCTTGAAATTAGTATAAAACTAACAGAATGGAGGAGAAACAAAGGACCTGAATAATCAGATGCTTAGATAATTGTTCTGTGTTTTCATAACTGATGAAAAAGAACAGTGTTAGGAACACTTAAACATTCCATGGAAGGAACACTGCCTGAATTTATATTGTGATTTTTGAGCATCATTCACTGTTTAAAAACAGGCATATTGTAGGTAATATTTTAAAGACAAATAGAAAAGTTATCTTTTCAAGATGGATCTAAAACTTAACCTTATCAAAATTACAAAATGTAAAGCATACAATTGAAAAATATTAATGCATAGGTTTAAATATTGGTCATCATTTTAGATGTCTTTCAAAATACATTGTCTCTTAAATATTAAACTGAAAACATTGAACATGTTGTAGAGTTTGTGCTCAAGGTTAAGTTTCCTGGGGTGATGGATATTTTATAATATGGATAACAAAAACTTCTTATTTTAAGAAATTTAGAAAATTTTTAGGCAAAACTAGAACATAATACCAGTAATTCTACCACTCAGAATGTACCACTGTCAGAATTTTGTATCTTTCCCATCATCTGCTCATCTCTTTTCTCCTTTGCTTGTATGTGTTCCCTCTCCCTTAAAAAATCAGATTTTTTTTTGTAATCTGCTTTTTCACTCAACAATATTGTAGACCCATGTCATAAGTTACTCCTCTACAGTGCCTTCAGTTATTGTGTGCTTTGTGTTGGATGACTATACCATCTAGTCATTCGCGTTTTCTGATACTGAATACATAGGGGTGAGTGAGTGAGTGTTTATGTTTCTGTGTGTGTGTGTGTGTGTGCACGTGTGTTTTCTACCTTAACTAATGCTTTAGACATCAATAGCTAGAGCTAAATACTTGAAACCTTCCATGTGGTGGCTTTCAGTTCTCATTGCTGAATTGGTTTCTAGAGATGGAACCAATTATATTGTATGGAAAAAAAATTTTTTTGAGACGAAGTCTCACTCTTGTCACCCAGGCTGGAGTGCAATGGCATGATCTTGGCTCACTAAAACCTCCGCCTCCCAGGTTCAAGTGATTCTCCTGCCTCAGCCTCCTGAGTAGTTGGGATTACAGGTGGCTGCCACCATGCCTGGCTAATTGTTCTATTTTTAGTAGAGATGGGGTTTCACCATGTTGGCCAGGCTGGTCTGGAACTCCTGACCTTGGGTGATCCACTCACCTTGGCCTCCCAAAGTGCTGGGATTACAGGCATAAGCCACCACACCCAGCCTTTTTTTCTTCTAGGTACTAGTTTTATTTATCAGATTGGTAAAAATGTCAGAAAGTGTGCAATGAAATGGGCATTCTCACAGTCGTGGCAGAAAGTATAATTATCTTTGACTTTCTAGAAAGCAGTCTGACATTCTAGAAACTTGCCTAACCTCTTCCCATTTAGGCAAGATGAATTCTGACTATCCCTAGGTGGCCAATCTTGTCCCTGTGATTCCATATCTCCCAGAAAGAGAGGTCTAGTCTCAGGGAAAACCCAGATTTTCTTGGCTTAGCCCACCTGAGAGCTAATCACTGGAAATGGGGTGGGCCGGTAGAGTCCTTTGGTCAGGTTTTGTGTCAAGAGCAGGATGTGGAAAGATAGGAGAGAGGTAGCAAAATTGGCCTCAATGGAACTATGTAAGTTAACATAGAATGGCAAAGGAATGTTTCTTCCAAGGAAGAAATTCTAGGGAAGGAAGAAAGTGGAGGGTAAGGCAGCAGTTCTCAAAGTTTTGGGGTCAGGATTCCTTTACACTCTTAAAAGTATATTGAGGGCCCAAGGAGCTTTTCTGTATATAGGTTATATCTATTGGTATTTATCATTAGAAATTAAATCAGAAATATTTAGAATATTCTTTAAAAGCTCACCAAATTTTGTTATAAATGCTTTTATGAAAAGAAAATTTCTAAACCCAAAATAGTACAATGTTACACCTTTTGCAAATTTCGTTGATGTTTGATACGTCATTTGCATTTCCATTCAATTTATTGTGTGATATTTGCTTGAAAAAATGTGAACAAAGGCCAATCTGATACAGACAGCCATTTTAGATCATTATGGATATTTCTTTTTTTTTTTTTTTGTGAGATTGGGTCTTTCTCTGTCTCCCAGGCTGGAATGCAGTAGTATGATCACGGCTCACTGGAGCCTCAGTGTCTGGGGATTCAGGTGATCCTTCCACCTCAGCCTCCAGAGTAGCTGGGACTACAGATGTATACTACCCCACCTAGCTAATTGTTTGTATTTTTTTGTAGAGACAGGGTTTTGCCATGTTGCCTTGGCTTCCTTTTTGATACTCCATCAAAAATTGATTTTTCTTGAACTTTGGATCTTTTACCCTTGCATGGTATTATAACATCATGCATTGTTCCGTTCAAAAATAATGGTTTACTGAGATCTTCTATATGTTGATACATTTGATTGTACAATATCAAAATACACTCATCAATATCACCATCAATCTCATCAGAATAGTTTTAGAAAGCGATGGTGGATATAAGTTTTCTAAAATTCTAATTTTTTGTTCAAAAGCTTGAGTTTTAGTATTAGCAATTTTATTGTTGAAATTTATTATGGCCTGTCTGTTATTTTCCTTGAAATAACAGAATCTCCTTTTTTGAGAAAATGTCCCCCAAAACCCAAGCTGAAATAGCATTTTTTGTCAGCCATCTTTTGGAATAAAAATGATATTCCATTAAAGTGGTTAATTCACTTCATGACGTAGTCTCATGAGGGTTTTTTCTCTGACAGTCTGTAGGTATGCTCATGTATACTTCCCATTTCATCACTTGAAATATTAAAAAGGTATATTCAAGGATTAAGATGTAAATTTTTCACTGCTTCATCATAGACATTCTTTTTATTTTTGAGACAGGGCCTTGTTCTGTCACCCAGGCTGGAGTGCAGTAGCATGATCACAGCTCACTGTAGCCTCAACCTTCTGGGCTCAATCAATCCTCCTGCCTCAACCTGCCAAGAAGCTGGGACTGCAGTCATACAACCACCATGTCCAGCTAATTTTTATATTTTTAGTAGAGATGGGCTTTCACCGTGTTGGCCAGGCTGCTCTCAAACTGTTGACCACAGGTGATCTGCCCGCCTTGGCCTACCAAAGTGTTGGGATTACAGGCATGAGACATTGTGCCTGGCCTGCCCTTCCTTTTTCAACCTTTAAACCTTTCCTGTGCATAGTAGTCATACCATGACTACTAGTAGTTTGGTGTTACTGCCTTTATTTGTGCTAAAGTACCAGCATTTTTACCCACCATTGCATCTGCACCCTTACAGCAAATGTCACCATGTTAGTATTCCTGTCAAAACAGTTTGGACCTGGGGGTCTGAGGGCTGCACTTTGGGAACCACTGAAATAGGTACTTAAACCTACTATATATCATATCTTTTCATCTACAAGATTTTTAAAAACTTGATTTCAGTTAATATTTTTGTAGTTTTTAAAATATGGTTTTGAGGGGTTTCAGTCCAGAGCAGCAACATGTATTTTACTTTGCTTATGCTGAAGTTTACTAGACAAATACTAACCTAATAGAATGAGGTCCTAAATCTAGTTGCATTTTCTTTAGCCAAAAAAAAAAAAACCCAAACTAAAAATTTAAAAATGGTCCATATGGTGTATTCCCAATGTATGCTGAAGAATTTGAAGAAGAAAATGCAATAGGCAGTAAGTGGTATTCTTTAAGAATAGCATTGGGCCAGGCACGGTGGCTCACACCTGTAATCCCAGCACTTTGGGAGGCTGAGGCAGGTGGATCAGGAGATCAGGAGATTGAGACCACCCTGGCTAACACAGTGAAACCCCGTCTCTACTAAAAAACAAAAAATTAGCCAGACGTGGTGGCAGGTGCCTATAGTCCCAGCTACTCTGGAGGCTAATGCAGGAGAATGGCATGAACCCAGGAGGTGGAGCTTGCCATGATCTGAGATCGTGCCACTGCATCCAGCCCGGGTGACAGAGCGAGACTCTGTCTCAAAAACAAAACAAAACAAAAAGAATAGGATTCATTCTGAAGAGTTTCTTTTAGCCTGTAAAAAGATTTGGGACACTGTAAGAGAGGAATGAGAAGAATGAGAATAGTGAAATAAATCATTATTGAAGAGATAGACTGTTAATGATGTCCTCCTTCAATATAACTTGTTTTTCTTTTCCTTTTTTTTTTTTTTTTTTTTGAGATGGAGTCTTGCTCTGTCACCAGGCTGGAGTGCAGTGGTGCATCTCAGCTCACTGAAACCTCTGCCTCCTGGGTTCAAGCGATTCCCCTGCCTCAGCCTCTTGAGTGGCTGGGACTACAGGCATGAGCCACCATGCCCGGCTAGTTGTTTTTATTTTGGTAGAGACAGGGTTTCACCACATTAGCCAGGATGTCTCGATCTCCTGCCTTGTGATCCACCCACCTTAGTCTCCCAAAGTGCCCAGATTGCAGGCATGAGCCACCACACCTGGCCAACTTGTTTTTCTGGTTTTCCGTGGTTTTCATGGTTTTCTGGTTTTCTTGGTTTTCCTTGACTTGAACCTAGTTCTTCTGAAGCTAATATATAATAACGATTGCTTTTCACCAGTTTCTAATAGAAGACAGTACAATGCAACAGAGTAAATGTCTATTAGTGGGTGAAAGTGCATAATGCTTAGTTCATTAGCTTTTTAAAAAATCACATGTAATTATCTCCCAAAAATATATGTATAATAATGGCATTTATTCATATTACTTGGTTTGTGTGATAGAATAAAATGTATGAATTTTATGGTGTTTGAATTAGTTATCTATTGCTCTGTAACAAATTTAGTAGCTTAAAACAACAAACATTATCTCACAGTTTCTGTGGGTCAGGATTCTGTGCAGTTTACCTTGGGTTCACTGGCCTGGCCTCTCACCAGGCAGTGAAGGTGTTGATGGCAGCTGTGATCATCCCAAGTCAGGATAGGGAGAGAATCCATCTCCAAGCTCACACTGGCGGGATTCACCTCAGAGGCTGCTGGACTGGGCCTCCGTTTCTAGATGGCTATTGGTCAGAGACCTTTTACAATACCTTGTCATGTGGGCCTCTCCATAGGGCACCTCATCACATGGCAACTGGCTTCCAACAGAGGGAGCAATGGAAAGAGCAGGAGAAGGGTGAACAAGGCATGCATCGTAGTCTCCTTGTAGCCTCATCTCAGAAGTGATGTTATTACTTTTGCTGTATTCTCTTTGTTAGAAGTGAGTCACTAGGTCCAAGGGTGGAATTTTACAAGGGTGTGAATGGCAGGAGGTGAGG